>NC_000002.12:204156284-204459314 GCF_000001405.40 Homo sapiens
CAGGGCAGTCATGTCCTGTCATAGCAGCTTTCTCAGCAGATTATCCCTGGGGCAGGGCCTTGGCTATGTTCTCCTTTGCCTAATATTCCCTAGGCCCATCTGGTTTTCTGAGCCTGGTTCTGCAGCCTTCAAAATAATTCTAGTATTGATCCAGTTAACTGCTTACTCCTTGCTAGGCAGAGATAGTTTTTGTTATTTGTCACCAAGACAGTTTACTGGTGTCAGTGGGCACAATATTTTGCCCTTGAAAAATATTCTGTAGATTGAAGAACTAACATTCTCAAATAAAACTCTTGTACATGTATCATGCAATAGTTCAGGAAGTGAGAGTAGGAGACTTAGGATCTCATAGCTATGATCTCAAATCTGAACTTTGGCAGTTCTTGCTACACGACCTTTTGTATATGATTTAACTTCTCCAAGCTTTTGTTTCCTTGCCTGTAAATAGAAACAACACTACTTACCTCACCAGGTCTCTACACAATAACAGCATGCTTAAATCTCCTAGCATAGCACCTAGCATGGTATAGATCTTTAATAACTAGTATTTGTGACTTTTATTGTGGTAAGGGGTTGTTGAAGGCAGATCCTGAAGGCATCCTGAAGGAAGGGAACTTTGGGTAAAGTCTTAAAAAAAAGTGGAGTCACAGACTGATGAAAGGAAGTAGAGGAGCATTCCAGAAAAAAATATGTGTGTAAAAGTCAGAGTAGAATGGCAGGACTGGACATGCTGTATGTGAAAGATATGAAGGAGACTGGCATGGCTATTTAGAGGTGGTGTATCTGCATGGGAAAGAAAAAAGGCTGCAAAGCAAGAGAGGATCCAATGCTAGATGGAGGCCTCTGAATAGGAGACAACGTTTAAATGTGATGATGTGGTCATAGTGAGCCCTTACGGGTTTTTAGGCTGGTGGAGAATGCATATATGTGCAGAAGGAGAGTTTATACCTATTTTACAAATATTCTGGGGGTTGTGTGGGATGGCTTAGGATGGAAATGGAGTCCAGTTAGAAAGCAATGGCTGTAAATCTGATGCAGGGTGATGAAAATCTGGACTTGGGTAGTGGCTGTGGAAGTAGAACTCTACGAACAAACCAATCTGAGGAATACAGGAGGCCCAGTGACTGTTTGGAAGCAAGGATGGGAGGAATGTGGGGTCACTGCTTCATTTGGAAAGTGACTGAATTAATAGAGAGAATAAATAATTGCTTCTTTTTTATTGATATATAATTTGCATACCATACATTTCACTATTTTACAGTGTACAGTGCAGTGGGTTTTAGTATATTGACGAGTTTGTGCCACCATCACCACTATCTAATTCCAGAACATTTTCATCATGCCACAAAGAAACCCCATATCTGTTAGCAGTCACTCCCTTTCCCGTGCCTCTAGAGCCCTTTGCAGTCACTAATCTACATTCTGTCTCTATGGATTTGCCTATTCTAGAGATTTCATATAAATGGAAATCTTATAATATGTAGCCTTTCATGTTTGATTTCCCTCATTTACCATAATGATTTCATGGTTTATCCATGTTCTAGTATGTATCAGTACTTTGTTCCTTTTTTGTGGCTGAATAATATTTCATTGTATGGATGTACCACATTTTATTTATCTATTCATCAGTTGATGGACATTTGAATTGTTCTACCTTTTTGACTATTATAAATAATGCTGCTATGAACATTTGTCTACAGGTTTTTGTATAAACCTATGTTTCCAATTCTCTTGGGTGTGTACCCAGGAGTGAAACTGCTAGGCCATATGGTAATTCCATGTTTAACCACTGAAGAACCGCCAAGCTGTCTTCCATAGCAGCCACACCATTTTATATTCCCACGAGTAATGTAGGAAGGTTCTAATTAGACCACATTCTTACCAACCTTTGTTATTTTTTGTTTGTTCTTTTGTCTTTATGGTCATTTTAGTGGATGTAAATTAAACTGTCATTTTAAGTTGCATTTCCTTTAGGACTAATGATGCTGGTTATTTATTTATTTAGAGACGGAGTCTCGCTCTGTTGTCCAGGCTGGAGTGCAGTGGCGTGATCTCGGCTCACTGTAACCTCCGCCTCCTGGGTTCAAGTGATCCTCCTGCCTCAGCCTCCTGAGTAGCTGGGATTACAGGGGCCTGCCACCATGCCCAGCTAATTTTTGTATTTTTAGTAGAGACGGTGTTTCACTATGTTGGCCAGGCTGGTCTCGAACTCCTGACCTCAGGTGATTCACCTGCCTTGGCTTCCCAAAATGCTGGGATTACAGGCTGATTGTCTTTTCATGTGCTTACTGTCCATTTGTATATCATTTTTGGAGAAATGCCTGTTCAAATCCTTTGCCCATAATAGTGAGATTTTTGCCACGTCCTGTGATTTACGCTAAGACCATCTCCACAAAATGCCATTTTTGATAGCTCTTTAGGATATAATTGACACTATGTGAATCAGAATATTCTGAGGTTTCCAAGGTTTTAAGAAACTACAGTGATGCCTCTTTTATTCTGTTTGGTCTGCAAGTATATGATCAAGAAATGTAAGCTGACTAGGGAGCTATTTCTCTACTCATTCCATCTCCCTCATTATTGTTCAAGTTCCATGAACGTAATTGATATTAACACTTTGGATTTATATTTTTTAACCTTCTTTTATCTGATATCAAGGACAAACCAAATAGAGTTCTTTTTTTTTTTTTTTTTTGAGACGGAGTCTCGCTCTGTCGCCCAGGCTGGAGTGCAGTGGCGGGATCTCGGCTCACTGCAAGCTCCGCCTCCCGGGTTCATGCCATTCTCCTGCCTCAGCCTCCCAAGTAGCTGGGACTACAGGCGCCCGCCACCACGCCCGGCTAATTTTTTGTATTTTTAGTAGAGACGGGGTTTCACCGTTTTAGCCGGGATGGTCTGGATCTCCTGACCTCGTGATCCGCCCTCCTCGGCCTCCCAAAGTGCTGGGATTACAGGCGTGAGCCACCGCCTTATAAAGAACCCCAAATAGAGTTCTTTATAAAAGTTAATTAATTTAACTTTATTTGAACCTTCTCCCAAATGGAGCTTGGTACTTCCAAATTAGCAATATAGAAATAAACTACACAAGTATATTTTTGAGTAGCTGTAAATTAAAGGGGTTAGACTAAATTATTTCAGAACTTTTCTTTCAGCTTTACCATTCCATGATTCTAACATCGTTGGTTGGTAACTGAGAGGGGATGTGAACACAAGAATGCTAACTTAAGCCCCCTTCCTTGGTCAAGATGCCATTCTTCTCTGATGAAGTAACATTTGCAAAATAAATCTTAACTGGTCCCTTGGAGCCTGAGAACTCTGGAAATGTAAGAACTACTTCATGGAAGGAAAGGCTCAGAAACTAACGTATGCACTTATGAGAGTGGTCATAGTCATTATTTTGTGGATGACCTGTACTTATAGATAAAAGTCATGGTTTAAAAATGCAAAACAGATGGTGGTTAGGCAGTGGGGTGAAATTATTCCTTGGAAACCATGGGATTTGGACTGAGACATTTTTGAAAAGTCCAAAATGTTAACGGAAACTTCAACATTAGGTTAAGGAGAAGTATGCAGAAAATATTATCCATTTGCACTCTGCTTCCATCTAGCTATTAGAATGGGATCGAATAAACCTGAAAATAGAATCAGGAGGAAATAGAAGCCTGTATAGTGCTATGAGTTGGAGATAAAATGAGTTTCAGAATCATGGAAAAGTTTGTGTGCCTTCAAAGCTAGAGTTGTTCTGCTTTCAATACATTTCAGGTTTTCTGCTGGAACTATTTGAGAGAGAAGGGCTAAAGAGAATGAGTTGTTGGAATTTGAATTTGCTGCATGTTTTCTGCTTAGCACTTTCCTAAGATCTTTGGGTGATTTGAACCCTGAGCTAAAGGAGCTTAAAACTATTCCTATATGAGACCAGGCACGGTGGCTCACACCTGTAATCCCAGCACTTTGGGAGGCCAAGGCGGGCAGATCACGAGGTCAGGAAATCGAGACCATCCTGGCCAACATGGTGAAACCCTGTCTGTACTAAAAATACAAAAATTAGCCAGGTGTGGTGGCAGGCGCCTGTAGTCCCAGCTACTTGGGAGGCTGAGGCAGCAGAATGGCGTGAACCCGGGAGGCTGATCTTGCAGTGAGCTGAGATCGCGCCACTGTACTCCAGCCTGGGCGACAGAGCAAGACTCCATCTCAAAAACAAAACAAAACAAAACAAAAAAACTATTCCTATATGAAACATTTTAGCTATACAATAAAGCAGTGTGTGTGATTGAATGTTAAAATGTAAATTGGTCAGATGCAGTGGCTCACGCCTGTAATCTCAACACTTTGGGAGGCTGAGGTGGGAGGATTGTTTGAAGCCAGGAGTTTGAGACCAACCTGGGCAACATAGCAAGACCCCCATCTGTACTACTAATACAAACCTAGCTATTTGGGAAGCTGAGGTGGGAGGACTCCCTGACCCCAGGAATTGGAGGTTACAGTGAGCTCTGATTGTGCAACTGCACTCCAGCCTGAGTGGCAGAGTGAGACCCTATCTCTTAAAAGAAAAGGTAAAAAAAAAAATGATATGAACTATGTGTTATAGGAAGTCAGAGTACAGTGATCAATCCAGGTCAGAGAAATCAGGCTCAGGAAGTGCATTCAGGACAAGGTTACCAGACATGGACATGAAAAATGAATGGAATTCAGGGAAGGGATGTGGAGAAAAGAGGGCAGGACTTGGAGGAGTAAAGATTTGGTATTAGGGATGGTCATGATGTGACCAGGGGTATAGAAAATAGTCTCAGACAGGGGTGGAATGTCTCATCAAAAGTGAGAAGGCTATAGTGCTAATGACCTCAGGGGTGATATCTCATTGGGCTTTGAATGTGAAATGTAAAAGCTCTTGTTATTCAAAGACTAAAGTAGCAAGGAACCATTTGCTGGATATCCACCCTAAAAAGGACAAAGACTGTAGAGAGATGAATAACCTAGAAATAATCTGCATTACAAATATTTTACAAGTCCAGTTTCAACTCTTGCCTTTGTCTAATTCCTTGATAAATTCATGCTGTTACAGCATATGCTTTGGAAGAATCACAGAACAGAATGTAAAAATTAAAAAAAAAAAACCTTAAAGTCATCAAATTAATTCTTCTTATTATATATGGGAGAACTGAAGAGTCAAAGTAAATAAGTGACTTGCTCAAGGTCACAGAGCTGGTAAGTGGTAGGGGCCAGGTCTCTAAGACCTTGGCTTCTGTGCCACAGAAAATGCATTGTTTAAGCTTCAACCCTGATTTGCAGACATCCTGATCTTGCCAGGTGTGGTCAAGGATTTGTTCGATTTCTTTCTAATATCTTGGTGGGCAAAATATCATTGTATATAAAATATCCTAGAACCCTGTCCCTCAAAGTATGGTTCATAAAACAACTGCATCCCAATCTCCAAAATATTATGTAACGATTGCTGGAGTTAGAGCTGAAGAATTTGCATCTTAATCAAGAATCTGGGTGATTTTATATGTTGAAGTTTGAGAATCACTGTTCTAAAGCAAAATTGATTTCATCCACAATGTTTTGTTTTTGAGCCTCAGGTAGATCATATAGCAAAAATGATTTAAATAGTCACCAGTTTGTTATTTATGTGGGTTGAAGAAGTAGGGATTCTGCATTTTTAGTGTTAATGCATAATACTCATGTATTTAATCACTGGAATCCTATGGGGGAGAATATAAAAATGTGAATTATTTTTTACTCACACAGCTGCAGGCTGAAAGAGGACACATGTCTGAAATATGTGTGAGTGTGAGTGTGTGTATATATGTGCGTCTGTGTTTACATTATGGCATAGACCATACCCAGTGAAGAAATTGAATTGATAATCCGTGATCTCCGTGTATTCCACAAGTCCCTGATCCAGATGTTTTTACAGGTGAGAGTTATCATATTTTCAAATAAGAGATAATCTTTGGCTTATATATGTTGTTTCAGAAAGAAAAAAGCTATCTAAATTTTATGGATTTAATATAACTATGACTTGAAAATTGGATAAGAAAAGTACAAGAAAAGTAGAATCATTTCACTTATAAATAGATGCAAAGATCTTAAATAAAATGTTAATTAACCAAATAGAATCAAATCCCCAAAATATATTATGATCAAGAGGCATTTATTCCGGGAGTAAAAAGATAGTTTAACATCAGAAATTCACCACATTAATAGACAAAGGAAGAAAAACCATTGATTATCTCAATAGCTATAGATAAAGCATTTTATATAGTTCAATGTGGTGATAAAGCCTGATGACAGTGATTAATCCTGGGCAGAGGAATCAGGTTGGATTGGTGTGTGTGCGTTTATAGTGTATGTACAAATATAAATATGTTTATATAACGTATATTGATCAGACTTATTTACAATATAATCATTCAGTAAACCAGGACTAAAATGAAATATTCTTAATTTGATGAAGGCTACATACCAAAAACCTACAATAAACATTATATTAACAGAAACATCTGGCCAGATGCTGTGGCTTACACTTGCAATCCCAGCACTTTGGGAGGCTGAGGCTGGTGAATTGCCTGAGGTCCAGAGATCGAGACTAGCCTGGCCAACATGGTGAAACCCCGTCTCTACTAAAAACACAAAGGCAAGGTGGTGCACGCCTGTAATCCCAGCTACTTGGGAGGCTGAGGCATGGCAATTGCTTGAATCTGGGGGGCGGAGGTTGCAGTGAGCTGAGATGGCACCACTGCACACCAGCCTGGGCCACAGAGTGAGACACTGCTCAAAAAAAAAAAAAAAAAAAAAAAAAAAAAGAAAGAAAGAAAAATCTCTGGGTTTATCCCAATTAATATTAGGTGCAAAATAAACATATCTATTATTCTCACTACTGGCTGACATAGTGCTAGATGTTCTGGCCAATTATCTCAGCTAAGAAAAAAGAAAGTTTTTGAAAAGATGAGGTAAAATAATAATATTTTACTGATAATATGTTTGTCTCCATTGAAAATTCAATCAAATTGAACTAATAAACTATTACAAGTGTTAAGAGTTCAGCAAAGTTGATGGGCATGAAATTATCTAACCAAATCAATAATGTTTCTACCAACAAGAGTAAATTAGAAAATATCATAAAAAATAAAATATTCACAGTAACATTAGAAGTTGATAAACTATGATGTGCAGGACAAATGTGGCCTGCTAAAATGAGGATTTATCAGAACACAGCCATGTCCATTTGCTTACATAAATGCAAGTAAGCGAGGAAGAAAACCATGTAGAAAAATGAACAAAGAAGATAAGTACTCAACTCACAGAAGGAGAGGCCCCGATTACTAATTAGTAAGGAAGGAGATGCTCAGATTACATTGGTAATCAGCTAGCTTTAATTTAAAATAGGAAAAAAATAATGCTAGGATGGCAAAAATTTTAAAATATGAGTAATAGCAAGTGTTGGTGAGGACATAGGAAGATAATTCATTGCTGAGGGGTGGGATGGCTATAAATTGGTACAGCCACTCTGCACAACTGGTGGTATCTGCTGAATTAAAATATGTATATATCCTATAATCTAGTGATCCTAATCTGATATATATAATCCTAATCTGATATATATATATCCTAATCTGCTATACATATATTTTTATATATATATCCTAATCTGCTATATATATTATATATATATATATCCTAATCTGCTATATATATTATATATATATATATATCCTAATCTGCTATATATATATATATCAACATGGGTTGATACTAAAACATGGTGGTGAGTAAGAAATGCTGGGAACAGAATAAAATGTATACCATAATACCATTTCTATAAATTGAAAATTTATATACATAGAAAACAACATTAAAATTTTATAAGAATAAGTATGTGTATAAGAACATGTATCAGATACATTTGGGTACGTGTGGTGTGGAGGGGAGAAAATAGAAGTGTGGAAATGTGGAGTGGGGAGAGGAAATAATAAAGTTGGCAAAAAGCTTTTTACTAACTGACAATATTCTGTGAACTGGAGAGTGGAATAAATTTAACTGTACCCCAGTGTACAGTCTGTTCTCACATGGCTATAAAGGAATACCTGAGACTGGCTAATTTATAAAGAAAAGAGGTTTAATTGGCTCAGAGTTCCACAGGCTGTACAGAAAACATGGCTGGGAGGCCACAGGAAACTTACAATCATGGCAGAAGGTGAAGGGGAAGCAGGCACATCTTACATGGCTGGAACCAGAGGAGAGAAGGGGGAGGTGCCACACACTTTTAAACAGCCAGGTCTCGCAAGAACTCACTCACTATCACGAGAAGAGCACCACAGGGTGAAATCCACCACCATGGCCAAATAACCTCCCACCAGGCCCCAACTCCAACACTGGAGATTACAATTTGACATGAGATTTGGGTGGGGCCACAGACCCCAATCATATCACCCAGGTTAAGAAAAAAACCATAATGGCAAACTTTTAACCAAATTTAAAAATAAGGAGATTAGCAATGATCATAAAATGCACATTTGTTATTGAAAACTCATCGTCCATGTATATATATATATATATATACTTACAGAATTTTTCTTCTTTTGTGGATATTTCTTAGCTCAGTCACAAAACTGTGTTTATGGGCATTTGGGAGGAATTGAAGGTTGAGAGGGTTTTGCTCTGCTGTTGCTCAGAATGTAATATCCGATGAGGCTATCTGTGTGGCTATCAGCAACATTAGTCCTCTGGTGAATCAGAATGCTACGGGATATGGATTAGCATTTAAATGTAATGAAATCATACCCAATACTGCTGTGGATGAGAAGCTGAAGCTATTTATTCCTAGTCTCCAGCTCAGACTTGTATCATACCAATTGAGAATTTCTTTTTTATTCCTATGATTGTAACAGTGTCAGACACACATTTGACATTTTTTAAATATTGAAAGAATACTGGTTGAATGAATGAGTAAAAACAAAACAAAATAAATTATCCACCTTGCCTCAGTGAGACTTGAAAATGTGTAATGTATTAATGAAAATTCCACCAATAACATATGCAATAACTGCAAACCTTGGAAGACTTGAAAAAATATTTAATAAACAAATCTTCCTTTTCTTAGATAAAGAAAAAAATTTTTTTTTGGTAGAAAGCATCTTGCACATCCCTTTATGGGGTCCATCTGTCCTCTTGTTTCATGACAGGCAACACACCAGATGATGGCTTAAGCTCAAGTACTACGACTGGAATTATTGGACTGAGGGAGAGATGTCAGCTAACCCAAGGATACAATGACAGAGAATAAGGAGAAGAGTAGTGAGCAAACAAGGATTAGAAAAGTTCTTTCAAAGCTATTGAGCAGGAAGGGAATGTCATTCTTAGAATCAGGAGAGTGGGCCTGGGCACTCAACCTCAGCTAGGAGAAGGCTGCTGTACCTTCTCAATATCTAAGGTCAAATGGAACTTAGGCCAATGGAACGGGCATTTTCGAGTAAATCTATGGGCTAAGTGCTTTTCAGATGCTATCTTCTTTAATCCTTACAACATTATGAGGCGGCTAAGGCAGTTATTCCTGTCTTTATTTCAGATGGGATGGCTTAAGGCTCAGAGATCTTAAGTGTCTTGCCAAGGTCATGTCAGTGGTAGAAGTAAAATATGAACCCACAATTTTTTGCTCCGAAGTACTGGCCATGCCCATAAAATAACAGTCTCTTTTTTAACCTAAACTGAGAGTGAAGGCAGATGAAGGAGAAAATATAAATGTATAATAGCTAGAAGAGAAAGATCTGAGTCCAAATGGGCTGGCCTCAGGTGATGGGAGCTTGAAAATATTCAGAAGTGATGATGCCATTAAATAATGCTTATTTCCTAAATTGCAGTAGCATTGGAATGTGTCTACTCTATGTGCCAAGAGCTATCTACTTTTGCATAATTTTTAACATTTGCATATCATCAAAAACTTTTCATAGTGCCTGTTAGGTATAAGATACTCTATGAGTTACTGGACTGGGGATGGTAGCAGAAGCTGGGGAAGGATTTAGAGAAAACTTTCTCACTCTCAAGAGGTTTGAAAAGTAACTGGAAAGACAGAGCAGGTAAAGAGGGGACAATATTAGCCAGATGTGGTGGTGTGCACCTGTAATCGCAGCTACCCAGGAGGCTGAGGCAGGAGAATCGCTGGAACCCAGGAGGCAGAGGCTGCAATGAGCCAAGATCGCACCACTGCACTCCAGCCTGGGCTACAGAGCAAGACTCTGTCTCAAAAAAAAAAAAAAAAAAAAAAAGTAAACAATACAAGGTACACTGGTGGAATAGACAAGGGTCATGGGAAGACAGAGGCAAAGATGAGAGCTACAGAGTGGTTAGTAGAAGAAAATTTTAAGGAGATAGCGAGATTTAAGAAAGGATATAAAAATGAGAAAGGTTTAAATCAGTGTTTCTCAAGTATGGTCAGAAGACCCCTGGGGGTTCCCAGAGACCATATCAAGAAGTCTGGGAGATCAAAACTATATTTATAACAATTTAAGATTACCTTTCTCTCTGTGTTCACCTTTGTATTGATAGCACAAAATAATGTGGATAAAACTGCAATGGCACCATGCTGTGTAGGTAGTGTATAAGTTTTCTTCACTGTTTCACAGTCATAGTTTTAAAAGAAATGTAATTTCACTTGAGAAAATCCTTGGTGGAAAAGTAAAAGAATTTTATTAACTCTCAACTCTCGAGAACAGATCTTTTCATACTGTATACTGTGTGATAAAGTGGGAAGTATACAAAAAGCACTTTTGCTATGTAATGAAGGATTGTCGTCTTGAGTTGTAAGCTGAAATAGCTGTTTTTTTTTCTTGTATAACACCATATTTTTTTTCTTGAAAGAATGACAAACAAACAAACTATGGCTCTTCAGGCTTGGGTATTTGGCAGACATTTTCTGGAAAATGAAGAAAGTAATCCTTTCACTTAAAGGAAAACAACTGATAGTATTTGTTGCCAAAAAAAAAAAAAAAAAAACAACCGGGGGGAATACACATCCATTACCATAAGCTTGACAGCTTTCCAATACCAATATTTAGAGTTCCAATACTTAGAGCTTTCTGATGAGATAGGTAATGATATTAATTAATACTATATATGCGACATATATATATACACATATATATATATTCATATAGTATATAGCCTGTTGACTCTGGTTTCTTTCACTTAGCAAAATGCTTTTGAAATTCATTCACATTGTCGATTTTGTGGGTTGCTCTTTTTTTGGCTGGATAGCATTTCATTGTGTGGACATACCACAGTTTTCTCATGTGTTCATCAGTTAAGGATATCAGCATTGTTCCAGCTTGGGGCAATTATGAATAAACATTTACATACAGGTTTTTGTGTGAACATACATTTTCATTTCTTTTGGGTAAATACCTAGGAGTTTCACTTTATAATATGGTTTAGATATTTGAAGAAGAAAAAGGAAATATTCTAGATCAGGGGTCTGCAACTCCCGGGCCATGGACTAGTACCAGTCTGTGGCCTGTTAGGAACCAGGCTGCACAGCAGGAGGTGAGCAGCAGGCGAGTGAGTGAAGCTTCATCTGTATTTACAGCCGCTCCCCATCACTCACATTACCGCCTGGCTCTGCCTCCTGTCAGATCAGCAGTGGCATTAGATTCTCATAGGAGCATGAACCCTATTGTGAACTGTGCATGCGAGGGATCTAGGTTGTGCGCTCCTTATAGAATCTAATGCTTGATGACTGTCACTGTCTTCCATCACCCCCAGATGAGAACATCTAGTTGCAGGAAAACAAGCTTAGAGCTCTCACTGATTCTACATTATGGTGAGTTGTATAATTATTTAATTATATATTATAATAATAATAGAAATAAAGTGCACAATAAATGTAATGTGCTTGAATCATCCCCAAACCATCCTCACCCCCGGTTCTGTGGAAAATTGTCTTCCATGAAACTGGTCCCTGGTGCCCGAGAGGTTGGGAACGGCTGTTCTAGACAGAGACAAAATATAGGTAGGCTACTCTGCCATTTTGCTCCCATTTGTTCCCTTTATTTGGATATTTCATAGCTGAACTATCATCATCTCTATCTTAGTCCTCTCCTCCGCAAGTGCCCACCACTGATCAAGTAGACATGTAAGAGATGTTTTAACTACAATGCTGCCATGCTCATAAATGCAGGATTTTTCATAGAGATTCTGGGGCCTGGTAAATAAGCCAGTTTAATTGTTGCAAAAGCCTTGTGAAGTAGTGGGAGGTGATCCTGCTTTGGAGCCAGCTTGTTGAGAGCTCTGAGTGCGAAACTGAGGAAATAACTATTTCTTAATAATGGATTAGAATTAAAGATGCACCAGAAAGGATAAGTACTTCTTACTCTTGTTAACAAAGTCATCATTTAAAAATACACACATAATTAATACTTACTATAGACAGTTTGAAAATTTAGAGTTAAAAAAAATCCTTTACCGAATAAACCACTGTTACATTTTGGTTATTTTCGTCTGATCATTTTTTTTATCCTTATTTTTACATAATTGTGATCAGATTCTTGATATTATTTTACTCATTTTTCACTAATATTCTATTATAACAGTTTTCTTCTTATAAAAATCTTCAGAAACACAATATCCTGTCATATAGCTCTAACATAATTTACTTGGTCAGTTTTTGATTATTTCTTGGTAACTTCTTGAGAATTTGTGTTTTAAAGTTGTTTGTTTCTATTTTATTACTAGTATAAATAATGCTGTAGATGAACATCTTCCTTTGTAAAACATTTTTTTAATTGGATTATTTCTTTCTTCATATTCCCAATGACAAAAATCACACTTGAAGCTTCAAAAAAAGTATAAAATTATGAAGAGTAATGTCTTCAATGACCCTGGGAAAAGTTTAATTTTCTTTCTTTTTTCCCTGAGTTTAGTAGCATTGGACACCTATCATCTGTGGATTTCTGCAGGCTTGGAAAGAAAGGGTTCAAAACAAATGTAGCCTGAGGTTCAGATTTTGAGTATCCACTTAAGCAAATATTGATTGCCTATTCTACCCAGCATCGTGCTAGGCACTGGGATGTTATGGGTCATAAAAGTAGCTGGTACCTAGTGAGGAGCCAGACCTTCTCAGGGCTGTGCAGAGATGGTGTTATTTCATCGTCACACCAAGCTATCATGCATGTAGTATTGTTAACCCCACTTTATAGATGAAACAGAGGCACAGAGAGATGAACTGACTTGTCCAAGTCCATGTAATTTGTAAGTGGCAGGGCCAGGATTTCAACCCAGCATGGTTGCACTACACTATTCTTCCCTCAAGAAAACTTGTGGTCAGAGGAAGAAAAGGTCCACAGCATCTGGTGTTCCAGGGAATCTCTTCCCTGCCGGGGCTTACATTCCAAGAGCAGGTCTATGCCGGGCATAAGAGACCAATGGTCCCTGCACTTAAGCTGCTAATACTGGAGGAATCTCAGTACTGATTACACCATCAGGGTGCTTCTATATAAAGTAAATTAAACAAATCCTGGTCACTGGAATGTTTTGCTGGTAACATTTATGTGCAATACTTTTAAACATACTTATGCTTTTAAAACACACCCACAGGAAAGCAATGAAGTCTGAAGTGCAGACAAAAGGTGAAGAAAACCTGCATTCTTAAGGAAAAAAAAAAAGGTTAGACTGGACCTGACCACCATTTTCCAAATGGTTTTTGTGTAAGAGTTTCATAAGTCGGCCAAGTTTAAGGCATTCTGCATTCTTAACCTTCCTTTTAGAGATTCACTATGCAAATTAATTAATTTAAGGCTCTGAGAAGTCCTGCAGTGAAGCAACCTGTTCAAATTTATTTGGTCTGGAATTTTTCAAACTTATTTATGCCCAGGACATTTTTCTCAAATGACCCCTATTTGTAACCCACACACTCAGGGGAAAATGTTGGACCAGACTTAGTGCTGATTGGATAGGAATTCTCCTCAAGTTGCTTCTGAGAACAGAAGCCATAGACCATTAGTTGGAGGGGTCCTACAAGTGGTGGAGGAAGCTGGCAGGACTCTGGTGGCGCTGTTTTTTCTCCTTCATCATATCTCACCAATGGGATAAAACAGAGTAGTGAAACATGACAATTCCCACCGAACAGGCTGATTCTCACATTCTGTCTCATTTCCCTTATGCTTTTGAAAACTCTGGAGGCCAAAGGGAGCCGTACTTACAAAGCAGTGGAAGGCCCCTTTTCCACATTTCATATGACGCCTGGTTCGAGTGTGTTGTGTTACAGGGAACACCTGCTGTCTATTCTGTGGCCTGGGCTGTTCAGCCAACTGGCCCAGCTGGTCCGCTCTCCCAGCCCAGCCATTTCAGGGTAGTGTGATGAAGGCTTTGACTCAGCCTCCAAACTGTCTTCTACCTTCTCCCAGCCCCCTCTGGCTATTGTGTGGATGGAGGTGGTGATTGAATTAACAAAGCTGTTAAAAGCCAAAAGGAACACATGGAAAAGGAACCTGAGCCCCCAACAGCAGCTTCATTTGCTCTCTACTCTGGAGCAAATATGTGAGCTGCACTTAGATGGTACCTGGTGATTATAGAATTAGCGGGGCTTTGCTCCTCAATGCCTGTCACTCACTGTCATTGAAAAGAGGTCTGAACCAGGGGAGCTGCTGAGAAGCTAGGGACAATCCCCAGCCCTGTAATGATGAGACTAATTCCAAAAAGGTCAGAACTCCTTAATTAAACATTAATCAACCATTTTGTAAATGATGATCATTCCATCCAGGGTGGGAGGAAGAACAGTCTGAAGGCCAAGGGCAGTAGCCCTGAGTCCTCTTGAAGCCGAATAGGTTCTGAGGATAAGTGTCGGTAAAAGCAAGTACCTTTACCTTCCTTTACTTAGGAGGAAGAAAATCAGGAGTAGGAGGGTTTTTTTTTATGCTTTTCAGTACAAAATAACATCATTTTCTATGACTTTCCTTTTACCTGGAATAACCATGTTAGAGGGCCAGTTACAGGATGATAGTCCAAACCTGCAGACATTTCTCCCCCCTTACCCTTTCTAAGTGCATGCCTTTATAACAATACTTGACTTTGCAGAGCCCACTTCAGTTTATAAAACACTTTAGTTTTGCATCGTTGTATCTGCTCCTTACAGCAACTTCATAAAACAGGTTTAACCCATTATTGAGATGAGCAAACTGAGACTCAGAGACATTCAATTTCTTTCCTTTGGCTGGTCAGTAGCAGAGGGAATACTCACACCAAAATTTTTTAGTCCAAAATGCAGTGCTCCTTGCACATACTATGTTTTCTATGAGAGTAGATCTCGGGCTCCTGAACCATCAGGGCCTCTTAGTCAGTAATCAGGGCTTCGTCATCCTGCTTCCTCCAGCTCCACTCCGCCGTGACTTTTACTCTCTAGGGTTCTTCATTGCAAATCTCCCAGTTACAAATAAATAAAACAAACCCACAAAAAAACCAATACCCTCTGAAATTTCAGAGACTTTAGAAATACATTAAAAGACACACATAGACACACGGGGTTCTTTTCATATGGAAAAGTATGCATATGTAGGGATTAGTCTGCATGAAAAAGAATATCTTATTCACTGGATCACTGAAGTCTCATTATGCTTTTTTTATAAAGGCTTTGAACCATCTTTGGCATGTATTAATTTTTTTAAAGCATTGCTGATGAGCTGAAATCAAGCTGATGGTAAATTTATAGAAGCTTTCATTATGCAACTGGTCTTGGTCATCCTTCTGGGCAAAGTGGATTTCTTTGTAGTCCTGCATTGTGTGCACCACCAGTCTGCAAACTCCAGGCAGGACACGTTGGCAACAGCCTCCTCTTCCAATCCTCATTTTCTCTCCTTCCTGGGGTGTGAGCTCCCCAAGGTGTGATTAATCCATCTATTGATCGCCTCCTGCCATAGCGAGGGTGAGATATGGCTAGCAATTGGTGCCAGGCTGCCTATGTGACTGGACTGCTAAGCCGAGGTGAGAACAGACAAGTGCTAGCCGGTGCTTTTCAACCCTGCCGACAGGGAGGGGGCAATAATAGCCACGCTTCCCACACGCCTTGCTAAATGATCCCTCTCATCAAAATGCAGCTGATTCCTTTTCAAATGAATTATAATGTATATTCCCTGCTCTCTCAATTGGCTTCACAAAAGTCCAATAAAAGTTTATGGGCAAAGGGAAAGAAGATGAAAAGAAGAGTAAGAAGACAGAAACCTCCTGGAAATAAAGCCAAACAAGAATGTACTGTTTTGATTAAAGCATTCCAGGCAGATAGAATGGATGACCAAAAGCATACCAGCAGAGGGGATTAGAAGAATAAGACAGAATTTACCTTAATATTCAGAGGCACCGTGGTGAAGATAAGCTGAGGGAATAAAGACTAGAGAGAAAACCTACCTGCAAATGAGGACGGTACATTGAGAAATATGGGCACTATACTCATTCCCAAGGCTAGTTTTGGCCAGTAAACTGAGGAACAAAAATTAGGCCAAGCAAGAATTGGGAACACTTTTTTTCCTCTCCTCTTCTGCCCAAGAGAAGGTCAAGCATGCCTACCCTTGGCTGTAGATGCCACATTTTCTTTCATTCTGCCACATATGTTTAAAAGAATCTCTCATCCACAGAATCAGGCCACTCTCTTCATTTCAGGAATTTCTACCATATGCAGGAGGTCACCTGGGATTATGGAGGACCTTCCATTTCTTGTGGAATTGATTTTCAATGCACCAGCCAGAACACAAGCAAGTTGAAAAGTTGATCAGCTGTCTAAAACCTAGTGCCCTTCTGCATTAGGGAGAGTGGCAGTGAAAATTCAAAGACAGTGAGACCCTCCGCGTACTAGCTCCCACATCTGACTCATGTTGATTTTCCTGCTTGTCTGTTCCAGATGTGCACAAAGCCCAAGGAACATCTACAGACATTTGGGAGAGACAGAATTTGTAGTTTGCAAGGAAACAGACAATTAGAATATGGTAATTTGGTAGGACCAAAATTGTACAGTAAGATCTTTAGCTTGGGATGAGGTAGGGGCTGAACCCAGTCACAGAATCCAGACCTGGTGACTCTTTTTCAAGGTTCCTGGAAGAATGATGGATGAACTGAAATCTGAAGGATGGAGAGAAGTTTGCCGTGTTACAAAGGAGGCAAGTGGAAGAGAAATAAGAGAGTGGGTGGAGAAGACCTGAGATGATTCTACAAGGAGGGACTGTCATCACACAGACCTAGAGGTGAGAGAAAGCAGGGCATATTCAGGTAACTATAAACTATCAAACATGACCAGAGCTGTGTGTGTGTGTGTGTGTGTGTGTGTGTGTGTAAGACAGCTACAAGCCCTGGGGCTGAAGAATCAAATCAGGGCCTCGTAGGAAGTATTAAAGTGTTTAGACTTAATTCTGAGGGCAATCGCAGAGCCACAGAAGAATTTAAATAGGGCAGTGATGTGATCAGTGTTGAGGGTGTAGAGAATGGATTAGGAAGGGGTCATTTTGAAAGCAGGGAGACCCATTAGGAAAGGATCGCCCTAAACCAGGTGGCCTGTCTCAGGGTAACAGTGCGGATGGGGTGAAAGTAAGAAAGGAAGCCAAGATGATTTCCAGGGAGAAACCAAGTCCATTGAGAATTTATATAGAGAATATATATTTTATTATAAATGGGTTCCAGGAAGAGCCCAATACTTCATAGAGGTCCAAGAAATTGTTACCGAAAAAGGTTAAGTAAACACTTACTCTTTCTTATCCTTATTGTGGGAGTTCCACAATTCCAGGAGATAAGAAAACAACAGATATGCTAGGTTTATATTCCACTTGGAAAATAGTCCCAGAGCATAGAAGGAAAAGCTCTGTAAAATCCAAAAGGAAAATGGACCTATGAGCCACGTGCAAAGAACTGGTCATGCCAGACTGACTCAAATAAAGTTATTTCAGTAGTGGTGTTCTCCCAACCACCAGGCAATGAAGGCAAAGTTGCATGTACTTGGAGATGAGCAAACCATTTCCCTCAAAACCAGTGTTTCAATATTTTGCTTGGCATCAAAATCCAATTGGATTGGAGAAGAATGTGGTTTGGAAATAGGCTGAGAATTAATAAATGAAATTGTCCATGAGAAATGCCAGTGTTTTCAAATATGGGGCATGGTCGCTGATAGAAATATTATTTCTTAGTGTCTTTATTCATAAATTGAGAAGAGGAATTTACTTATTGATGCAAATTGCAGATGCTTCTAAATTAGGCAGCATTGTCAACACCTGACAGAACACAATGTCCCCAAAGAGGTTAGAAATGAGGGGCAGGAAATAATAAAACTAGGTTAAATTTGGCTAGATGGAAACTACATCTGGGGAAAAATAATTCAAAAAGCAGATATTCATTGGGCCAAAGAAATCTGGACCACACTGGTGCCAGAGGAGACCCAGGTGCAATACCGGATGGCAAATTAGGTAGGAGTCTAAAATATGCTAGGGCAACCCAAAACCCATTCAATCCTGGCCTGCCTTATCTGATAAAGAAACCTCATCCTATCAAAGGAAAAGATCTGGCCTGCCTCAGCCTTCCCTGTTTGCAGGCCATTCAAAAAAGAAATTTAATCCACTCATTGCCTTGGTTTTAGTTATTCAGATAAAATAAAAATCATCTACTGGAACTATAAGACTTCTATCATTATATCAAGTTCATAGTCAATGGTTTTTAGCTAAAGAAATAAAGCCACAGGGACTTGCATATAGAAGCTTCATTTATAGTAGCTTAAGAGGTGTCACTGCTGTTCTTTCATTATTCTCCCATCATTGTCTCATTCGAACAGTCTTCCAGGTAAGTGGCCAGCAAGTCGTATGGTCTGTCTCTGTTTTACATATTAAGCAGCTGGGGCATTGTTGCCAAGGGCATTCAAGAATGCCAGTCACTGGTCTCTCTGGTGCTTTGTTCATTACAAGGACATCCTTCTTCTAATTGATTTCAGTTTTTGAGAGGCTTTAAAGGGAATTAGAGAGTTGTCATCAATGCCACCACAGGTCTAAGGGGCATTTTTGGATGACTCAATGGGCAGGTTAGTATGCAGCTTAAGGCACCAATGTTTAAAACTTAATTGGTATATAAATAATCTTCATGGTAAACATCAGAACTTTGCTAGACACTCTTAGTTTAAGTTTCATTATTAAGACTATTTTGAGTTATAAAAGAAAATATGGATGGGAAATAATCATCATAATTTCAATGCTAAAGATTTTTTAAGGCCTATATACAGTCTACCTGTATGCAGAAACCTTGAAAAAAAGGAAGGCAGAAGATAGAAGTAAATGCTATCATTGCAAAGAAAATTATTTCGTTCTTTCCTCAGTGTACTTCTATGATTTATCAAGCACACTTGGAGGATGTAAATGCTTCTAGAGCAAAATCACATGATTTTACCCAACTGTAATGGCTCAATTTTAAACAAACCTAGTGGCCATGTACATGCCTGGGCAGAGCCAAGGGCCGTTACGAATGTGCATGCTCAGAAGCTCTTCCCAGAACTATGATTGCATTTTGACCTTGACTAGAGTCCCAGTACTGTGGTTTAGTGGGGCTTTGTTTACTGTCAGATTCATTTCAGTCCCATGGTCTGAGTGACCACTCATTATTGCAATTAAAGTAAGGGATAGTTTGTGATTTGGGTTTTAGTAAGGGATGGTAAATTTTATAGTGTATATAATTTGGAACATGTCTGTGTTTCAGCCCATATGTGGCTATCTGCCCGGGTGCTTATTATTATGCTTATCTACAAATGACCAGATGGCCTTGCCCAAATGTAGAGAACCATTTAGTGCCATTTTAAACCATTAAGGCTATTAAACCTGACAGGAGATAATCCTGTGCCCAAAGGGAACTAGTTTTGCTGTCCTTCAAAGTCATCAAATGTAATTAAATGCCATATTGAGGAGTAGGCATTAATGGATTAAGGGGACAGGACTGTCAACCAGTTCTGGGTCAACCAAGGCAGAGGGAATATAGGAATAGCTCAGAAAGAGAGGTATATTAGGTAAAGTACTGGCTAAGCTGCTGTAACAAAAAATACCCAAAATATTATGTCTCAAAAAAAGATAGTTTATTTCCCTCTAAGACAAAACAAAACAAAACAAAACAAAACAGAGGTAGGGGAAAGGCTCAAGACAGGCAGCTCTGTATCTTAAGATCAACCGGAGACCCATATGCCTTCTATCTCATTGCTCTGACATCCATTATAGTATTTTCCTCACCCTCATGGTTGAAGCTATCTCACCAACACATCTGTATTCCAGTCATCTTTAAGGAGAAAAGAGAAAAAAAGGAGGGCAAGCTAATGTATTTTGAGGAATTGATGGTAATATTGTACACATCACTTCTGTTTACAATTCCACTGGTTAAGAACTTATTTGATCATCACTAGCTGCAGGGGACACTGGAAAACATAGTCACCAATTGGATGGCCATGTGTTCTGCTCAACTCATAGTGGGGATGTTATACTTCTCAAAGGAAGGCTGAGAGAATGATGCTGAAGTTGTGTCTCTGCCACAGTTTTGTTCTAGAATATATAAAAACCAGAGATAAGAATCGGGCAACTACCATTTTAAGGAGTAAGGAGGTCTGAGAAATCCCACAGCTGAGAAAAGATGGCGGCTGGTCAATGCCATGCAAGTGGGACCAGAGAGTATACTACATCCTAGAAACTGAAAGATGCCTTGTGTACATTAAACCACTTAATTTTTACAGCAACTCTATAAATAGTGTATTTGTACAGATCCTCCAAGAAGAAGACACCAACACAGGATTAAACATGAAAGAAACTTATTAGGGGAAGTGTCCGTGAGAGAAAATTGAGACTGGAGTCAGAGGAGTGTGGGGGAGTAGATCTTACACTGAGTGAAGGAGAGAAGGTAGCAAAGAATGAAGCAACAAAGTTCTAAGGAGAGCTTGGAAAGGCCATCAGGGAGTTAGTTTTCATGTCAGGTTCCCCAATCAGAGACCCACATCTTCTGTGTCTTATCTTAGGCCTTAGACACCTACATCCTGCAAGTCTCAGTTATAGGTTGAGAGAAGTCCATGTGAAGTGTGGCTTCAGTGTGAAGGTGGTGAACAAGTTCAGAGAGCAGCAGCTGGGGCCACAGGTCAATTATGCTCTCTGCATAAGAGATCTGAATGGCATATTTTTTCATGTCTATCACAGCAAGGATTTCCTTCCTTCCTTCCTTCCTTCCTTCCTTCCTTCCTTCCTTCCTTCCCTCCCTCCCTCCCTCCCTCCCTCCTTCCCTACTCCTAAAAAGGTTAACACATACGTCCAAATTTAATAGCTGGTAAATGGCAGAGATGGAATTGAGCACACAGCCTATCTTTAAACTAATCAACACACACACTGTCTGCTAAGCTATTGGGTGCACACAGTACATAGTTTTCAGAGGTCAAATCAAACTGGTCAGATGAACAATAGTGTATATGACATCCCTGAACCAAGACCTTAAAGGTGAGGAAACTCCTCCCTCGGGCTGCCTGCTGGGGCAAGAACCAATGCCAGAGCCCCTGGTCTCTGGTGAGGGTGAGGGTGGAGGGCATCATAGAGGAACCGGTCATTTACACAGGATCCCTATAGCTCCTGCCTGAAGCAGCTTTGGAAGACAAAAATCACAGTCACGGCACCAAGCCCTAAGCCTTGGATCAATCTTTTCTCCTTTCTAAGCCCTCCTTGCATCCTCAACCACTCCTGAAGTGAGTTGTTTGGGGTCTGTCAGAAATAAACAGGAGTTCTTTTACTTGAATGAGGCAGGTTGGGTTTAACCCAACCTATGCCTCTGTGTGAATTGGATAAAGGCGCCCCCTGGGGGCAGAAACAGAAGCTCCAGGGTGAATGGTTTGGCAATCAGAGGGAGGCTGGGTTTTAAATTCTATTCATCCCCTTCACCAAATTATGCAGGGCAAAACCATACAAAGTAGCCCTGGTTAGGGTTCTGTGAGCCATCAGGCTTAGAAGTCAACAGAAACCCCAAACTCTTAGCATGGAAACTAAGAAATGCCTGCATCCTGGAGACTTTCAGGGCCAGAGTGCCCACAGTGAGCTGTCCCGGGTACCTGAGCAGCCTGCCCTCTGATACTCTCATGCTGTACCCAGCGTAGCCATTTTCTTTCTGTCTTACAGCTATCTGGGCTCCCCCTACCTCCACCCCCATCCCCCAGCTCTTCAATCCTGTCTCTACTTCCTTATTGGCTAATGACTCAACTGGTCCCTGAGCATGTTTTCAATATCTTCATTCCACAGATTTTAATTGAGCAACAACTAGGTTTTGGAAATGAAGAGATGAACACAATTCAGACTCTCTCCTCAACAGTTCAGTCGAGTGAGGAATCTGCTGTAATAGAATTTGACTTACACAAGGAGTATAGAGAAGGGGCATATCCTTATGGTTGAGCAAGTCATGGGAGGTCCCAATGAAAGATGAATATAAGTCAACTAGGTGAGGAAATGAGGAGGAAGATCATTCCAGAGAGGAGGAACAGCATGTGCAAAGGCCCAGAGGTATCCAAAGCTACGTGCATTCAGAGAGCTAGAATGACTGAAGCTCAGGCTGTGTGCAGCAGGAGAAGTAGGAGATAAGTTGGAAAGGTAGGAGAGAGGTAAGGTCCTGAAAGGAATTTGGACTTTGTCCTGAGGGTGCTGAGAAGCCACTGAGGGGCTCTAAACTGGGAATGGATATGCCAAATTTGTGTTTTAAAAACGATGGCTTCTGCTTCAGCCTCTTTGGGCTGAATCCTTTGCTACTTGGGCCGACTGGCCCCACTTACCATGAGAGATGATACAATTAGCAGGCTGAAATGAGTATTAGAAGGCTCAGAAGTAGGAGACATTCTTGGTCCTAAGGCAAGATTGCCTGTCCCTGAATATCTCAACTTCTGATGGACTGGTTCTGTAAGTTGTTTAGCCTAAACCCAGGTAACATTGGATCTATTGCTAAAAGCCATTTTCTACTCTCACAGATTTTGAATGATTTAGTTGATTCTCTCAATTTCAAAAGAGCCTTGCCCAACAGTATACACTGTTAGACCAAACACACTTTAACATGCATACATTTTTATTGATTGCAAAGTACTTTAATATATGTTAGCTCATTGAATCCTTACAAAATTATTGTAAGGTCAGTAGTAATTCATGTTATCCACTCCCATTTGACAGATAAAGGTACAGAAGAATGGGTTGAATGACATGTCCACAGTTACAAATCAGTAAAAGGACAAGCAAAAACTTGAAAACAGGTTGACTCCAAAGCCAATGCTTTTGCCACTATAGAGTGCTATCTCTAAAATAATTTATTCATGTTCTAATTCATTTCATCCTGCACTTCAAGTCTTCTTTAAAAATAAAAAAAAAAATGCAGACAAGGGAGTATATAGATAGACTAAAAAAGCAAGACAGGAGAAAAGTGAAAATACTAGCCACAGGTTCCCACACAGTAATTAAAATTAGTGTGCAAATTGAGCTCTGAGCTTCCAGGCAGCTAAAGCAAAAGAGGAAAAATGTAATTCATATTGTCCATAAGGAAAAGACTTGCTATATCTCAAGAGAAGCAAACCCTTCTTGGCACTCAGATATGAGAGAATTTTCTCCTGTAAATCTTTTATATTGAGGATATTGAATGATGCTGTCTATAAATTCCTCAGAAACATTCCTGCCAAGGGGGCAGAGATGGAGATGCATGGCTATTTCTTATAGATGCTCCTAATGAGTATGAAGAGCAAAAACCAACGCTGCTTTTTACAATTTTCCTCATCTGTGCCGTTTTTTAGCCATAGGTGTGTTGATGTGTGGTTTTTGAAAGATGAATACTTAAGCGATTGTTTTGGGAAAAGAGAAATTCCTGCCTACAGTTGTAGGTGTACGGGAGGCCACTGAAGTTTCTCCCCTTGGGAAACTCTACAGAAACTTCTCCCCAGTTTTTCAAAGCTCATCTTGACTGGCTCCCTACTGGGATATGTACCTAAGGCAAAACTCAATACCAAAGAAATCTATGTGCCTCCATTTACCACTTTACCTCAGAGGATAAAGATAAATTTTATTAAGATGAACTTCTAATGCAAATTCTCTCAAAAGGGATGCAGACAGCTTTTCTCCACAAAACTACCAATTGGTGACAACTGCAGCAATGCACACATTACATGATGCTCCTTAACTTCCATCTGGAAGAAGTCATTTCAGTACTCCCGAGCCTGTCCAGAAAGGGATCACGGGAGCATACACTCCTTCAAAGATCTACCAGAGATGAGAACAGAAAAACCCCAAAGGCTCAACATTTTGTTGCTCTTGTAGTTCTTCCCTGTCAGAACTAAGACACTGTCTACATTATTTCCATAAAGCTGCTGGCTCAGCCTGTCCCTAGTCCTGGTTGGCTCAGAGAATACAGGTCTCCTTCCCTCTTTACAGACAATGCCCTCCTTCTGGATGGCCACGACAATGGAGCTTGATGATTTAATCATGCTTACACCAGGCTGCCTAGGAGACAGCTGGCTAGGACTAGGATGCAATCTGTGGCTGTGGAGCAGAGCCAAGTTCACTGTGGTTGAACCCATGACCTGAGCCTCCTGGGCATGACCTCTAAATCAGTTGTCACATTTATGACAAGACTGTTATGTTTAGCAATCATAATAATAATAGTGAGAGTTTGCATTGATAGAGCACTTCCTATGTGTCAGTCTCTTGCTGAATGTTTTTATGGGGATTATCTCCTATGAGTCTCTCAACTCCCTGTGAAGAATGCCTATCATCTTTCCATTTTACACACAGGGAAATAGGAGCTTAGAGAGTCTAAGACTTTCCCAAGGGCACATAGCTAATAAGTAGTGAAAACAGGATTCAAACAGGCAATTCAGTTCCTGAGCTCATTTCTAGCTACCACCCTATCCTAGCCCTGTCAGGATTATCCATATTGCAGACAGGGCAACAAATACAAAGCTGTGTCATACAACCTCTAGTTAGCTGGCAGAGCCTCCTGACTTTCAACTCAAGACTCATTCGTTAGACACAGAGTTTTTTAATGTGTAAGTTATGGCACCATTGTTTCTAATGTCTCAGAATCCCATCTTTGGTGTTGGATAATGACAGGCCCAGGGAGGAATGGCTAGCACTAAACATGCTCACCTCAACCACATTCTCAAGAAATATTTTATGAAAACCTGGGTTTCCAAAGAACAAATATTTGATCATCACTGCTTTACTTATACTGCTGGTAGGTTTGTAAATTTGTCTGGCTTTTGGGGAAGGTGCTTTAATAATGATGTATCAAAAGCTTTAGCTAGGGGTACAAATGTAACCCACACATTCACTTTCACTAAAAAAATAATTTGAGAGAAATAATGCAATGTTGAAATCAACCAAGAATTTTAGTCGCACTATTGTTTGTAAAAATGAAAAGTTGAAAATACCCTTAACAGATCATCAATTGATTGATGCAACATTTTGTTACATTCTTACTATAGAATTCCATCTAGATCTTTCAAAGGATAATCTGAATCTACATATATGTTGTGATATAACAGTAAATTCAAGATGCTTGTAATATGTTGATACATGAAGAGAGCAATTATCAAATAATCTGGGTAATATGGTGTATTAGTTTCCTGGGGCTTCCGTAACAAATATTCACACACTAGATGTCTTAAAACAACTTTATTCTCTCATAGTTCCGGAGGCCCAAAGTCTGATAACAAGGTATCGGCAGGCTTTGTGGCTCTGGGTAAGAATCTTGTCCCTGCCTCTCTCCTCGCTTCTGGTGGTTGCCAGCAAACTTTGGCGCTCCTTGGCTTGTAGAAGTATCACTTCAATCTCTACCTCCATTGCCACGTGGACTTCACCCCTGTA
This sequence comes from Homo sapiens, assembly GCF_000001405.40. Taxonomy (NCBI): domain Eukaryota; kingdom Metazoa; phylum Chordata; class Mammalia; order Primates; family Hominidae; genus Homo; species Homo sapiens. The sequence continues at coordinate 204,182,129 of NC_000002.12, forward strand.
TCTCTGTGTCTTCTCTTTTTCTCTTATAAAGGCCTTCATCATTGGATTTAGGGCCCATCCTAATTCAGGATCATCTCATCTCAAGAGCCTTACTTTAATTCTATCTGCAAAGGCTCTTGCCCAAATAAGGTCACATTCTATGGCCATAATTAAAAAGTCAAAAAACAATAGATATTGGCACACATGTGGTGAAAATGGAACACTTTTACACTGCTGGTGGGAACATAAACTAGTACAACCACTATGGAAAACAATATGGAGGTTCCTTAAAATACTTAAAGCAGAACTACCATTCGATCCAGCAACCGCACTAGTAGGTATCCAACCAAAGGAAAATAAGTCATTATATGAAAAGACACATGCACATCCATGTTTATAGCAGCACAATTCACAATTACAAAGATATGGAATCAACCTAAGTGCCCATCAACCAATGAGTAGATAAAGAAAATGTGGTATATATACACCATGGAATACTACTCAGCCATAAAAAGGAATGAAATAATGTCTTCTGCAGCAATTTGGATGGAGCTGGAGGCCATTATTCTAAGTGAAGTAACTCAGGAATGGAAAACCAAATATTGTATGTTTTCACTTATAAGTGGGAGCTAAGCTATGAGGATGCAAAGGCATAAGAATGATATAATGGAGTTTGGGGACTCAGTAGAAAAGGTTGGGAGGGGGATGAGGGATAAAAGACTACATATTGGGTACAGTGTATACCGCTGGGGTGACAGGTGCACCAAAATCTCAGAAATCACCAGGAAATAACTTATCCATGTAACCAAAATTACTTGTACTTCAAAAACTACTAAAAGAAAAATTTAAAAAATTAAACAAAACCCAAATAAGGTCGCATTCTGAGGCTCCAGGTAGACACAACTTGGGGGACTTGATTCAACCCATTACATGTAGTTCTAATTTTGTTTTATTAAAAATATGTATTTGTAAATAAATATATACATCTACATAAAAGAGAATTTATCATAGTTGTATTAGACTTTGGAGACAGACACATAGGCTTTTGATCCTCATTCACCTGTGACTGACAATGTGACAAGGTAGCTGCCACCCTCTCCTAACGCTATCTCTTGGAGGGCTTAACTCGTGGAGTCTCAGATTTCTTATGGGGGTTAATTCTTATGAATACTTTAGGTGGGTGACTATACCTCACAGGGTCATCGTAGTGGTTTTCAGATAACATACATAACTTACTTAGCATAGGACCTGACTTGCTAAATGTTCTCTCTAAATAGTAGCTATGATAAATTTGTATAAGAGTTCTGGAAGGATAAACCCCAAAATATTAACAGTAGTGATTTATTATGGAGGTTAATTATTATAAACATTTTTACTTTCTCTTTAATTTATTTGTATATTTTATTAAAATTTTAACCACACATATATTACTTTTTAAAATCAAGTAAAACAATAAAGCCATTTCTTTTGGGTGAAAGAACAAGAAGACTTATTACATTCTGCATCCCCTTGATCCTTGTGTGTACATATGAATAACTCAGGCGTTGTAGATTAAATTAACCATGCAGCTAATTTAAAAAAAAAAATTCTCCTCTTTTAGCCTTGGAAGCTCCATCCGCTCTCTCTCTCCATAGTTTTTCATGTGCAAAATTTGTGTTGGCTTCAGTGTGATTTTTTAGTGCCAAAACCATGATATGCTGACAAACAGGAATAACAGCATTTCTTAAATGTCCACAGTGCAAAGGGGAGAGGCATGGCGTGTTTCAAAAGATGGGTTCCTACTGTGGGAAGATGTGCTTTTTCTGAGGGGAACAGGGTAAACGCAATGATGAGGGAGTTCTGTCAGCAGTAGGATTGGGGCAGGGAGGAAGACAGCAAAGTTGAAACCAAGAGGTGAAATTGTCTAGTGGATTTGTGTCATATTTTAACACATATTTTTAGGATTAGTTGCCTTTTGAGAAAGGAAACACCTTACCTGAAAACATCTATTTAATTTTTTTCATATAAAAGTAGTATATGGTAAATGAAAATGAAGAAAATATGAGTAAGCAAAATTTTTGAAGTCAGAATCCCACCATTCAGTGGTAATGACATATTATATACACACACAGTTGCACATGTGTATACCCACACATACATCTAGGCGTGTCCCTGCCAGAACATACAGCACCTGTGTGCAAAATAGAAAAAGGCGACTCCCTTTGGGGATCAGATCAGCAAAAGATGACCACTCTGGGCAGATTTGGCAAGTAGAGAGTACTTTTTATGCAAATTAGAGAAAGAACTCCCTTTCCTCTGACCTGAAATATTCTCTTGCCAAGGCATCCATCTGGATGCCTCCGTCAGGGGATAACTGGGACAACTGCATGCAATGGCCCTGAAATGAGGATATACTCCCCCTGCATTTTTAGCATTTTATAATGTAGTATCTGATACATATAAAACAATGCATGTAGTTTAAATGCAAGTTATACGGCAAAATTTTTAAAAATTGACCTATCAACCAATTTCAGAACAGAAGCATTACCAAGATCATTGCACTTGCCTCTGTCCCCTCTACTATCCTAGACTTTCTCCCAAAGGAGAGAACTGCTATTTTATGTATGGGAACTTCATGTTTATTATTCCTTTTGAGATAATAAAGAAAGATATATATATGTATATCTCATATATATATATGTTTATCTCAAAAGAAAAAAGATATATATCTCAAAAGAAATAAAAGATATATATCTAAAAGCAATAATAAAATAAATATCAAAATAAATATCAAGAATATTTTGATATACATTTTTTTCTTTTTTGAGACGGAGTCTCACTCTGTAGCCCATGCTGGTGTGCAGTGGTGCGATCTCGGCTCACTGCAACCTCTGTCTCCCGGGTTCAAGCGATTCTCCTGCCTCAGCCTCTCAAATAACTGGGACTACAGGCACGTGCCACCACACCTGGCTAACATTTTGTGTTTTTAGTAGAAATGGGGTTTCACTGTGTTAGCCAGGATGGTCTCCATCTCTTGACTTCATGATCTGTCTGCCTCAGCCTCCCAAAGTGCTGGGATTACAGACATGAGCCACTGTGCCTGGCCAATATATATATTTTTTGATATATTTATATCAAAATATATACAGTCTTCTGTGACTTGCTTTTTAAGCTCATACTATTTTATAGCCTTGTTTTAGACTTAACAAACATCTTTCATGCCATAAAATTTTATCCTACAATATTGAAAAACTTGAAAGTGATCCATTAATTTGTTTGGACTGTAATTTAATTCCGTTATGTTAAATTTATTAAATATTAATTATGTTAAATGAACATACTTTAATTAAAAAGGCAGACTTTTATTTCCAATGTTGTTACAAAACTCTTCATGATTGTCTTTAACTTCCATCTAAATGAAATCTTGGACAACATTCTCGACTATTTTCTTAGAATGTAACTGAGCCCAGGTTCAGCTGCTCACCACTTGAAAGCCAAACACAAGACATGAGAATTGGCGGGAGGAAAAGGAGGTTTTGTTCAGAAAACCAGCAAAACTGAGACGATGGTGAACTAGTCTTCTGAAGCACCATGTTAAGTTTTGCAGGCTGACTGGAGGGTTTTTATGCTAGGGGGGATATAGGGAAGAGGAGGGGTTTGGTATCAAGAGGTGACCGCTGACCACAGACATATCTGGGTGTCAGCGAAGGTCCAAGGAGGTTGGGAACTTCTTTGCCCTTGGTCAGGTCATAGTGCTCCTGTAAATCTTTAACAAAACGTAGTTATTTACATACATCCTCTTTAATCTCAGTTAGTTTCAAAAATTACATGATTGCCATTTTTGCATTTTATTTCAGTACTCTCAAATTCTCCTAGCCTATGTGCAGGAATGGGTAAAGGCCCTTTAAACAAAATGGAGTTACTTATGTTAGTTTTTTGCTGTTTTGCTGTTACAAAAATAAATCCCTAGACATAGAATTGGTGGGTCAATGGTACATTGATTATAGGCTTTTGATGTGTATTAATACTGGTGATAATGTTAAGGTAATGAAGAAGCTGCCTAGTGGACAAGTGATAACTTATCCGAGGAATTCCATTCAGGGTTAATAGTCAAGTAAATACTTTTCAGATCTACTGACTTAAGAGAACTCCACTGTGCAGCAAACCTCACAGAGTTGTTCGCTCTGTTCTGACTCCAGAGGCTCAAGATTTACCATAATGTTATGAATAGTGGTAGTGGGTGTGGAGGTGGTCGTTTGGGGGAGAGTTCTCAAGCAAGACTTGAGCATGAAGAATCACAAAACCAGCCCATAGAAACTTCATACCTAGACCCATATGAGCCACAGAAGAGGGCAAAGGCGTCTCTCTGTACCATAGTCAAAAGGAAGGCCAGCCCAAGAAGGTGGGCACTGCAAAGAAGTGAGAGCATGCATAGTAAAAGCAGAAAGGAGGCCTTTGGATAGCCTAGCATCACCCCCAGTGCCATCCCACAATGAGCCTTCACCTCTCTGAGCAAAGAGTGAGAGAACTGAAAAGGGACAGCAGCCACCAACTTCAGCTTCAGGACCAGACAGAGAAGACCTATGATTCCTTTCCAAGAACAGAGGGACAGAAGTGGAAAAGCCAGCCAAGGACTGCATGAAGAGGCCCATCTTCATCAGAGGAGAATAGCCAACTCAGTCATTGCCTAGTTTGGCCTTCATAGATATTTAACAAACGGAAATATTGTTTATATATTAGTATATTCATTGCTTTAAAAAACACTTTTTTTAAGATCTTTCTTATTCAGGAAGCATTTCTATTTTTCTAACTGATTGAATTATTTGAATACTATGCCTAAAATCTTTACAATTGAAATGAGCATGCCTTCCTTTCTATCATGTCTGGAGATCAGAAATTAAATTTGTGTGTTAAGTAGATTGTCAATAATGCATTTCAAAAGGTCATAATGTCTGGACTTAAACAAAATTATGTTTTTATATAAGGAAATGTTTTCTCTTGTCAAAAATATGCCAGTAGTTTCTTTCTGTTTCAGTTTGCGGCATTGGCCTGTTGTGCTATATGATGAAACATGTCTGCTTAGAACAACCAAACAATAACAGTAGTTACTGTTACTGGAAAGGGGTCCCGATCCAGACCCTGAGAGAAGGTTCTTGGATCTTGTGCAAGAAAGAATTCGAGGCAAGTCCATAGAGTAAAGTGAAAGCAAGTTGATAAGGCAGAGCAGCCCCAAGGGCTGCTGGTTGCCCATTTTAATAGTTATTTCTTGAGTAGATGCTGAAAAGGGGTGGATTATTCATGAGTTTTCCAGGAAAGGGGTGGGCAATTCCCAGAACTAAGGGTTCCTCCCCCTTTAGACCATATCTCTCATGGTGCTGGTGGGAGTGTCACTTAGCATACTTATGAATTATAATTAGCATATAATGAGCAGTAAGGACAACTAGAGGTCACTCTCGACGCCATTTTGGTTTTGCTGGGTTTTGGCCAGCTTCTTTACTGCAAACTGTTTTACCAGCAAGGTCTTTCTGACTTGTTTCTTGTGCCTACACCCTTTCTCATCCTGTGACTTAGAATGCCTTCATCTTCTGGAAATGCAGCCCAGTAGGTCTCAGTCTTATTTTACCCAGCCCCTATTCAAGATGGAGTTGCTCTGGTTCAAATGCCTCTGCCATTACCATTGATTGAGCATTTATTACATGTCAGGCACTGGATAAGAACTTGTATGTATAAAACAACTTAATCCTTTTAACAACCCACACAGGAAGCTGTTAATGTTTAACAAAAGAACAGGCTGAGGTTTAGTGAGGTCACCTAATGGGTAGAAGTCACATGTCAGAGGCAGTGACTGAGCGGCACACTACCTATCTTTCATCTATAATCTGCACCAAGTGCCAAATAAAAGGGTCAAGGTGAAGGGAGCATCAGCCAGGTTCCAACATCAGGGGTGGGGGCAGGAACATAGGAGAGTGGGGTGGGCCTGTAGTGTTTCTTGGGTGAGGAGGGGCCACATTAAAAAGTCTCTACCCTTACATTTCTTCCCTTTATGTCTTTGGATATTGCTTCCCAGTGCTTTCTCTAAAGTTTTTTTTTTTTTTCCCCTTCAATAATTGTCTTGACACTGCCCTGTCAACATACTGGCTTTTACTATTTTTTAAATAAAGTGACAACCACCTTTACAGAACATGCTCAGTTGAAATGATTACTCACCTCACCAATACTCCAGCTTTCATTTATAATTATGGCCCAGGTTAGAAATAAAATCAAGCACCTCCATTCTTGAGCTCTGGATGGGAACTTTGAAGAATATGGCTATGAAAAGTTTTCAGTTGCAGGGCTCACTGTAAATTGGATTTATGGACTTTCTAGGCTTTGTCAAGGTAGCTTTGCCTTCATGAGTATTTCATTTTGAATTTATAAAGAATGTTTGAAGAGCTACTATGTATGAGGAACTATGCCAGTCACTGGGAAGACAAAGATGGATAAGGCATTGTCCCTGCCTGGGAGAAGTGAGGAGAAGGCCATAAAAAGAAACACAAAGATTATCACAAACAGGGGCTCCGAGGGCTGGCTGCCCACTGGAATCATCTAGAGAACTTTAAAAACATACTATGATTGGATTCCACTTTCTAAGATTTTGATTTAATTGGTCTTGGGTGAGGCCCAGTCAGTTTTATAAGTTCCCCAAGTGATTCTAAAGTACAGCCAGGATTCACAACCATGGAACTGAGGCATGTGTAAGACGCCCAGGGGGCTTGTTCTGCAAAGCTTTGGAGGAGGTAATATTTGAGCTTGATTTGAAAGGATTGATGGGAGGGTGCCAGGCATTTCAGAGCAGAACTGAGGAAGGGCCTTCCTTGTCGGAGAATGGAAGAGCATTAACAAAGGCACCAACACACCACTGGGGAATGACTTCCATGGAGTGGCTGAAGCACTGGGGGAGTCAGAGCTCAATGGGAAATGAGGTTGACCAGAGGTGAACTGGGCAGGTGGCAGGAGAAAGGGTCGGGGAAGGGCCAGGCAAGAAGGACTTTTTGTTTCATATTGAGGAGATGAGACCCTATTCTACAGATGACAAGAATCCATCAACAATTTCAAACAGATCCCAGTTGCTCTGTGTGTGTGTGTGTGTGTGTGTGTGTGTGTGTGTGTGTGTGTGTGTGAGATGCGTTTTGGGGAGGAGCTGATGGTTGGGAAAGAAGGATCCACTTATAGTGAGGGGCCTGGAGATACACAGGGTGAGGCCAGTGAACAGGTTATTGTAATCCTTCTAGTGAGATTTTATTCAAGAAGATAAAAGGAAATAATGCAGACATTTTTGTTTGTTTGTTTGTTTCCATAGAATTACAGGCTGGTAACTACAATCTATTAACCAACAGGCAATTGTTTTGAAAACCTACAGATGTTGAGTGAGGAAATGGGAAAACAGAAGTGGGTAAGGCAGACACAGACTCTGCTGTCCTGCTGCTTACAGTCTAGGGGTCGGGAATAGGTGGTGGATTTTCCAAAGACACCTTTGGTAGAACAACTTCAAAAAGTGAAGCAAGTTGAGAATATATGTACATTCAAGAGGGATTTGGCTAAGTGTAACAGGAGGATAATCTGGAGTTGTTGAAGCGCAGTTCAGAACATTTGGGATGTTTAAAAAAACACTTTTTATAATTGCTATCATGGAGGTCAATGCATGGTCTCCCAAAAGACATGGCTTATTGTCTGTATCAAAGACAAGATTCTTGGTCGACAGAACTGTTAGTACATCCTAGCACAGAATTTCTTTTTAATAAATTAATTTTACATTGACAAATATAAATTGTATATATTTATCATGTACAACATATAGTTTTGAAATATGCACACATTGTGGAATGGCTAAATCAAGCAAATTAACATATGCATTACCTCACATACTATCATTTTCTGTGGTGAGAACACTTAAAATCTACCATCTTAGCAACTTCAAGTATGTAATACATTGTTACTAACTATAGTAGTCCCCATGTTGTACAATAGATCTCTTGAACTTATATAACTGAAATTAACTAATTTATCCTATCTAAGTGAAATTTTGTTTCCTTTAACCAACATCTCCCCGCTCACCGCAAGCCCCACACCAGCTCCTGGTAGCGACCATTCCATTCCACTTTCTACTTCTGAGTTCAACGTTTTTATACTCCACATATAAGTGAGATTATGTGGTATTTGTCTTTCTTGTAGTGTGGAATTTCTTACGTTCCAATTATTTTAGCTTGATAAATATGGCACCATGCCATATAAGAAACTTGAGTTTACTTGAATTGTCCCAAACAGCCATAATTATAAGGCCTTTGTTAATTTAGCTTAATAACCATTACAAGTGTCCACATGAAAGCAGTTGGATACTATATCAACTATTTTAAGCACCCTGTAGCCTATCAGAAATATCATCACTCAAGTGAATTTAAATATGCCTGAGATCTCTTCTACTCAAGTATTGTGGAACTCATTTAGAGTAATAAAGATAAGGATGATAGATTTATTGTAACTTATTAACAAATATAAATTGTTAAAATCTACTTTCAAAAATCTACTTGTATGCAAAATCGTTGTTCATCGTAGGAAATAATTTTTTGACATTAAACTAGTGGAAGATTGGGAGGAATATGGATTCAATCAGCAATTTCTTACTTTTTTTTTTTTTTTTTAAACTCAAGCTCAAAAGCAGATGAGGTGTTTTAATTATTTCGATTCACATGTGGAAAGAATAAATCTGAAGGAAATAGCTTAGGATTCCTTCCAAGTTTGAATTACAAATTATCCCAGGACCCTGGAGAGAAGCAACAGCAAACAAGATTTTAGGCAGTTCTTTGTCAGGTCAGCCTTCGATCAATATTGAAAGCCACCTTGAGGACCTCATTTTTTTTCCTGGTGCTTTTTCCCTGGGTTGAGGGGAGTTTAAGTGTAATCTTTCTCCTGACAGTTCTATGATATGTGTTATTTGTGTTATGTGGCTGGTGTCCCAGGCCCAAATCCTATGAGAGCTGCTTTGTGAGGCCACCCCCACCTCAAATGAGTTCATGGAATAAATGCCTACCAAACACCCAGGCAAATCACTAGGGCTTTGGAAGTTATCTATGCCACCTTTAGCTTAAGGCCTGTACAACACACAGGTGATGCTGACTGTTTCTGTGCCCTGACTATTGACCATCTCGATCTTTACACTGAGGAAGGAGGAAGCAGCTGCCCCTGCAGTGCTTAGGGTAGAGCTGGCTGAGGCCCCCTACAAGGGACTCCCATGTCACAGACGGTTCTCTCATCATTCCTTTTCCCCCAAGCCCCACTTGGGACCTGCTCTGCTTTTCCAGGGGCTTAAAGGAGACAAGATCCACATGGTGAGAATATATTGCATGGAAGAGAGGTGTTCCAGGAGAGAAAAGAGAATCTTGTCTAATCTGATTTTATTTGCAATCTCTGTAATTCTCCCCATAAGCTCCCACCCTCATCTTACACTGGGCACTTTTATAGCCCTGAGGAATCCTTCTTACCTTTGATTCATATCCTTAAATGTAGATGTGAAGGGTGACCTTGAACATCCCATGGAAATAAAAATGTACCACCAGCCATCACCAAGACATGCAGCTAAAAAATCACACAATTTATGCCAAATGCTATTAGGAAGAAAAAACACATGAAAGATAAAATACTACTTTAAAAAGCCTAAATATCATTTCCCCTTGATAAAAGATACAAGGTATTTAACAGACAAGCTTAGCAAACCCTTAGGAATTTTGTGTTATGGGAAAAACAAAAGCAAACCAGACAAGGATTTAGTGTTCAACTGAAGCTTGATCTAATTTCCATCCTTTACACTGGTCAGCAGGAGACCTATTTTTTTTGGTGGTGGTTTTTAAAAAGTCTTCCACTCAGGGGATGTTTTTTCCCATTTGCACTAATTTCTCTTGACTTTAAACTTCCAGCTTGGCACCTGAGCAACTTCCTCAGGCATTTTTAAGCTGCAAAATGGAGAGTCTCAGGCATCTCAGAACATTGTGTAGTCACAGAATAATCTGCCTGGAGCGACTGTGCCTCCCAGAGCACCTATAAACTGTTCTCTCTCTCTCTGCCTGAAGGACACCTCCTTTTGGCATTTAGGTAGACAGTTTTTCCTCTGGTGCAATGCAGCTTCCATGGCAATTGATGCCGGGAGCATTCTGCTGTGAAACAGGAGTAAAAGGAAAACCAGCAGCCAAGTGACTGTATCATTTTTAAAAATACTAATTGACTTTGTTGAGATAATTACTGCAGATTGAGAGACTTGGACTGTCTCTGGCAGGTAACATGGAAAACTTACTGATTCTGAGACTACAGAAAGAAAAAAAGTTTGCTGTACTGAATGAGAAGCCTCAGGCTATCTTAAAGGCAAATATTTCTTATTCACAGATCATGAAGCTGACGGACCTGTGCTTACTTTAAATCTGGAAGAAAAACGTATACTCATGAGGTTATATTTTGTCTGAGAACCTCAAAGCACTACATAGTCCTAAAGTACTTCTTTGAAGCCCATAGTATTACTCTATATCTATATTACAATTCAATCATCCAACAATCATTTATTGAGAACCTACTGTTTAAAGTGCTATATTAGATTCTATGTGCAATGTAAATATGAATCACAATTTGATACATGTCTTCAAGGAGCTTATGCTGTCACAAGAGAGGTAATATATTCATAAATAAATACAGTAGAAAATAGAAAATTCTATGATATCTAGCAGTCAGTTAAATTGTTAGGCTAAAACTTGGAAGAGGTCAGACCTGGAATTAACTTTGGAATCATTGGATTCAACCATTTTATTGGAAATCTTGTACAAATTCACCAAAATTTTTCAAGAAGCATTAATCCATCAAAAACAAAATTCTGATACAAACTATGATGATTAAGTTAAAGTGCAATTTACCACTAACTGGGTTGCCAAAATAAAATCATTGCATGGGTCTTTAATTTTTAAAGTCAATGTTGATTCATACGCTGTCAATGTCCAGAATGGGGAGAGATTTTTATGTTGTTTTTGGTGATGGTTTGGCTTCCTCATAAAGAAAGAAATATTGTCCTGTTCAACAGTTATCATAAGTTGGTCAAGGATAGAAACGACATGCCGGTCATGGTGGACCCATAAATGAAACCAGGAAAGAGATTTATTGTGTTCAGTGACAACAATAGGTTCCCAAACAATCTCAGCCAGCTATAACAACATGTTTGTTCTCAAAGGATGAAACTTAATAGGGAAAAGAGTGCAGCCTGTGTTTGGGTCCAGAAAACCAGTGACTGTGTATGGATGGCAGAGATGTAGCTGAAGGCCAGACATGTGGAGATGACCATGGTTTCCTATAAGCCCAGTATGAGCCAAGCATGTGAGGAGGCATCCAGACAAGGCAATACCTACTCAATCTGCATTAATCAAGGAAGATTCTTCCAGATAAGAGGAGTGAAGCTCCACTATAGCCTAAGCTGGTCAGAAACCATGCCTGGAACATTTTGTGCCATGCTTTCAGAAGGCCATCAGTAAACCATAGGTCACCAAGGTTGGTGAAGGGAGTCAAAAACCATGATTTACAAAGAATGCTTGAATGAATGTAGAGTCTGGAGAAGAGACTCGATGATAGGAAGTACATATGGGTTGTCTTCAAGTAGGAGAACAGCTGTCACGTGGGGAAAAAAAGGAGACATTCTGGGTAAATGGTGGGAAAAAAAATGGGACCCAATAAAAAGGAGTCAGAGAGAGGTAACTTTTAGCTCAATATAAAAAAAGAATTCTGTAACAATCTGAACCACCATAAAGAAGAGCTTGGTGGTTTGAGAGATGGTAAGCTCTTTGCCACTGAAAGTATTCAGGGAAAAAAGCACATGAGCATATTTAACGGGGGTGTGAGATCACATAACAGATGGAAAAACTGGACAAATAACTGTTGATATCCTTGACAAATCTGGGTTCTATGGGTCTATGTACATGATCCTAGAGAATGATCCTCTGTCTGTATTCATCTTAATAACTACATTCAATCACAGAATTGCTCTTATGAACAAAATCACCAAGAAAGAGACTTGTCAAAGACTGCATAATACAAGACCTACCTTGTCACCCTGGCTCATACATGGACACTCAACAAGCATTTATTAAATGAGTGAATTTGCCTTGTAACACCAAACAAATGAAAGCAAAACACAAAGCTTTATGAATAATGCAGTATTTGGGGTATGTGAATTAAATGCTACTAGCCACAGTTTCTGTCTGCTCCCTAGACAAGGAGCAGAAATTGGAATATTTTAGTACCCTAGTTACATCTCTTTCTTCACTTTTTTTTTTCTCACTTGATGTCACCTCCCATCCCTGCTTTAGAAATTCAATTCTAAACCCCTGAATTCCAAACAATCCTTCCCCAACTGAAAACAATTTTCACTCAGCCACTTAACCTTGCTGACTGACAAACTCATCAGGGCGAATGACTTTTCGTCAATGTGTCACTTAACCAGGCCTATGCGTTTAAAGTCTTTGTCTATAATTAGGACACAAAAGCTCCAGAAAGTAAACTCCGATCTCAGCAAGCAGGAGGACGGAGTAGCAGCTTAGGAAAGGTGCTGGGGTTAGCTCTGAATCCTCCCACCAAGTTCCTTAGTGTGGCAGAAAACTTCTAAATAGTGGAAACTACAGCTGCTGAGGTACTATGTAAAGTAAATAAATTCAGCTCATGAAATAATGAACCATAACTACAATTCTCCTTGCTTTTCTACAGTTAAAAGAAATCACATAATTTCTTTCAAGAGAGAAAATAAAAACTAAGATAATCCATGAGAGCCATCGCTCAACAAAAACCTACTATGCATCCCAGTAAACTGGGCTTTTCTCTCCAAGTTGTTGGGTTTTTTTTGGTGGGGGGTGGGCGGGGGGTGAGCGGGTGGTGGCGGTTGTCATGTGTATGCGTGTGTGCATGCGCTTGTGTGCGTGCACACGTGAGTCTGTGTCTTTGTGACTCAAACCTTTGAGGTTAGGAGTGAGCATAGAAGAACATGGAGCTTCTGAAGGTCAAGCTAATTCTGTCCTTTGCATGGGGCTCAGAATGGATTTTCCCACCTCCTTCCACTTCCCTGGGTAGGGTGGGCCAGTGTTCCTGCAGCTTATGGCTGTTGGAAGCCTCTTTCCAGGAGATGTTGGGGGCTTCCATGTGTGCCTGTTTGATGCCTCCTGGCTCACTCTCACTCTGGCCTTTCTCTCTGTTCCCCTCTTTGTGCTTCACAGGCCTCTGCTCTGCAAACCCTCCAGCCATTTCTCCTTTCCTTTTCTTTACATGTTGAGCTCCTCCCTCTCCCAATTTGAACCAATCTCCTTCCCTTCCTTATCTTTGACCCTTGAGATTCAGATGTGTTTTACATTTCCAGCTCATTTGTTGCTAGCTTAACTAATTTATTTTTATAACTCCCTCTTTCTGACATCCTAAATGCCTCCATGTGTCTCTATATTACTTCTACCTCTGCTAACAGTTTCTGGTATCAAAGAGGATATTGCAGCACATGGTCTGCAATTAGTTGAGGTTTTACTCTATTAATACCAGCCCCATCCTTGGCCCTTCCAGGGTTTCATGCATCCAGGAGAAAGAAATAAAGCTGCAGGGCATTTCACAAACAGCATCTTGTAAATTCAAAGCATTAACGCCACAGCACATCTGATCTTAACAGCCCCTGCTCCTTGCCACAGGGGAACGACTTCTTTAAAGCAAGAGTCGTCCTTTCCAGGCACACAGAAGCCCAGGGGTAGGCAAGTTCGTGCCAGGTCTGGTGACTGTGGAGATTTAGTCTTTGGTTTCATGATAAACTCTGCTTCATGTCCTCAGCTGCCTTACCCTAATGATCCTTTATGCCACCGCCTTGAGAAGGAGGAAGACATGAGCTGAAATGAAAACATCAAGTAGAGAAAAGACTCCACAACAGCCCTCCCAGCTGTGAGGTGGGCTGGTGATGTGTGCTGTTGACCTGCATACTTAAATCTAATAACACAAACGGATGCCTGGAGCTTGTACCAGAGCAAAGAGGAGAAAATTATGTGAAACGCTGGACATTGGAAATGGGAGGGGGAGGATGCAGACTGAGGCCTCATCTAGGCAGGTGGTCCTTGCAATCTGAGCAAAGGGTTCTCTTTGATCATGATCTTTGGATGACCGGATTTTAGGAGCCAAGGCCACCTGTGAAGTCACTGACAGAGAACAAATAGCTGAAGAAGCAGGAGGAAAATATGTTTCAGTGAAAGTGCACTCACATCCAGCCACCCCACCAGGCCCCACTTCCCAAGAGACACAGTTCCTGTCTGGCCACATGGCCTTCACAGAGACATGGTTTGCCACGACAAAAACATGTCACTACCGAGGACTGAGGCAACTGCCTTCCAGGGACTCTATTGAGACTCAGAACTATGCTCTCCAAAACAGAGAGACTTCTTTAGAGCTTCGAGAACTCCCTTCTATTGACTCAAACGGTCAACCTCTTGATGTCCTACCTGTTTTCCCCAAACTTAATTCAGCTGCTGTGGGGTCGTACAGGCTGATATATTTTTTTAAGTGGCCTTTGGATTTGTAACCCTGTCTGAGTCCCTTACTCCAACATGAACCTGAGAGAGGAGGCTCTGGTCTCAAGTTCTTACTGCAAGGAAAACTCAGGAGGCCAGGTAAACCACTGCAGCTCCAGACACACCTGTCCTGGAAAGGGGTAGGGATGAATAAGATGGGACAGGTATGGCCGGGCGCGGTGGCTCACACCTGTAATCCCAGCACTTTGGGAGGCTGAGGCGGGAGGATCAAGACCATCCTGTCCAACAAAGTGAAACCCTGTCTCTACTAAAATACAAAAATTAGCTGGGCATGGTGGTGCATGCCTGTAGTCTCAACTACTTGGGAGGCTGAGGCAGAAGAATCGCTTGAACCCGGGAGGCAGAGGTTGCAGTGAGCCAAGATCGCGCCACTGCATTCCAGCCTGGGTGACAGAGTGAGACTCCATCTCAAAAAAAAAAAAAAAAAAAAAAAATGGGGCAGGTACATGGGTGGACTGTGATCTCCATTCCTTGCCATTTTCCCAGGCTGGGAGGGAATCTGAGCCATCATGTCTGAGTCTTGTTGATTTTTTTGTTGCAGTTGTAAAGAACTGGTCACAAAAACACAATCTGCCAGCATATGTCCTTTCCTTTTCTCTTCCAGCTGAAATTCCTTCGAAATCTTGTCTGAGTTCATGAGCCTTTATTAACAAAAGGTAGAGAAAAGCTGCTGAAACTGTACATCACCAGGAGGCATAGTTCTAATACTGGTTCTAGGGTCCAAACAGAGATGGGGAAATCTCCTGTTTTTATTTCTAGTAGTGAGAAAGTGAGTCTTCAGTGACATTTACGCATGTGCGGGAATGGGGAGAGACCATTACACACAGAGACCGTTTGATAGAGAAACATCTATAGAGATGGAACTAGAATAGCAACAGTGGTGTTTTAAAGTGCTGATAATTGTAATGCTCTTTAATTTCTAATGTTCTTCTGTGCATTATTTTTATAGCTTCTTTATTTTTACAGCTGCCCCTATATTGAAGAAACAAAAACAAATAAACACAAATCTATTTCCCTTAGAAATTTAATTCTAAACCTGAACAACTGACTCGAATTTTCTGCCAATCCTCTTGGAAACTGGCCAGGGGACATCCTTCCAAGGCAAGTGTAGTCCCCCAGAATATTGGCACTCTGGAAACAGTCCACATGACTGTCAAATTAGTTCAATTTTCCCGGTAGCCATAAAGAGGATCAGTGCCCCAGTACCAGAAACAGTGGTGTTCAGAGCCAAACCATTCATTTCTCTATTTCTGCCTCCCTTACTCCATCTGAGACTTTGAATTATTAAGCTTGGGCTCCATGAGTAATGAGACTGGTCAGCTATTTGCAAGAAATTTGTGTAGCCAATTCAGCCAGAATTAATGATACTAGCTACTACTACTATTACTAACATTAATTGAGCTCTTACCTTGTGCCAGGCACTATTCAAACTACTTTCATGCACTAACTCGGGTAATCCTCATAACGGTTTATAAAGAAGGATACATCTTTCTCCTGCTGATATCTTTGCTCTATGACTTTTTAAGTTTGGATGGAAATAGTCCATGGTAACTAATATTGAATATTTTCTGAGAGTATAGTTCCTTATGAAACATATCATATGTGATCAGCTTTCTTTCTCTATTTTTTTCATTTGGGAATTGCAGAACACCCCTATTATGTTGGTGTTGGGACTCAGAAAATGATAACCCAAAGTGAAAGCCTCAGAAGCAGCTTCAGAAGCCAAAGTTTTTCCCTGACCTTTTCCTGCTCTCCTGTCTCAGTCCAATTCTCCCCCATCCCAGGCCAGCCAGAAAAAGTAGAACCCCCAGAACCCCTTTTCCCCAAGGGATGCCATAGAAAACAGAACGCCTCTTTCCCCAATGCCAGCCATAAAAGCTAAAAATATTACTGTAATCCCCTCTTCCACCTTTCTGAGTAAAAACTAGCCATAAAGAAATTATCTGATCTACCTTGCTTGACTGTAGGTCATAAGACCCCCATTCCGGAGAGGGTTCTGCCCCATACCCAGAAGAAAGGAATGAATACTCACACAGGCCAAGAAGAATCTACACAGGCAGGCCTTGCTGGGTTTCCCCACTTAGTCTGTTAGCATTAGATCAGACCCTTGCCGTCCAATCCTATCTCCATATGACTATTCATATTTTGTTGAGCCTAAGCATAAAAATAGACAACCTCTCCTGTGTCTTTGGGTCTTCATTCTGAAGGCTCCCATGTGCACATTAAAAATAAATTGGTATGCTTTTTCTCCTATTAATCTGCCTCTTGTCAGTGATTTTCAACAAACCTTTAGAGGGAGAAGGGGAAGTTTTCCTTGGGCCCCTACGTTGGAAAATGAAGAGTCTGATATGAATTGATCTTTTACTATATGCCAGATACAGTGATAACAACTTCCATATACAACATCTCATTGAATTCTCACAATAATTTTGCAAAACAGATATTCTTATGCTCATTTTACAGATAAAGAAACAGGGGTCCAGAATTTCAAACCTCGTGCTTTTCCCCCCCATGATACTATTTTTGCTTCATACTTTTGAGCAGTGTCAAATCCTGCCAGATCACTTCCCCTTTGCCCAGACCTGCTTTGGCTCTTACCTGTACTTTTCTCCCTCTTAGTCTCCACGGCCAAAGTGATCAATAGAAATGACAGGATTAAATTCACAAAGATATGAAACCATTTCAATGCCTTTTCTCTACTTCCAGCCTTAGAGAGGTATGATAGCCTGGTATGACAGGAGACAGCTGATCACATGTGCCCTCAATCAGGTCAATGTCATGCAATAGCAGCACAACTTGCCAGGTGGAATGACTAGTCGTTATATTACCTACTGCAGACCTGTTTGAGCCAAGTGATATGGCTTGTGAAAGGCAGTTTTCCCAACTACAGTATGCGTTGCATAATGATGGGGATACGTTCTGAGAAATGGATTGTTATGCAATTTTGTGGTTGTGCCAACATCATAGGCTGTACTTACACAAACCTAGGTAATATAACCTAGATGGTACACACCTAGGCTATATGGTGTAGCCTATTGCTCCTAGGCTACAAGCCTGCACAGCATGTTACTGTACTGAATACCATAGGCAGTTGCAATACAGTGGTAAATGTTGGTGTATCTAAACACAGAAAAGGTACAGTAAAAATACAGTATTATAATCTTAGGCTGGGCTCAGTGGCTCACACCTGCAATCCCAGCACTTTGGGAGGCCAAGGCGGGTGGATCACTTGAGGTCAGGAGTTCAAGACCAGTCTGGCCAACATGGGGAAACCCCGACTGTACTAAAAATATGAAAATTAGCTGGGCATGGTGGCGGGTGCCTGTAATCCCAGCTACTTGGGAAACTGAGGCAGGAGAATTGCTTGAACCTGAGAGGCAGGGGTTGCAGTGAACCGAGATTGCCCCACTGTACTCCAGCCTGAGCAAAAGAGCGAGACCCCAACTCAAAAAAATATATACAGTATCATAATCTTATGGGACCACTCTCATATATTTGGGAAATATCATTATGTGGCATGTGGCTATACATAAGAAAATCACACTGGCTTTTCATGTGATATGGCTTGTAGTATAGGATCATGTAAGCCCTCAATTTGAGCTTCCTGTGACCTGGCAGTTCCTTTCCCTGAACATGCAGAATCCACCACCTTTGATGTATCTCCTGTGAGGAACTGAAAAGACTCTAGCAGCTGTGCTCACTGATCAGACCCTGTCTGATATCATGGTATCTGCCAACCCGTATCGGTTTAACTATAGATGCATGCTTAGTTAGCTGGAAATGGATCCTCGAAGGCCTTGACAACGAACTGTAATGTTTATACGACACAGCCTATGCTTGAGTGCTTTTCTCCCCCTGCAAAACCCCAAATCTCATTTTTGTAAGACAACTTAAGACTGTTAATCATCCAAGGCTAAAGTAATCATTATTACCACCCCCACATCTGAATGTTACCTAACAGTTTTCAGAACAATTCCATTCACTGTGATAAATTATAATATTGTATTTGTTCAAAATTCTTTCTTTCCTCCCGCCCATGCCCTTCTCTGTGGGCTGAAGATGCTTTACTTCCCTGTTGACACTGGTCTTGGCCAAGGGACTTGCACTGACCAGTCAAATGTTAGCCTCAAGCTCAGACTTCAACAGTCATATCAAGTTTCCACTTGCTCTTTTCCACTGCAGTCAAAAGCCATGAGAAGAACATAAACGAAATAGCCATTCCATGTTAAGCCTGGGTCATGGAATGAGAGACACCTAAGCCCACTTGAACCTAAGCCCAGCCAAACTCAGCTGAGCCACAGCTAATCAAGAAACCCATGAAGGAAAAATATACGTTGTTGCAAATCATGAAAATTTTGAGATTGTTATGCATTATTGTGGCAAAATCTGATTATAGATTTGTATATGTTTGTATAATTTCTTGTTTTCTCAAAACAGCTCTGCAAATGGGTAGGAAAAGAACCTTTGTTCCCATTTTACAGTGGAAGCAACTGAAGCTTAGAAAGGATTTGAGAACCATCTAACGTCATGAAATTAGTAATTTGGGGAGGCTATCATTAAACCCAGATGTCCTGATGCCAAGAGTAGTGCTCTTTCTTCTTCATACACTGCCTCAATAATGTCCCTCTCCATGGGAAGGCTCTAACCCATCAATAACCATTTTCTTTTCCAGTCTTCCACTTAACTAAGCACATAACTAATAGCCATGCAGTCATGAGGTAGGAAGATTCTCTGATATAAAAATGAAGATTCAATTTGTGTAAAATTTTATAGGAAAACATGCTGTATGAATGTTATAAATTATTGAATATTTCCCATCTCAATTGTTTCTCACAGTGCACTGCATTTTTCTTCATTTTCTTTTGTAGTTGTTGTTAAAAATGGAAGGATTAGCTTTTCAAATGCCACCTGGGAAACTCCATGCCTGGTCCTTTTCTTAAATCGGTTCACTGGACAACTGCATCTCCCTGCTGGGTGCTGGGCAACATAACAAGGGGTTTGCGGGCTATAGAAGCTGCACTCACTCCTTAGCAAAAACCAGGCTAGTGACCAAGTGGCCTGAGTCCAGATGTCCAACTGACCATGTTAAATAGCCACCCAGGCAGGGAGCATGTAAACACAATGCCATTTCCTCAAGATATATCTTATTATTATAGTTATTGACATGTATTAAGCACAGAATTCCCAAATGCTAAATGCATGTTAATAACAGACTATCCCCACACGTGTGATTCAATTTGGCATGTACCCTGTTTCTCTTTCTCTACTATTTCATCCACAGGGGCTCTCTAGGTCTGCTGA
This sequence comes from Homo sapiens, assembly GCF_000001405.40. Lineage (NCBI taxonomy): Eukaryota > Metazoa > Chordata > Mammalia > Primates > Hominidae > Homo > Homo sapiens. Next base: position 204,201,997 of record NC_000002.12, read on the forward strand.
CTCTGACTTCAGCCCCGGTGGTAGTGATGAAGAATGACTTAACAAGGACTCTACTTTGGAACAGAATTAAAGATGGAAGACCCAATATTTATACCTGTAGGTGATGGTGAACTGGGGTCACAAACACTTTGGGAAGTAGGATCAGAAATCCATTTGGGAAATAGGATCAGAAATCCAAGTGAGTTAAAGTGACTAGACCCAAATGAAATGAAATGCAGCAAGGGAAGTGTCTCAAAGTCTGGGCAGCAGGCAAGGAGGCAAGTAAAATGGCAAAGGCTAGAGCAAAAGGCATGAAATGGGCACGATGGATACCAAGGAGGACCAAGCCAGTGATATTGACCTGCAGAGCAAGGAGCATAGGCCCTGAGAATTCTGTCCTCCTCTACTGACAACCTCTGACCAAAATACCATGATCACAACCAAAGAGTTCCTTTTTAAAAATTTAACAAATATTTACTGAACTCTTTATCCATACCAAGCTCAGTGCTGGGCAATGTTTGCATAGAATTGTGGCCAAGTAGACAATATATTTGCTTAATTGCTTAATTGGATGATACAATGTAGTGGAGAGCTTTCTCACAAAAGCATCAATATAATCAAGTATTAAAAATACCTTTTAAGAAATATGAACATGAACTGTCTGATTCATGAAGTGATATAAAACCTAAATTTATGAAGGACTGGGTTCAGAACAAGAAAAAAATGGGCTTCACAAAGAGCAAGAGAGATTTAGTTTCCTGGTGACAAATACTTTAAGGCTGGAAAAGGTTACTGAAGAGGTTGTATCATCACCTTCTAAAAATTAGAACTAGCCTCATCTGTTTAGTATGGTATTAGAAGACAATCTTTTTTTTTTTTTGAGACAGGGTCTTGATCTATTGCCTAGGCTGGAGTGTAGTGGCACAATCACAGCTCACTGCTACCTTGACTTCCTGGGCTCAAGCAATCCCCCCACCTCAGCCTCCTGAGTAGCTGGGACTACAGGTGTGTGCCACCATGCCCAGCTAATTTATTTTTGTATTTTTTGTAGATATGGGATTTCCCCATATTGCCCAGGCTGGTCTCAAACTTTTGGGCTCAAATGATCTGCTTTGCCTTGGCCTCCCAGAGTACTGGAATTACAGGCATGAGCCACTGTGTCCGGCTACGCTTGTCATATCTTAGCATGCATCAGAATCACCTGGAAGGATTTGTTGAGGCACAGACTGCTGGACCTCATCTTTAGATTCAATTTCAGATTCAATAGGATGAGGGTTGGGCCTGAGAATCTGCATTTCTAGTAAGTTCCCAGATGATGCTGATCACATTTTAAGAGACATCAGTTTGAAATTGTGTTTCCTAAATCTCCCTATTGATGAGAATCACTTACAAATGTAGAGTTGGGTCTCTCTTCTTTTATCTCTGCTCCAAAGTGGCGTCCTTTGAGTTCCTTGGCTTTTATCCCTGCTTTGGAGTTGAAGCCAGGTCTAGCAGCCCCATAGAAGTCATGTGGACAGAATGACAGGGAGAAGCTGCGTACACATCCAATTTCCTCGGCCTATCCTCTGGATATTTGTATGCCGTAGAACTAGGGTGGGGTCCAGAAGCCTCCATTACGTAAATATTTCAAGAGATGCTCATGATCAGGTAAGCCTGGGAATCAGGGGTAGATAAACTCTGCAGTTCCCTTCCATGAATTTCTGAAGACTGGCAGGTTTCGCTGTCCTTTGCAATGTAGTGTAGTAAGTAAAAAGATAGCCTTGAAGTCAGAGATCTAGTCAGTATTTAACATTCCTACGCTTTGTGATTGTGAGCAAATCTCTCTAAGCATCAGGGTTAGCTGTAAAATGCAGTGTTATATGTAAAATAAGCCTAATCATAATTCCGTCAGCACCCACTGTGCGCCAGGTGGTTACTGAGGTAGGACAGGCACGGCCCCACCCTCACAGAGCACACAGTCTAAGCAAGCAGAACAGGAAATAAGTGACAGCAGTGACATGTGATGAGGTGTCCCAGCCAGTTTGTGGGGTTGCTGTGAGGTAAGAGGAGATCATGTGGAAACACTAGAATTATAAAACACAGCAGGTATACAAGCATTTACTTCACCACCATCATCCTTATTTTAGCAAGAAAGAGGGCTCTGTTAATGGTCATGGAGAAACAGAAATTAGGGACCAGAAAATGGATGTCCCAACTGGGAAATATTGACAGAATAAATAAAAAGGGGAGGAGAATAGGGAGAGTCTAGCATTATAGAAGCCAGGAGAGGACAGAGATTTTGAAAGAGGATGATTGATAGTTCTTTTTTTTTTTTTTCTTTTGAGACAGAGTTTCAGTCTTGTTGCCCAGGCTGGAGTGCAATGGCGCGATCTCGGCCCACTGCAACCTCCGCCTCCTGGGTTCAAGCGATTCTCCTGCCTCAGCCCCCCGAGTAGCTGGGATTACAGGCGTGCGCCACTATGTCCAGCTAATTTTGTATTTTTAGTAGAGACTGGGTTTTTCCATGTTGGTCAGGCTGGTCTCGAACTCCTGATCTCAGGTGATCCACCTGCCTTGGCCTCCCAAAGTGCTGGGATTACAGGTGAGAGCCAGCTGCCCGGCCTGATAGTTTTTTTGTTTTTTTGTTTTTGTTTTTGTTCTTTTTGAGACGGAGTCTCATTCTACTGTCCAGGCTGGAGTGCAGTGGCGTGATCTCAGCTCACTGCAAACTCTGCCTCCTGGGTTCAAGCGATTCTTGTGCCTCAGCCTCCCAAGTAGCTGGGATTATAGGCACCCGCCACCATACCCAGCTAATTTTTGTATTTTTAGTAGAGTTGTGGTTTTACCACGTTGGCCAGGCTGGTCTCAAACTCCTGACCTCAGGTGATCCACCTGCCTTGGCCTCCCAAAGTGTTGGGATTATGGGCATGAGCCACTGCACCCAGCTGATGAACAACAGTTCTAAATACTTCAGAGATATCAAAGAGAGTGAGAACTGAGAAAAAGTATTTAGAAGGCTGAGTTGGGCAATTGGTGATTTGAGAGATGCAGGCAGATGGCAAAACAAAACAGGTTATTTTCCATCAGTTTTATTGAGTAGGACACTGAACAACAGAGTGATACCCCCAGGTAAGTCATTTGCAGAAATCAGATCAAAATGCTCTGTCTTTCTAAAGGTCAAAGTTATATCATCGCAAATTAGAGAGTCCCAGTTGCTTGCTGCAGTCTCCACCTCTGGCACTGATGCCAGCCTGGGGAAGTCCTGGGCACCACACAGGCAAAATGACTCTCTTTGTAGAGGTGGCTCCTTTCAGGTTAGGGTGGCGCTATTTAACGCATAGGTAGGTGGCCTGGCACTCTTTGTTATGCATCTGTAAGATACTTTGGGGTTTAGGAAGCTGGCGCACTATAAATTGTTATATCATTAATAATAAATTGTGCTCTGCAAGAAACCTGCGTTGCAGACATGAGCGCTACAGTGTTAAGACAGCTCTACTACAGGGTGAATTTCACAGACAGTAGTAAAAGGGGTCAATTCACCTGGGTGGGAAGGAAGAGCTCAATATCTAACATATGTTGGGACTGATGTTTCAAAATGTATATTTTTAAAATGTGGAGGGAAAAAATCTGCCTCTAGGCTGGCTCTTTTTATTCTACTGGGCTGCTTTGTAAACCCGAGGCATAAGTCCTGAAAAAGTCTGACGCCAACAAAATGTAGATTAACTGCAGGAACAGATGCGAGGCCACAGCGGCAGATCAAAGCCAGGCTGCTGAGGGAGCCGCTCAGCCCACTGTGATGGGGCATTACCATAATGAATTTTGTGAGTAAGCAGCTCACTTTAAAATCGTTCCTTTTGATCTGTTAAGAAGGTGTTTACTGTAATCAGGAAAAGGTTTACTTGGCAGGGGAAAAGAAAGAAAGAAAGAGGAAGCAAGAGAGACAGTTTTCGATCTGGTTTTAAAGAATTTTCTTTGCTCTCTCTGGTGTCTAGACCCTCTTCCTAGATCCTTTCCTTCTCTGATTTCCTTAACCTTCTTAGAAAAGAAAACTTAATTTTAACTTAAGTAGATGAGAGTTTAATGTGTGAGGGGGAGGAGCAGGTGAGAAATGGATAAACTCAAAGGTGTCTTGCCTTAAAAAGTAAATTATGAGGCTGGGCACAGTCACGCCTGTGATCCCAGCACTTTGGGAGGCCGAGGCAGGTGGATCACGAGGTCAGGAGTTCAAGACCAGCCTGGGCAAGATGACGAAACCCCGTCTCTACTAAAAATACAAAAAAATTAGCCAGGTGTGGTGGCGGGCACCTGTAATCCCAGCTACTTGGGAGGCTGAGGCAGAGAATTGCTTGAACCCGGGAGACAGAGGCTGCAGTGAGCTGAGATGGTGCCACTGCACTGCAGCCTGGGTGACAGAGCGAGACTCCATTTCAAAAAAAAAAAAAAAAAAAGAGTGAATTATGGTTTCAAACCGAAAGAAACTACACAAGTCAGAATTGCTAAAATAAGGTAAAAGAATAGATTAAGTGTTTTAAGAAAAAGGCAAATCTCTGCTCTGTTAATATAAGGCTTCCTTCCTCTTAGGCATTTCTGGGCATTGCTAGGAATGTGTCAGTGAAAGAACGGTTTTTCAGACTGCTCTCTTCCACCATGGATTGCTCTTCCCATATCATCTCAGACAGAGGCAAAGTCCCCGAAAAGCTGAATGTTCCTTCTCCTGGGGAGAGAGTGCAAGTTTCTCCAGTCTACTAAATCTGAATGTGTATATAATCCTTTTGTAATGTGGAGGAATGTAATTAAGACCCACTCTGTCAGACAGCTGGATAAAGTTTTTCTCTTTCCTTCCTCTTCTCTCTCTTTTTCCTCCCTCACCCCTCTTTCCTTCCCTCTCCCTTTCACTATCTTCAGGGACCTTAAGAAAAGTGGCTTTAGCAATAGTCAATTTGTCGCCAAACTGTACATCACCCAATGTGACATTAGCCATGGTAGGGGACAGAAATTAATATCTTTTACCCAGTCATTGCAAGGTACTTTGTTGAGATCTTTATAACAAAAGATCAATGAACAGGATAAAAATGGACAAAATTGTTTAATATAAGTTTTATGTGACACGGGAGCCTTCAGAAATAAAGACCCAAAGAGACATGAAAAGCTGTATTTTTGTGATTGGGTTTGATGAAGAGTGGACAGTCATGCAGAAGTATGATTGGACAAAAGGGTATATGGTCTAACGGTAATAAACTGAGGGGAACCTAGCAAGGCCTGTTTGTACAGAACCTTCTCTGATGTCTCTGCCTTCATTCCTTTCCTCTGCGCAAAGGAAGGATCCCTGTGAATGAGGGTCCTATGACCTATGTTAGAGGAAAGTCAGAGCATTCTTTTATGGCTTGCTTCTGGAGAGAATAGCATTCCATTGGGTACTATGCTCATTACTGGGTCAAGAGATCAATTTTACCCCAAACCTTAGCATCATGCAATATATTTATGTAATAAACTTGCACATGTATGCACTGAATCTAAAATAAAAGTGAAATTATATTAAAAAAATAAAATGAAATATGGTACCAGAAAAAAAATGAGTTCTTTATATGAGAGAAGGTCAGAGAGACCTTCCTACTTCTGCTGTTTCCTCAAATGCCAAGCTGTCGTATTTGGGGGTAGCATGTCCTGAACTTCATCACCATCTATCTCCCCATGACTACTTCCATTCACATTATTACTGCGCAAAGACTAGATGGAAAGCTGGAAGGGTGGGACTTGCAGATTGCATCCATCCCATTTGCAAGAGGCTCAGGTTTGGGGTCTGGGACCTGTGGACAGGAAAGTCACATGAGCCCAGAACCAGCTGCTAACTGTTGTCATGTCAACAGAAGAAGTCACAATCCTTACCCTTTCCAAAAATTCTCATAGGGGGAGACTTAAGAATGTTAAAAAGTTGCTTTGACAAGAGAAAAATCCCTTTCTGTCCTCATCAGATTTTGGTAAAGAACACAGGAGTCGGTGCAGATCCAAGAACAAAAACACATCCACACACCCTTTGGGTGAACAGGCTGCAGTGGTAGCAGCCACAGAGGAAGTTGAAGGAAGGCAACAGCTGGGGCAACTCACATCTCAGGAAAACCCACTCCATGTGTTCTTTTATTTCAGATGAAATTCCTTAGAAAACAGATACTTTGAAGCCCCTTAAAAGTGAGTGATTTAATCCCAACACTTTAATGGCTTTCCCAAGAAAACTTGTTCAACTCCCAATTCCCAGTGACACCCACATCTTTGAAGGTTTTCCTAAGAGGCACTCAGCAAAGTATCTGGACATAGAGGGCACTCAAATATTTGTTGATGGAATGCTAATGGTAAAATCATAAAAGAAATATCATTTTGGAGAATGTCTCCCTCAAAAGAACTTGAAAATCAAAAATTTAAACATTCATAGAAAAAGTGTCTCAAATTGAGGTCAATGGCCTGATTTTAATGTCTGCCCTAATATTGGATTTTTGCTGGCTTTTAAACATTTTTAAAACAATTTTAGAAAAAATTCAAATACAGAAATATAAATAGAAAATAAATAGAATCAAATATTGATTCTCTGTATACCCATCACCCAGTATTAAAAATTTCTTAGTTCATTTTGTGTTGCTATAAGAGAATACCACAGACTGAGAAACTTACAATGAACAGAAATTTATTTGGCTCCCAGTTCTAGAGGCTAGGAAGCCCAGGAGCATGGCACTGGCATCTAGTGAGGACCTTTGTGCATCATCCCATGTCAGAAGGATGAAAGGCAAGAGAGAGTGCGAGTAAGAGGGTGCTGAACTAGAGTTTATAACAAAGTCAATGTTGTGATAACAACATGAAACCATTCATGAGGCCAGAGCCCTCAGGACCTCTCATTAGGCCCCACCTCACAACACTCTTGCATTGGGGATTAAGATTTCAATACATAAACTTTGGAAAACACATTGAAGCCACAGCATTCCAACATTCTGCTCTTCTTGGGTCATCCATATTTTCACCTCCTCCCCACCCCCTCACTTCATTATTATTTACCATTGTAGCCAAAATTTATGTATACTGAAATGGACAAATCTTAGCTGTATAATTTTAATGAATGGATAGACTCATGCAAACTTCATCCCATTATACATTTAAATATTTTCATCTCTCAGAAAATTCCTTCATGGCGCTTCTAAGTCATTTTAGACAATTTTTGCCTGTTTCAAGAACATCATATACATGGAATCATACAGTTATGTACCTATATATCTTTTTTCTTCACTTTGTATAATGTCTGTGAGATTTATCCATATTTTTTCATGTATAGGTAGTTTATCACTTTTTTTGTTGAGCAGTATTTTGTTATAATTCTTTCGTTGATGAACACTTGGGCTGTCTTCAGTTGTCAGCTATTATGAAAAAAGCAGCAGTAAACACTCTTGTACAAGTATTTGGTAGACATTTGTTTTCATTTCAGTTGGATACATAATGAGAAATGAATTACTGAGCCAATATGTGTAGAACTTTATAAGAAACTGTATATATAACTTTAAAAGAAACTACACATCAGTTTTCCAAAGCAGTTACACAATTTTACATTTCCACCAGCAGTGTACAAAGGCTCTGATTGCCCCACATCCTTGTCCACATTTGGTATTGGCCCATATTTTAAATGTCAACCATTGTGATGCATGTGTAGTGGTATCTTATTGTGGTTTTAATTAGCTTTTCCTCTATGATTAATGATGATGAACAGTTTTTCAAGTGCTTATTGGTCATTGGAATATCTTCTTTAAAAAATTGGGTTTTTCTTGTAAGTGAGAGCTACATATTGGGTATCCACGGACATAAACATGGCAACAGTAGACTCTGGGCACTACTGGGGTTGGGGGCAAGCGTTGAAAATCTATTGGGTACTATGCTCACTACTGGGTGAAGAGATCAATTGTACCCCAAACCTCAGCACCCATGCAATTTATTCATGTAACAAACTTGTACCCACTGAATCTAAAATAAAAGTGAAATTATATTAAAAAATAAAATGAAACATGTTACCAGAGGAAAAAAATGAGTTATTTATATATTCTGTATGCAAATCCTTTTTCAGAGATATGTTTTGCAAATATTTTCTCCCTAGTCTGCAGATGGTCAATTCATTATCTTAACAGTGTCTTTTCGTGAGCAGAAGTTTTAAAATTTGATAGTGTATAATTTTTTTTGTTTATTGCTTTCTTTGTGATTTTTAAGAAACATTCAGTTACCTTAGTTTATGAAGCTGTTCTCCTGTTTTAATATTCCTAAAAGCTTTTCTTCTAAAAGCTGTAATTTTAGCTTTCACGCTTAGATTTATCATCATCTAAATTTTTGTTTGTATGGTATGAGGAAGGGATTGAGATTCTTTTTTAATTTTTCTTGTAGATATTCATTTGTCCCAGCACCTTTATTAAGAACACTTTCCTTTCCCCCACTGAATTGCCTTGACATTATTGTCAAAAATCAATTAACCATGTAAGTACAGGTCAATTTCTGGATTCTGCATTATGTTCTATTGATCTATGTGTCTCTTCTTATGCCAATAACTCATTGCGTTCATTATTGTAGCTTTGTAGGAAGTCTTGAAGGCAGATAGTATATGTAAATCTATGAACTTGGTTTTTCTTTAAAAAAATTGTTTAGCTGTTCTAAGTTATTTGCATTTCCATATAAATTTTGAAGTCAGCTTTTCATTTTCTATTAAAAAAAGCCTGGTGACATTATAATTTGATTGCATTGATTCTATAAATTAATTTGAGGAAAATTAGTATTTTAACAACACTGAATCTTCCAACCTATGAATTGGTGTGTCTATTTATTTAAGTCTTCTTTAGTTTCTGTCAGCGATGTTTAGTAGTTTTCAGTACAGAGGTTTGGCTCACCTTTTGTTCCAGTTATTCCCAAGTATTTTATGTTTTCTGATGCTATATAAATATAATTAATTTTTAAGTGTCCACCTTCTATTTGCCAGCATATAGAAATACAATTGATTTTTATCTGTTAATCTTGTATCATGAAACTTGACTTATTCCTGATACTTGTAATTTGTGTTTTTTCTTTTTCCCCCTTATTTGTTTTATTATGAGATTACTGATTTTATTAATATTTTCAAATAACTTTCTTGGGATTTGATTTTTTTCTGTTTTCCTCTTTTCTATTTCATTGATACCTGCTCTTTATTATTTTATTGGTGCTACTTAGGATTCTTCTTACTCATCTTTTTTAGCATCTTAAGATCATTGAAATCAGGTCTTCTAACATAAGCACTCAAAATCTCACTTATCATTCTAATCACTGCTTTAGTTACGTCACACAACTTTTGATATGTTGTATTTTTATTATAATTTAGATGATGAATATTCATATTTTTCTTGTGATTTCTTCTTTTGTCCATTGGTTATATCAACATTTACTGTTTAATTTCTAAATGTTGTGTTTTTTCTAGATAGTTTATTATTATTGAGTTCTAATTTAAGCTCTTTGCGGTCAGAGAACATACTCTATAAAATTTCAATCTTTTGAAGTATAGTGAGACCCTTTATAAGCCTAGCCTATGGTCGATTCTAGTGAATGTCCCATGTTTCCTGGAAATAAATCTTCATTCTATCATTGTTGTGGTAGTGTTCTACAAATGTAATGAAGTCAAGATTGTTAGCTGTGGTCTAATCTTCTATATCCTTGCTAATTTTTTTGACTGGTTGTTCAATAAATCACTGAGAAAAGAGTGTTACAAATCTCCAACTATAATTTTGCATTTATGTATTTCCCCTTCATTTTGTTTTTGCTTCACATTTTTTGAAATAAAATTTAAGTCCATACCCATTTAAAATGGTAATTGTTACTGATGAATTAACCCTTTAATTATTGTGAAATGTCATGTTTTGTCTCTAATAATACTCCTTGTCTTCAAGTTTATTTTGTCTGACAATAAAATAGCCACTACAGCTGTCTTATGATTGGTATTTGCATGATATAACATTTTTCATCATTTTACATTTAACTTATTTGTATTTTTGTATTAAAGTACATCTTTTGTGAGCAGTGTGGACAGCATTGAGGTAGATCTTCTTTTTTTAAATCCATTTTGTCAATCTCTGGCTTTTATTGCAGTGATTAGTTATTCAAATTTAATGTAATTATTAGAATGGCTAGAGTTAGGTTTGCCATTTACTATTTGTTTTTTATTTATTTTTATTCCCTGTTTTGGGGTGGGATATACAGATTTTCATATTCTAGTTTTATTTCCTCTATTGACTTTTTAGCTATACTTCTTTGCATTTTTTTTGGTGGTTGTCCTAGGGATTACAATATGCATTGTTAACTTTCATAATCTACCTAGAGTTCATAGTCTATTGCTTAACATAAAATACAGTTACCTTGAAGCAGTATAGATCTATTTATCCCTTCATTCTTCATGTTATTTTATCTGTTATATTAACTCCATGTGTTTCATAAATCTTACATACAGTTTCATAATTTTATATATAACAAGTCATTTTTTAATTAAGGGAAAATATATATAAATGTACAGTCAATTTTATTACTTCTAGTTTTCATATTTGCAAATTCACCTACTCACTACATTTTTTTTACAATCCCAAAATCAATACAATAGCTTTCTCATGGTAATTCGCAGACAGGTGTAGAGAGACAAAAAATTCACCTGATGCATATATTCCCAGCTGAGGTCAAACCAGGAAATGCTGTGCCTTTTTTTTTATTTTTTGAGATGGAGTCTTGCTCTGTCACCCAGGCTAGCGTGCAGTGGCACGATCTCGGCTCACTGCAACCTCCGCCTCCCTGTTTCAAGTGATTCTCCTGCCTCAGCCTCCCAAGTAACTGGGATTATAGGCGCCTGCCACCACGCCCAGCTAATTTTTATATTTTTAGTAGAGACGGGGTTTCACCATCTTGGCCAGGCTGGTCTCGAACTCCTGACCTTGTGATCCACCCACCTTGGCCTCCCAAAGTGCTGGGATTACAGGCATGTGCCACCACGCCCAGCCATGCGTTCTTAATTCAGCCCTCCCTTATATAGACATTATAAATAAGTGTATTTTTCATAGTCTATTTAGTGCCACATTGCATTTGTGTGCTTTTTGTTAGTGATTTTGCCATTTAAAACGTCCCCCAAGTGTGAGGTGAAGTGCTGAGTAATAGGCTTTGCACAAGAAGGCTGTGAGAAAATAGTGAGATAGATAAATTTCTTTCAAGCAGGAGTTATACTGCTGTTGGCCATGAGTTCAATATTAATGAATCAACAATATATATGAAATAACTTGTCTTCAAACAGAAACACACAAGATCAAGTATTGATCAGTTGATGAAAATGTTATGACCAGAAGATTTCAGGAGCCTAATCCTGTATTTCCCCTAGGAGCAATAATTCAGTGTTCACTAATTTCATGTTCACAGCTACTTTATAGAACATAATTACTGTAAATAACAAGAATTGACTATATTACATATGTGTGTGTATGTATGTATGCACAGAAGTCTTTAAGATGTATCCACATATTTTCTATTTCTAGAAATCCTTATTTTTTCATGTAGACTCAAGCATACCATTTTCTTTAGCCAAAAGAACTCTTTTCAGCATATTTTGTAGTGCAAGCCTGCTGGCAACAAATGCACTGAGTTTTTGTTCATGTTAAAATGTTTTATTTTAGCTTTCAATTTTGGCAGGTATTTTCACTGGGTGAAAACTTCTGGGTTAACAGTTTTTCCCTTTCAGCACTTTAAAGATACTGTACCATTGTCTTCTACCCCCCACTGTTTCTCTAGACAAGTCAGAAGTTATTCTTATCATTGTTCTCCTGTATGGAGTATCTCATTTTTCATTGCCTGCTTTCAAGATTGTCTCTTTATCTTTGTTTGTTTGTTTTTTCAGCAGTTTGACTATGATGTATCCTTGTTTATTTATTTATTTTTAATTTATCCTGTAAAGCTGTGGCTTTCTGTCACTTGAGCCTCTTGTGGAATAGGCAATACTTTCAGACTAAATACCATAAACTTGCAAATTTTATCTTTCATCGTTCCTCTTTCCTCTTTCTCTTTCTTTCTTTCTTTTTCTTTCTTTCTCTTTCTTTCCTTCTTTCTTCCTTTCTTTTCTTTCTTTTTCTTCTTTCTTTTTCTTTCTTTCTTCCTTTCTCTCTCTCTTTCCCCCCTCCCTCCCTCCCTCCCTCCCTTCCTTCCTTCCTTCCTTCCTTCCTTCCTTCCTTCCTTCCTTCCTTCCTTCCTATCTTCCTTCCTTCCTTCCTCTCTTTCTCTCTTCCTTTCTTTTTGATAGAGTTTCGCTCTTTTCACCCAGGCTGGACTGCAATGGCACGATCTCGGCTCACTGCAACCTCTGCCTCCCAGGTTCAAGTGATTCTCCTGCCTCAGCCTCCTGAGTAGCTAGGATTACAGGCACCCACCACCACGACCAGCTAATTTTTGTATATTTAGTAGAGATGGGGTTTCACCAGTTGGCCAGGCTGGTCTTGAACTCCTGACCTCAGGTGATCCCCGCCTCGGCCTCCCAAAGTGCTGGGATTACAGGTATGAGCCACCACACCCAGTCCATGGTTTCCCTTTCAAAGTAAACCCTCCCTGCAGTTTCTGCTTACTTTTAATCACTCTTCTGAGCCCTTAAATAATTGTGTGTTTGCATGTGTCTATGTGTGTGTAATAATAGTTTTCCAGATCTTACAGCTTTTTTTTTGTAAGAGAGTTAGTTTGATTGAGCTACTCTGTTATTACTCAATTCATTTGTTTATAATTGGAAACTAAGGCATGTTCTTGAAAGTAAAGAAACAGTACCATAAATACCTTATGAATGTTTACAGTGCATCCCATAGTTTTCATTTTATATCTGAGATTGACTAGCTTGAATTCTGACAGTTTGACCAATCTAAACTTAACAACAATGAAAAGAAACTTGCGGCTTATAGTAGGGTTGCTTTCAGACTCAAATAGAAATGGGACACAAAAATCTGTTAAGATTAATAGAGAAGATTAATCTCAATCTTCTTAAGAAACTTTTATATTTGTGATTTTAAAACAACTTTTCTATACATCATCACACTCTAATCAGAAAAGTAAGTAACTTGATGTTTTAGTCCTTTCATGCTGTCATAGTAAGGTGGCATAGGCAGCTTATAAAAAACAAACACTTATTTCTTAGAGTTCTGGAGACTGTGGAGTCCAAGATCAATGTGTTAGCGGATTTAGCATCCCATGAGGGTCCTCTTCCTGTTTCATAGACAGCACCTTCTCTCTGTGTCCTCACACAGTGGAAGTGAGGGATCCCTCTCAGGACTCTTTTATAAGGGCACTAATGCCTTTTATGAGGACTCTGCCCTCATGACCTAATTACCTCCCAGTGGCACCACTTCCTAATACCATCAACTTGGAGGCTAGAATGTGAATGTATGCATTTTGAGGGACACAAACATTCAGACCATAGCACTTGATTTGAATCAGAGTATTAGCGTGTGACATTGCCCATAGCTTTACTTGGAAATCACTATAGTTCTTCACGTTTCGAATACTCAAAACCCTTCTGAGGCTTCTCAGTTCTAATAATGACCTACGCCACCATGCATGATTTGGACCTTGTTTTCTGTCTAAATTATATTCTGTAATTCTCTCCTTTGGCCACTCCACTCCAGCCATACTGATCTCCTGATTTTTCTTTAAAAATACCAGGTGACCAGGCAGGCTCATACCTCAGACCTTTTTTCCTTACTGTTCCCTCTGCCTAGAATTCTCTTCCCCTAGATAGTTTCATAGCTAGTCTTCCTTTTTCAGGTGTTTGTTCAAAAGTTAGATTCATAAAGCAGACTTTCATTTCCACCATATGTAAAATTACAACTCCACCCCCGACAACAGAAAACTTTCTGTTTTAATTCCCTTATTATGTCTCTCTCTCTAATATAGTATATGCAGTTGGCCCTTGAACAACACAAATTTGTACTGCATGGTCCATTTACACACATATTTTTTTCAATAAATCTTTCTTGCCTCACCTTCTACCTCCTCCATCTTCTTTGCCTCTGTCATCCTGAGACAGCAAGACCAGTCCTTCCTCTTCCTTCTCCTCCAACTCAGCCTATTTAACATAACGAGGACAATGATGCCCAAGACCTCTATGATTATCCACTTCCACTTAATGAACAGTAAATATATTTTCTCTTCCTTATGATTTTCTTGATAACATTTTCTTTTCTTTAGCTTATTTTAAGAATACAGTATATAATACATATAACCCACAAAAGACGTGTTAATCAACTGTTTATGTTATCTGTAAGGCTTCTGGTCAACCATAGGCTATTAGTAGTTAGGTTTTTAGGGAGTAAAAAGTTATATATGGATTTTTGACTGCACAGGGGGTCAGCACCACTACCACTCACATTGTTCAAGGGTCAACCGTAGTTTCTTTCTTTCTTTTTTTATTTTTGGGGCAGGGTTCTGCTCTGTCGCCCTGGTTGGAGTTCAGTGGTGCAATCATGGTTCACTGCAGAGTCTACCTCCCAGGCCCAGGTGACTCCTCCACCTTAGCCTCCTGCGTAGCTGGGGCTATAGGGGCGTGCCACCATGCCTGGCTAATGAAAAAATTTTTTTTTGTAGACTTGAGGTCTCCCTATGTTGCCCAGGCTGGTCTCAAACTCCTGAGCTCAAGTGATCCTCCTGCCTCGGCCTCCCAAAGTGCTAGGATTACAGATGTGAACAACCACGCCAAGCACGCCCAGCCTAGTTTCTTACTTATCTTATTTTCTAGATTTGTTTGCCAGTGTTTTACTAGAACATACCTCCACAAAGTTAGCATTGTTTATGTGTGTTAATCATGGTATCCCCATACCCTTTAATGTTACCACGCACACATTAGTGCTAAATAATTTGTTGAATGAATAAATAAATGAAACTCCCTTGAAAGTTTCTGGAATACTGTTAAGCAATTACCATCTAGAACTTTCTCAGTTGACTTACATGAACACAAGCAGCTTTTGCTATTACAGAAGTATGAGATTAGTATTTTCAATTCACAGTTGTATTTTCAATTCACTTTCTACATCGGGAAATGTTGCTTTTTATTTCACCATAGGGGATTTCTACATTGTTATTACAAGACAAATATTATTATTATGAATATCACTGAAACCCAAAATTTAGTCTAATAAAAACATATTTATGCTTTGACCAATGGTCCATGGTAATAGTACCTTGTTGGTCTTGTTATAGCAAAATTTCCTCATATATATTACGTGTATGCAAGACACACACACACACACACACACACACACACAATCTCAGTACAATCAATGTTCCATTACTGGTCCTAGTGGCTTGTTATAATGAAAACATCTAACACCTGACTGTGTAACATAATGCAAACTGGAAGAGAAATATAATACAGTGGCTCTAGCTAGTGTAGTACAAATAAAGAGTAAAATATAATTGTCCTTAAAAAATTACAAGAAATTGTAATTGCCTTGGTTCTCTGGGGAATAAAACCAAAAGGGAACATGTCAGAGGGCAAAGAGAATTGACTTCTGCAAGCATACATTTCTGCCTTGGTCTGCATGCTTGGGCAGCTTTAATGAACCACCTCATCTTGGAGGGACGTTGGCTCCCGCTTTGTCCTATGTCTAGTCCTTGACCCTGGGAAAGTGGCCTATAAGTACTGGCAATGAGATTTCTAACAATGTTGATTATAGTAAATTCCAATCAAGTGAACAATCTTTTACCTTCCTTAAAGTTCTTTGTGATGGGATTTGACCCATAATATTTTTATAGATAGCCATAAATGAGCAACAAGGGGATGTGTAACTTGCACAGCAGGACTAATTTCTCTGATTGTCTAATCGTTGACAATTGAAATTGCTTATATTTTCTAATATCTTAAATGCCCCCAGACAAGCCAACCTTCCCATGACACATCCTCCCTGTAAGGGTTCCTTGGGCCCTCTATTAGTTTTCGAGCTTCTGAAATGTGAGGACATTTTTCTAACTTATGTCTTACCCAGTTCACATATAAATATCACTCTACTTCCACATCTGGGAATAGGATCACATTATAGCAATTATAACAGCTACAGTGTTCTTACTTGTCTCCTTTTTCATTACAACACACTATTTGTGTTTTATTAAAGAGCTAGCCAAACCATAAATCCTAAACTCATTAATATAAATATTAACAAATTAATGGATTGGCCAGATAGGTTTAAGTCCAAGATCTACAAAATACTGACTTCGATTCCCCCCTTGAATGCTCAACATACCAAAATTTGGTCTCTCCAAGTGAGCCTTCACTGTCACTCAAATTCTACCCCATTCCTCAAAACATTCTTTTTAATCTTTACTCTCTTCCACCTAAAGACATCAATTTCTTTCACATTATTCCTCACCTTACTTCTTTATTCAGTTACTTAAATACCCCACTCTAACTTTAAGCAAACGTATTATAATCAATTTCAAATGAAAATAAATACATATTTATTGTAGGAAATGTATAAAACATATAACAGCCAAACAAAGAAAAAAGAAAAGAACATTATTCCTACCACTCAGAGATGGCCATAGATAATGTTTTAGAGTATTTGCTATGTTTACATAAAATATTTTAATGTATATATAATATGTATAAATATGTGTCTCATATATAATGTGTGTATATATATTTAATGTCTCTCTATCTCTGTATGTATATCTTAGTCTTCCTGAGGTTCTATAACAAAATAGCATAAACTAGGTAGATTATAACCAACAGAAATTTATTTCTCACAGTTCTGGAGGCTGGGAAGTCCAAGATCTAGGAACCAGCACATTTGGTGTCTGGTGAGGGCCTGCTTCCTCATAGATTCATAGATGGTGTCTTCTTACTGTGTCTTCACATGGAGGAAAAATGATGGGGTTTTTCTTGGGTCTCCTTTATAAAGGTACTAGTTGCATGAAGGCCCCACACTCATGAGCTAATCACCTCCTTAAAGCCCTACCTCCTAATATCATTGCTTTGGGGGCTATGATTTTAATATATGAATTTTGGGGGGACTCAAACATTCAGACCATATCAGTAAATATATATATATGAACTATATATGAAATAATAATATATGTAAGCACTGATGATTAGAAATTATGTATGTGTGTATATCTCTCTATATATACATAATCTATACATATCACTGTATATGTTTTTAACCTACTTTCAAAATAACACCTAATACTATCTTTGCATGCAATTTAAATACGTCACCATAATTCTAATATCTTCTTAGAGAGATAGTATCTGTGGTTTACAGCAGGGGTCCCCAACCCCCAGGCCATGGACTGGCACAGGTCTGTAACTTGTTAGGAACCAGGCTGCACAGAAGGAGGTGAGTGGGGGGCCAAGTGAGAGAAGCTTCATCTGTATTTACAGCCACTCCCCATCACTTGTATTACCACCTGAGCTCCGCCTCCTGTCAGATCAGGAACAGCATTAAATTCTCATAGGATCACAAACCCTATTGTGAACTGCACATGGGAGGGTTCTAGGTTGTGCACTCCTTATGGGAATCTAATGCCTGATGATCTGTCACCATCTCCCATCACCCCTAGATGGGACCATCTAGTTGCAGGAAAACAAGCTCAGGGCTCTCACTGATTCTACATTCTGGTGAGTTGTATAATTATTTCATTATATATTACAGTGTAATAAAAATAGAAATAAAGTGCACAATAAATGTAATGCAGTTAAATCATCCCCTACCCCAGTCCACGGGAGAATTGTCTTCCATGAAACCATCCCCTGGTGCCAAAAATGTTGGAGACTACTGGTTTAGAGCATGCCCTCTGGAACCAGATTGCCTAGTTCAAATCCTAGGTCCACTACTTACTAGCTGCATGATCATGGGTAAAATCACTTAACCTCTATGTAATTCAATTTCCTCAATTATAAAATGAAAATAATACAAGTATCTTCCTCATAAAATTCCTGTGTAGCCTGTGTAGATTAAATACATTAATATTTGCATGGCACTTAGAACTTTGCTTGATGCATAATCATCTCTGTATATCATTATTATTATTATTCCATTTGGGGGTATATTAGTCTGCTAGGGCTGTCATAACAGAATACCTTAGGGTAAGTATTTTAAACAACATAGATTTATTGTCTCACAGTTCTGGAGACTGGAAGTTCGAGATCAAGGTGCCAACAGGGCTTCTGGTGAGGCCTCTCTCCTTGGCTTGCAGGTGGCCACCTTCTTGCCGTGTCTTCATTTCTCTGGTGTCTCTCCATCTTCTTATAAGGGCTCCAGTCCTGTTGGATTAGGGCCTCATCCTTATGATATCATTTAACCTTAGTTAACTCCAAGTACAGTCACATTGGGGTTAGTGCATCAACATATAAATTTTTGGGGAACATAATTCAGCCCATAATAGGATATGTATGCTAATTTGATTATTATTAGACATTTAGGTTGGTTTCTGTTCTTGCCACAAAAATATTCATGCCTCAGTGAACATTGTCCATTATTATTTCCTTAGTATAAATTCCCACACATATATATCCCAAGAAATGTGAAATAAGGAAGCAAATAAGTACATCAGTTTGAAATAGAACATCAGTTTGGTTTCTATTAAGTATTCCTCCAACACATTTTTACATATATATATATATATATATACACACACATATCCCTCTATATATGTATATATATACATATACCTATACATATATATTGCATATATATAATATATATCTCCAAAGAAATGTCAAATAAGGAAGCAAATAAGTAATTATAATTTTTAATTTAATTTAATTTAATTTTATTCTTTTTAGAGACAGGGTCTTGCTCTGTTGCCCAGGCTGGAGTGCAGTGGTGCAATCATAGCTCACTGCAGCCTTGAACTCCTGGGCTTAACTAATCCTCCTGTCTCAGCCTCCAGAGTAGCTGGGATTACATGTCACTCCCGGCAGTAATTATAATTTGTTATTCTTAGTTGGAGTTTTCCCAGAAGCAAATTCTGAGACAATGACTTGGGTACAGGTAGGTTATTTGGGAAATGATTCCAGGAAGCCAACATGAGGGAGGAGACAGAGAAATAGAGATGAGAAAGGGAGGAAAGTCTAAAAAGTAGGTTAATGACCTCATTACCACTGTAGGCCGCTGGGGGCCCCTGAGGATATAGGAAGCTGAGATATTTATCAACTACATTTTCTCCTTTGTTGAGAATTTCCCTGGAACACTGACTCTTCTGGATGTAGATGATCAAGCATTTGAATGCCATATCAAACTCTTAGGCTGAGAGGCAGAACTCTGTCAGCGTGCCAGGGTTATAGATGAGACAAAGAGATAGGGTCAAGGCATCAGGAGCATCTACTATCCTGAGAAATTAAAGTTGGTGGCTCCTTGACTATAAGGTTCTGTTTCTTTTCTTTGTTTCCTACTTGGCTCTTTGTCTCTATCACTCCGAACGCCAATTACATCTGGATCCAGAAGTGTCCAACTGGGCAGTTTCCAGAAGTGTCCAAGTGGGCAGTTTCCCCCTGCGTCTTCTACTTCCTGAAGACTGTCCATGGGGTTCTATCCCATGGGAAAGGCTCTATTTCGCTTAGATTGCTTTCCATGCTCCACACTCACATTTCCAAGTATCTACTGGGCATGTCCAGTTGGATGTCTCCTAGATTCCTCAAATCCATCACATCATCAAGAGGGAAGTTATCACCTTTCCCCAGTCCTGCTTCCTTACCACTGGTAGCATGAATGGCACTGCCTTCTACCCAGCTGCCCAAGCCAGAAGCCAAGCATTGCCTCGATTCTTTCCTCTTGCCGGAGCCAAGCATTCATGTTCCAAATGCTTTTGCGACTCATCTACATCTCTCCATTACCACAGTCGCTACTCTATTTCATCTTCTTTTACCTTGAATACTGTGTCAGTCTCCAAACTGATTTTCTGATGTTGCCTGCCTCTAATCCTTTCTCCATACTGCAGCAAGTTGAATTCTCTAAATGCCACAAGAGCAACTGATCCTAACACTATTTTTCTTAGACTTCTGCTTGCTTTAAGTATAAAGTTAAGTCTTTAAAGTGGCTGGCATGCCCTTCCTGATCTAGCTATTGTCTTTATCTCTCTGCCTCATAATCTGTCACCACCACCCACTCCAAGTCCCCCCACCAACCCCACCCCCCACCTTTAACAACATACTCTGACTACTGGGTTTCTCTCAGGGCTGCAATGTACTTCTCTCTCTCCTTCCCCATAGCACTACTGCCCTTTTAACATAGAACACTCCTCCTGCACTCCTTGACCTGTGCTGACTACTCCCACCCCATCTTAAGGTCTCAGAAAACACATCTTTGAGGCACCTGCTATAACCTCTTCTAGTAAGTACCACATACTTCTTTTAACCTTCCTCTACCCCCATTTTCTCATCTATAAATGGAATATATAATAACATACACTTTGTATGAAAGTTGTGAGGATTACATGAATTAATGTTATAGGATCTTTGGGGTGTCACTCTTCTGGCTGGAAACCTCTGTGGCTGGTGGCACCTTTGCCCGACTTTTGCTTGGGCCCACTCGGCTCATTGAGCCCACTTGGCCTGGCAGGCTGTGTTCAGCTAACACTACTGGTCTGGATCCCACGTCTGCCAAGGAAGGGTGAGCCAGGCTTGGAGTGGCAAGGGGTGTGTGATTGAGCAAGTGTAGGGTCCAGCCACTGCACACAGTCAGGCATGCCAGCAACTGCAGTGGGGCGGGCAGCTCCAGGAGCCAGCACAGGCACCAGCTCTCTGCAAGGCTGCGCCTGGACCAAGCGCACTGCAAGAAGCTTCCCCAGCTGGCACCAAGGAATGTGGTAGCACTCAGAAGCTTGAAGATGCTAGGAAGCACAGGGCCTCAAAGAGAGAGTCACAGCCCTTGCTTGGGGAGCTCCCAGGTCTGGGATCCCCGAAGGGCTGCAGCTCTTCTCTCCCTCTCTTCACTGGCAACGTGGCAAGCAAGGGGCATGTTTCAACCCTGTTTGTGTTCCAGCTCTTCTAGCCTTGCCATTTGGGTCACAGGTCCCAAGTTCTTGTCCTGTGACTAGGAAGAATGAGGCATGCAGACAAGTGGAGGGTGAGCAAGACAAAGAGGAGCTTTACTGAGCACTAGAACAGCTCAGAGACCCACTGTGGGCCGCTTCTTTCTGTAGCCAGGGTGTCCTGACGAGTGTTCAGCCCTCAGCAGAGAGGAAGAGGCTCTGGGGTGGGTGGCTCCTCTCTGCTGTTGGTCACCCTGACTTCTCCACAGCTTAGCAGAGAGGAGGCCCTAGAGTGGGTTGTTCCTCTCTGCAGGCAGGTCATCCCTGGAGTGGGAAGCTCTGCTCTGCTGTTGGTCATCCAGTGTTCTCCAGCTATCAGCAGAAAGGGCAGCTCCTCTCTGCAGCCGGTCGTCCCGTCCTCTACTCTGTTCTAGCTGAGTCCAGGGGCTTTTATGCGCTTCAGAGGGGGGAAGTGCATGCTGATTGGTCCATGGGCAGCCAGGGGTGGGCCCAGGAAAAAGCACCATGAGTTCTCTCTCTGGTCCACAGGACTGGCAGCCCAGTCCCCAGGCTTCAGGCTTTCCCTGGCCCAAAGGTGGGGCCTCACCAGGGTCCCACCCTTTTCTGCCCAGGAGCTTGTCTGCCTCCTGCTGCAGTCCATGGCACCCAGGCTGCTCGTGCCAAGGGATGCCTGCAGGCCAACGCTGAGCTGCCCTCAGTCCCCGCTTGGCTTCCCTCTCATGCTCATTGGCGCCTAAAGTCCAGAGGGGTCCGAGCTGGCAGAGGGCTGGTGTGTCAGTGCTGCCTCAAGCATGTGCCCACTAGACCGGGCTGCGACAGCACCCGAGCTTGGTCCCAATCTTGCTCCATGATCAGAGCAGCCTCCAGGAGCAGGGAGAGGCCAGGCAGCGGCAGGAGGCACTTACAAGACTGTCAGGGGAAAGGGAACCTTCCTGGGCCCCCAAGAGCACAGAGATGCCCGGGTCTACAGCCCGGCGTGGGCAGCTCCAGTGGCACCCGGGAAGGGCAGGGCTGTCTGCTCCATGGAGCGTGAGGCCCTGGCCAAGCCTCCCTGCTGCAGTTGGCATCTTGGCAGTGGCAGACCATCTGGAGCAGCTGCTGCTATCATTAATATATGCAGAGTAAGCATTCAATAAATATTAGCTATTACTATTATTAGAATATTTATCATATCAAAGCATAACTACCTGTTTAATTGTCTGTCTCTCCATCTGGACAGAAAGTTCCATGAGGGCAGCAATCTTTTGTCTTGTTCATAGTTGGTTCTTCAGCGCTGTGTCCATTGTCACATGGCAGGGACCCAGCCTGAAGCAAGGCAATTTCTCAGAGCTGTAAGGAGGTGGTGGAGAAATGAATGTGTATAAATGACTCGTGTTAGGAGAGGTGAGACATTTAGGGTGTTATGTGTTCAGGTTTTCAGGGACAATCTGCAGCAATGACTGAAGAAGGGGAACACTAAATGCTCTTAACTTAACTCACAATGGTCCTGTGAAGACAGTAGCTTTACTGAAGAGGCATCTGAGCAGTGGAAGGATTAAATGGCTGCTCTAGAGTTCTAAAGTAAGTGACACAGAGCCTCTTCGCTCACCTCTTCCCCAACTATGTTCTGTATATTAACAACTCAGTATGCTAAGAAATGTTAGTGAAAGAATTTAAGGGCACAAATAAATATGGAGACCACAGGGTTAAGTAGAAGTGAATGTTGTTATTTTGTTGCAGGGCTGCTCAGAGCTTTTACTATGCTAACGAGAATTGTGACTTTCCAAGAAGAGAAAGCATGGAGCTTGCCTAGCTCACTTAAACAGAGAACCCTATGT
The DNA here is from genome assembly GCF_000001405.40 of Homo sapiens. Lineage (NCBI taxonomy): Eukaryota > Metazoa > Chordata > Mammalia > Primates > Hominidae > Homo > Homo sapiens. The sequence continues at coordinate 204,224,805 of NC_000002.12, forward strand.
TCTTGGAGCCCTCCTGGGAAACAGCGTTGGCCCTTGCTCTTAGTCCTCTACCCATGTTGCCTACCTCCCTTCTGCCATCAAGATTTGGTGTTTCTGATCCTTGATGTTTAAGGTTTAGTAATGATTCAATTCCACAATAAAAATATAATCTCTGTTTAATGCTCATTTGATTCAAGAATTGTGCTAGATACTGTGGTAATACTGCAAAGGTGCCTGTTTTTCTGACAATATTGCTACTGAGAGAAAGAAAAACAACAGTGATAAGCACAATCTTACAGTGCTTTGATATTTTTTCAAAATACACTCATAGCTTGAATTTCATTTGCTATTTGATGGGATACATGCATTAGACATTATTAGCCCCACAGAACAGATGAGATTATCATCTCAAGAAGTCAGGTGACTTGCTCAGTCACTTGACTATTCATTTGGGATTTTTTTTTTTTTGTTGTTGTTGTTTTTTTTTTCTTTTTCTTTTTAGGTTTTCCTCAACTTAAGGGCTGTTCACCCCCACCAATACCTACGGCATGATTCTGTGCAAATCTCAAATTTCTAGCACAGTAAATTTTATTTATATATACATCTAATACAACGAGAAATATATTACAATTCTTTATAGAATGGTGAAGCTGGAATAGAACCTGGGAACTTTTTAAAAGGTAATCTCCACATTTTATGGTGGAAGAAACAAGTTCAGGGATACTCAGTGACATGCGTAAGATCACCCAGCAAGCTTGTGGCAGAGCAAGACTGAAATGTTCTGGACTATCCAAATCATCTCCTATTTTTAATTCTATCGCTGCTTTTAGAAAAGTACATTTGTTTTATTCCTGCCTAAGTGTTGAGCTTGAAACCACTCAGCAAGTAAGTTTGTTCCTATCGCTATTATCCTGGGTGGCTTTTGTTTACCCTTCTATTGTTTGAGAAGATTTGGCCAGAAGGAAAACTGTTAAATCTTCACATTGGCAGTGATATTTAAGACCCATAAAAGATTAATCATCGAGGGAACCCATAACTTTGCATGATCAAAGTAAAAATTCAGTTTTTATGACTGCCTGTGTTTTATCCTCTATAAATTTTATAACAATGATTAGGCTCAAAGTATGGGCATAATTTACATACATCAAAATGCCTCACACTGTCCTTACAGCCAGTTAAACACCTGCAGCAAATACAAGGAAGCATATTAGAAAGCAGAAAGCTGCCAGGCTCTCTCAGGCATTAATCAGTGGAACCTCTTTGAGGGAGAGAAGGAGAGAGAGGGAGAGAGGGGAAGAGGGAGATTGAGAAAGAATTGCGATGGTGGCCTCCTGTAACCAAATTATGCATAGTGTGTTCACATAGGAACAGTACACTTTGCATTTGTCAGAAATACACTTAGTTCAGTCTTTTCTCCCTTCCCCAAATGATCAGCCTATTTCCCAGAAATGCTTTTTCTCTTACATTGACCAAGAACTCTTTGGAAATATCAGCACAGGAAAGACTTTAGAAATTGTTGCTATTTAACAAGACTGGTTGCTCCCACCTGTGCCCAGAATATGTTGGTCTATTGATAGATGTGGTGTGGGTCCCTGAGTCTCTGTACCTTCCCTCTCCTCTATCCTCCCACTTAGTTCTACCTTGGATTGATTCTGCCTCCTAGCAAAGAGTTAAAGGTTATCATGCAGGGATTTAAGTCCGGGCACGCTGGCAGACATGTACCAAGGCAACGGCAGCTACAAATAGCGTGTGGTACAAGCTTTCAGGGTAAACATCAATTTCTCCAATTTGCTACAGCCTGAGAAACTTATAAGCCTAGCGAATGAATTGTGAGTGTGGGTTTTGTGCTGGATGGATGGAGCAGAGGTTGTTTTCATAAAGCACTGTTAATGTACACTGATTCCTCAGTTTAAATATCGTGAGGGGTGAAAAGCCACAGCTGTTTCACTCACTGCGCTTCTTACATGCACCGGTTTTACTCTTGGACAGGGGCTGCCCTGCAGTATCTCTCCCGGATTCAGCTTCATACTGATGTGGGAGGTCACCAGAGCTTGTCCCCAAACACCAGGCAAAGGGTCCCCTCATCTCTCTGCTTATTGAAACCCTATCTCCATCTTCAAGTCCTCTACCTAGCTTTCAGCTTAAACTCTTATTGGCTACACATTTATCTATGAGTCGTGCCCTGTATTTGGAAATACTTTCTGGTTCTATGAGATATTTAGACTCCCATGATAGGTATTGAGCTCTTTTCACTCAGTGTGCACTGTGTTAAGTGCTTTATGAGGACTGTCTTATTTTATATGTATATTTCTGTGAGATCAGTACAATTATTATCAGCATTTTATCGTGAGAAAAAAATGAAACCCCTGGTGAATTGACTTGCCCCAAATCACAGAACAACTAAGTGCTAGAGCTGAGATCCCAACCCTTAGGCAGTCTAAATCCATTTAGAACGTTCATCCACTGCACTGTGTTTCTCTTCAGTCCTTTGTGACTTACTAACCTTCCATGTTTATATCTGGGCTTTTACATCAGAGTTCCCTGAGAACTGAATGTTATTTACATGTCTTTGTTCCCCCTTCCCCCAGTGTACCTAGGACACACAAATACTTATTAATTTCAAAGGGCCAAAGCAATCCTAGAAAAAACCAGGACAACCACCAAAACCTACAAAACCAGAAATATGATTCTCCCCAAAGGAGACACAGCTTTTTCTTCCCAATGACATGAAAAGACTGGAATATGATAATTTAGTTGAAAGACAACTTTAAATATAAGTTTCATTAATCAGAATGGGTATTCCTACAATAATAAGTCCTTAGTTGAATTTTAGAACCCTCTTTATGCTTTGTTAATAACAAAGCTGTTATAAAAATAATTTGATAAGACAGTCCATTGCAATGGTGTAACTTAACTATGTAAAAAGGTGCCTTAGCCTGGTGTCTGAGCACACCCAACTTATGTAATGCTAACATAATGCATTATGCATATTGTATCAGGTTAAAAATGAAACGCAGTGAAGTATTACAGCAATTTAAAAAATATATATCGGGGCTTGTTCAGCACAGATAGTTAAAATTTAAACCTGTTTAAATATTCAACTGAAACTAAAATAAAATGCTGAAAAATGGAATTCAATAGAAAGTCTCCATTAAGAGTAAAAATGCTTCTCCAAATCCATTTGGTTCTAATAGAAACCCATTGAGTGAGGTTTTCATTGTCACAGCACCAGCCAAGGGAAAAATTATACATATCTTTGGGTAGGAGAAAATCAGCTGGACTTCTTGTGGTACGAGCTTCCCTTAGAAAAGCAGAAGAAAAGGGAAGCTTTGGACTAACACTCAGTTTGGGCCACAGTTTGTTTAAAATGGTCTGGAGCTTTTTCTTAAAGATTATCTTCCCCATTTGTTCTCTTGCTTCAGTGAAACCTTATTTCACCTTCCACATCAAATGTGATTCTAAAAAGAAAAAAAAAATTGGCACCTTTTGCTGCAATATCAGGATACTGACCAATCTGCCTTGTGAGAGCCAAGCTTTCTTTCCCTGATAAACATCCTGCAGGATGTTTTTATTCAATCAATTGGAATGATTGCTTGCACAGAAATGTACCGCTTTATCAAGGTCTGCTTGAATATCAGGCTTGGGCCCAGCCCCAGCATTTTCGTTACTCAGTTCTCCAGACAGCAAATGCACAAGGATTCTGAAACATAATTAAAACAATCAGTGAGAATTACCCAGCTCAGTTACCGCACTCAAAAAGCAAACCCAGAGAAGCAAATAGGGAGATGTGTGGGTAAGTGAATGGGAGCCTTCCAGAGACGAGGGAGGGCCGGTAGGAGACATAAAATGGAGGGTATTAAGAGAAGAAATATAGGATAATATAAACAGAGTCTCTAATCCTGAGGACTGTAAATCCCCTTTCCTTAATTGGTTTAGAAACTGGGGTCTGTAATGTGAGACGGAGGGCTCTGGCTGCCTTTCTTCTTGGCTGCCCGGAATCACATTAAGTGGGAAACAATAGCAGGGCTGACAGCTCCCTTTCTGTGGGGGCACTTAGAGCTGATCTGCCATTGAGACTAATAAAATTACACGGGATTAGAGCACTGCTGAGGATACCTAGATTGGGGAATTCTCAGTGGAAGTGGAGCTGGCTCTTTCAAAACAGGGTTGGGGCTGAAGAGAGACAGCAGACCAAGACCACAGTGCCCCTATTTTACAATGAAGGGAAATAACCAGGATTTTGTCATTAACTCAGGATCTTGACGATACATCCTAATCCAAACAGAATTCGAATTTGAGATTTCTTCTTTGGCGCTTCACACTGTTTTGCTTACTTTTAATGATTTTTGTTGAGTTTAGATATTTCCCTGCAAGTGTACACCTTTCTACTTGTTCTCACAGTGTGAGCTTCACTTCAGTTTCTCAAGACAGAGAGAGGACCTATATTTAGGATTTTAGGAGTCATGACTGGCCAGAGGGTCATTCCTGGTCTCCACTTGTATTCCCTTTGCAAACCTGAACTGACAGATACTGGTTTTTTTTTTGGTTTGTTCTTAATTTCTAACAAAATGATTGTGGAAATCTATCAGTGCTGGTGACATGACCACAACTGACAAGTGAATTCAGGGTTTTCATGAGAATCCCTGGGAACCTGACATTAGTCTCATGCTTATTACACCAGGGAGAGGTGTGATATTTATCAAGGGAATACGTGAGAAGGGTACAGTGCTTTGAAAAAAATATCAATTTTTTGAAAAAGCACTGCAAATTTCCTCTTTATCGACCTCAGAAATAGTTCCAAAAAAAGTACTACATAATATCAAGTACTATGTTTCTCAATCATCTGGAAATATTTCCAACTAACTCTTATTTCTTATTTTTAAATAGAAATAGCAAATATGGCATGCTTATCCCATCCTTAGACTAGTAGAACAATACTTTTCTAATTTAATTCCAAACCTATGGTCCTAAATAAGTGCCTTTAGAGAATGTTATAATTATTTTGCCTTCTATATGTTCTATTGAAATGATCACTGAATTCTGAACATTTTATTAATATATAATGATGAACACACACACACACATCAAAATAAATCAATTCTGATACTAGAAAATCCTTCTGATGGCCCAGCAATGGCAAATAACCTCTGGCCTAAACGTTCATCTACTCGTTGGGTTACGGTATTTTCTGCAAAAGTCCATGTTTTAATGCAAATGTGACAACTTGGGATACTAACTAAATATGACAATTTGTTTTTGAACGTGAAGCCCAAAGGGAATGAGATGCTGGTAATTCTGATCTGTATATGGGAAGTAGGGAAGGAAAGGATAAAAGTGGAGAATGTTAGATGAAGACAGATGTTAAGGATTTCACATAGTAATTAATATGAAGTTTACCCAGTTCTGAGCAAAGCAGCTAAAGACCCTTTTTGGCTTGCTTTCTGTTCAGTGCTGTCACTTGTTCTTAGCTTGTACTTATTCACTGGAGCTGGAATCACCTCTTCAGCCCTGGGAATGAGAATGAGTTGTCCTCCAGTTCTGCAAGGAGAGGAGCCTTCCATACCTTTCCTCCAGAGGCCTCTGCTGGTTAACAGAGGGCAGCAAATGCTGATACCAGGCTCTCTATACCCACGCCCACTATCCACAGGGCAACCCTAGGTGATGGGTAAGATGGTGGAGGCACCTGAGGCTCAGAAAGATGAAGTACCTTGCCCCAAGACTGTGACTTAATTCATGTGGTTCTGTCTTACTCCATTCTACACACTGCTCTGTGTGGCTTCCCAACATTATCGTTACCATCTTTATCATCACTGCCACCATGACCGCTGCTTGTGGGAGGCCTACTCTCTGCCGGGCAGCGGGCTAAGCACTTAAATGCTTTGTTTCACATCATCATCACAACCCTGCAACGCGGGTAGGTGTTTTTATTCCCACTGTACATGAAAGAAAACTTAGTTTCAGTGAGGTTAAATAACTCACCTAAAGCCACACCTCCAGAACTGTTAAACTCAGGATTTCAACCCAAGACTTTGTGAAGCTGGAGCTTTTTCTTTTTTCCATTACCCTATGGTACCTTTTCAGATAGTATGTGACTACAGTGAATGCATGATGCCGCATCAATGGTTTTGCCATACTCAGCATCAATTCCTCCAACTTCTCGCTGGGAAATGCTAATCTCAACTTTAGGAATGGGCACATGACCAAGTATTATGAGGCAGAGCATATCATCCCCCAGCCACAGTGAATGGCAGAGCCAGGGCCAGGGGTCAGTGACCAGTGTATTGGATTGGACTCCACACTCACAAGGGTCCCATGTTTGACTTAATGCTCAGCTGTCACCATGTTGAAATTCTTAATAATTTTTGAAAAAAGATGCCTTGCATTTTCATTTTGGACTGGGCTCTACAAATTATCTGGTTCTGGTGATTGGTTTAGGGCTGGACAAATGAAACAACAATCTACATCAATGACACTCAATTCCAGGACTTTTCTGGACTTTTTGAGAAAGTGGAGTTCTTTCTATTGGAGTGGTAAGCCTGGAGGTTCTGGGGGCCACCATGTGCTGAATCTGCCTGAGAATGAAACCCGAGAAAAGCAGAGCTGAGAGAATAAAAAAAAAGATAGTGCCTTGATTAAACCATCTGAGTCCTTGGGCGGAATACAGTTTTTATTATTTTATTTTTTGCCTAAGTCAATTTGGGCTGAGTGTTTGTGCAACTCAAGAATCTTGAATGAATACAGTGGCAGGCTGGGTTCTCCAGAGCAGACAGAGCCAGGGTTTAGGTTGCTGGATGTTTATGAAGGACCCACATCCGTGGAGGGAAAGGGGAGGTAGCATGACTACACAGCAGAGGGCAAACTTCTTCCTCTTGCTGATCTGGCAAAGCCTCAGCCAACCTGGTAGGTGCTCTGGACTGCTTTGGCTGTCTGAAGTATCCTGTGTTGGGTCAGAGTGGCCCTGCTTTTATAGCCTGACTTGCTCAGTCTCCAGATGGGGCTGCCCCAGGAAGGGTATGTACTTGAGTGAGGTAGCTCCCTGAAGGAGCTGACAGCTGGAGGCTGTCTGCTGACCTTGCTCCCTGCAGCTGGGCAGCAACTCCTTCTTTGAAACTGTCACTATGCAGCCCATCTTAATTTGAGCTCTTTAGAAAGCAGAAATCAAGACAAAATCTTATATATACTCTTTTATTAGGGTGTAGGGAGGCAGAAAATCGTGGGTGGTGAGACAGAAAGAAAGTATAACCAATAGAAAGATGTATTATAGAGTTGGCCTCTACTTGATGCCAAGCATTACTGATGCTTCATCTCAGATCCTGTCCACGGACAGTCCGTCCTGAGAGAAGAAGGAAGAAGAGCATCTGCAGATGGCCTTCTCCTTTGGATAGGAGATAACAGGAGATAACAGGCACTTAGGCATGCATAAAAGCAGCCAATTCTGAGTGCAAGGAATACCAAAATGTATAATTTAAAATCTCCTATCCTCAGGTTCACCATCTAGTTGGGAAGAGGCAACACGTACCAAAAATTATGACAATATAGATTGAGTAGGCAATTTGTGCCAAAATAATGGTGCAGATAATACATACTCATGGTACCTCTGAGAAGCAATAGGTGATGGAAATGGGTAGTCAGGAAAGTGTTTACCTAGACATGAGACTGGAGCTACATCTTAAGGTTAGGACTTCTGTAATTGGAGAGAAAAGAAGCAGAGTAGGGGAAGTAATGCAAACGCACATCTTAGAGCAGCAAATGCATGAAAAGGCTAAAGTTTTACTATAGAGTCAGAAAATAAATGGAAGCATGGAAAAAAAGAGAATGGAGAAACAGGAGAAGAAAGGGCGGGGAGCTGGTGGGGACTGCTACTATTATATGTACAGAGCTAATATCATTTTAGGACTGTAAGGTTAAATTCATTTCAAAAAAGTGTTGTCTTACCCATCCTCAAGACCAGTGGTGTTGAATTGCCAAGTGCAGGTTCTATGTCTACACATTGTTTATGAAACTTTTTCAGTGTAGATTTTGGAAGTGATTAAATTCAATGAAGTTAGCAATGACTACATATCTCTTTTCCTGGAAACATAAAACCCCTCTTTAAACAATTAAAACTCTATAATTTGCTGAGAATCTCTTATTTGGCATGTCAAGGTTTAAGGAAAGGAAGCAAGTACAGTTAGACCCATACATTACTTGCCAACTGCTAGACAACACTGAAGAGATATTTCAATCTCCTCTTAATTTGTTTCTCCATGTGTGTTCATATTTCATGGGTGTTCAAATGCAGTAATTGTATTGAATAAAACATAAAAATAGGATCCTTAAAAATGTCATTTATTCAGGAAATGGGGAGTTATAGATTCCAGGTCTGGCCTTCTAGTCTCTGCCAGAAACTGTACACCTGTGGGGTAGAAAATCCCATTTTTTTCTAGAAGTTGAAGTGCATGGAAAAGTTTCAGGAGGAAAGAAACATCATTTTAAAAATGATTTGCACTCCTTTAAAGTACCCACTGTGGATGCTCACATAACTCTATGATGATCTTGCTAGTTTGGCTAGTTTACGCAGAAACCTTGGTGTATTGACAGATAGTTTCAGGAAACCATGAATATAGGAGTGATTTAAGGATTTCTCAAATAGACATAGTGGTTTGGTGAGCATAAGGCTAAATTTAGGGATCCTAAAGCCTACTTCTCAAAAATATTCAGAAGAAGACTTGTTTTCTTCACTGCAGAAGAAACAGATCATTAGGGCATCACTGCTCTGTAATATTCACAGCTGTAGAGGATGAAGCCCTGCAGTCTTCATGTTGTCACGCTATTCACTGATATAACCAGCACCTGGCTATTATTTGTTTATTATTTGTTTAAGTGAACAAAAAAATAGCCTCAGTCCTCCCAGGTGGTAGGGAAAGGCACTCCCTTCCTATTTTCATAAAGCGCCAAAAGCCTTCTCCCTATATGAAGCTATCCAGTCCCAAGTTTGAAGAGCGACCCCCATCCCACCCCAGTATGTCACGAGAGGCTGTGTCCTTGTTTTGTAAGTCACCTTCCTGATGCAAGGTCAATATTATTATTCCCATTTTGCACACTTTGCACAGTAGATAAAGTTTCAATTCCCAACAACTGAACTTCCCAAATATTTATATGATGGAATGAACTTAACTCCAATCATATGGGCATAAAAATATGCATGCCCACCAGGGCATTGTTAGATTTCAGAAAGAAATTTTATTCACATTAAAATATGGTCTATAGCAGCCCAATTGTAAAAATAAATAAATAAATAAATAAAAACACATTGTGTGTGGGCCTCTTTTGCATATTTAGATATGGAAGAATGTGAGCAGTCGCCAGATAATATAATTTTCATTCACCCAAATATCGAGCACAATTCAATGAAGAAAATGCAACTTTTGCCGTGAGATTTATACATGCTTATATACCCTTCATTTTGAGTCTGTATGAAATGCAGACATTTATGCTTCTATAACCAGAAGAATAAAATTTGAATGTGTAGTAAAACGAGAAATGTATTTTAAATGGGCTTTAGAAACAGAACTGAGGAAGTCATCAGAAGGCCACAGTCACTAATGTAATTGGTTATTTTGCTAGATGGCCACTCAGATGGAGGCCCGGCAGGCACAGGATTGAATTCAGGCTGATGGGCATGGGAGATGAAGTGGTGACTTCCTGGAAAAGATTGAGATACAGCAACACAGTAATCCAGACTGGCCATAAAGCATGCCATAAAGCCACTGTGAGAAATTCCTCCTGCCCATGTGATGCGTCCTTATTTTTTTACTTTAAAAGAAGACTGATTTTATGATTTGGCACAGATCATTGATCACAGTTTTTTTCTATTGCAAATATCTCCCAGCTGTGTTCTGTGTTAAATTTGCAAAAGATATAACCATTATTTCCACAAAATATTGGAAGATTGAGTGGCCATTTGCCCATCGGCACCCATCACTTCCAATATAACTCCTCCGGGCAGGCACTATAAAAGCCACTTACCAGCCCCAAGTGATGCATGGTAAAGGGGATGCCTTAGAGTGATCCTGCTGGGATGGGCAGCTGGTGTTGTTGACTGGCCTGTAGCTCTTCCCCCTTGTCCTGAAATAACTCGGCATTCCAGTAGAAAACCTGCATCATGTTGGTCGAGTGGAGATGAAGCTGGTCTCTCTTCAATCCCTACTACAAGATGTCATGTGACACAAGCTGAACCAATCAGAGAATCCCATCCTGGTGAAAGTCATTGGTGGAAAGATACCCTTGTGACCCAAGCTGGACCAATCAGTGTCCTCCCCCAGAATTCTCCATGAGCACTTGAAGGGAAGACTGGCTCATTCCAACAGTGTTACTAAGCAGGGGATACGGGCCGAGGGCTGTTGGCAGCCATTTTTACTAACCACATAGGGAGAAACATTCCAAAGACTGAAGCCAAGCCAAGACAGGATAAGCTCAGAAATGGAAATAAACCAAACATATTACCCAATTTGAGTTTCTGTATCCAGTCATGCCTGCTTCCAGTAATAGACCCCCTTCTTGGTTTTGTGAACTAATAAATTTCCTTCTTTGCTTAATGTAGTTTGAGTTGGGTTTCTTCTATCACTGGTCATCAAAAAACATCCTAAAACACTCGAAGTTCAGGTAGAGGCAAACTATGTTCTCCCATATTTACCAGGCTTCCTTGTAGCCTAGGTGGGGGCCATGTGACTAGTTCTTGCCAATAGACTATGAGCAGAAGTAATCAAAAGCTGAGGCATTTAAGAGATGGTGCACCTCCTTCAGCCCTCTCTTTCTCTTTTGCTGACATTTAGAGTTCATGTTTACCAGATAGTATGGCTAGATGACGGCAGAGCTGGCATCAGCCTGGGCTACTCAAACTGTATAGAACAGAACTCTCTGCTAACCTTTGCTCTTTTAAACTATGAAGATTTTCAGGACTAGTCTGTTACACAGGCATATCAGGGCTTGTGATAGAAATGAAGCTCAGCTATGGAAACATTAAGATCTATCTCTATCTCTATCATCAATTTGCTCTCCTGAGTTGTGGCTGAGATCCATGAGTCTTTTGTATTGCTTCTTCCTACTATAAGAAGTAGAGGTAGGAGGTATCAAAGAAGACATAAAAGAACCAAGAATAGGGAGACAATGAGGACAGAAGCCCTCTTTAGTATTGTGCCTAAAGACAGTGGTAAAGATCTCAGCCTCAAAGGAAACCAACATTCAGAGTCCAACTGTGAGTCAAACATTTCACCTACGTTATTTTATTCCATCCTCACCTACAGACAATTAGATGACACTGTCAATGAAACTAAATTCCAAAGAGATTAAGGCAAGTCACAGATTCCTGACTAGAAAGGGCCAGCTTTGAACCATATCTTTTCAGCTGCACAATCTAGCCCAAATTAGTTCCATTATTACTATTAATAGTAGTATAAATATTACTTAGAGATAATACTTTCCAGATGCATTCAAAATGCCAGTCTCCACCACCCGCTCTCAATGATAGAGATAGAGACAGAGAAAGCAAGATCCGGCCATGTCTGGTCTGAGTTTTTTTGTTTTTTTTTTTGATGGAGTCGCACTCTGTCGCCCAGGCTGGAGTGCAGAGGTGTGATCTTGGCTGACTGCAACCTCCACCTCCTGGGTTCAAGCAATTCTCCTGCCTCAGCCTCCTGAGTAGCTGGGATTACAGGTGCACACCACCATGCCCGGCTAATTTTTGTATTTCTAGTAGAGACGGGGTTTCACCATGTTGGTCAGGCTGGTCTCGAACTCCTGACCTTGTGATCTGCCCGCCTCAGCCTCCCAAAGTGCTGGGATTACAGGCGTGAGCCACCGCGCCTGGCCTGGTCTGAGTTCTTGAGTTCAGTTACACACTAGGGCTTTAGGAGTGAAGTACATGCTGCCCAGTCTCCTGATACCACTATTCCCTTGTCCTTGGATTCTTACATGCCTTGCCTGGTCACTATTGGAATGCATCAGTCTCTCTTCAACACCTAGTCTGGGACATTTTCCTTCCTAGCTTGATCAGTTTTACTGTTGGGCACACAGCCAATTCAGATCCCATTATCCCTTTTTCCCTGCTTCTCATATTATCTAGGCTATTTCTCCTTGCCTTGACAAATGTCTTGAACTGTTGTTGGTCCCCACTTCTATCTAATTTGTCAGCCAGTGTGCTCCCTGCAGACTAACCTACAAATTCTCCAGTCTGGACCCAATCATTTTTTCTGAATTTGTGAAAGACTGCCCATCATTCTTATCTCTTTGCGACATTAGCATTCTCAACAAATACTTCCAAGTGATCACCTTCTGAGTTTCTAGTAAAACTAGATAGGAATAAATTTCAATCCAAAAATAGGACTGAAATTTCAAATGTACAGTCATTTGGTGAAGGACATTATTTCTCCTTAAGACTTCTAACTTATCTTTAAGTTAGTAAGAGTCTCTCACTCCAAACCCCATGCAATTTATACCAAATATAATGTGCATTGCTATCCAAAATGCCAAGTATGAAATTAAGGAGAAGCCGGTCATTGCAGAATCCCCTAAACTAGACACCAAGTGCAAGAGTATGCCTGATTGTTTGAAGGGGAGTCTGGGGGCTTGCAATAATATGGAACCAGGCAAAACTATCCACTGCTACATTGCCGTAGTTAAAACCAAAACAAAGCCCTGTAGATAAAAATGTAACTTCCCCAAATGGAAACGTGGGGAAGAGACTGGGATTAAGTCTCTGAATTGCCATGAAAGTATTTGCAAGCAGTCAGGGCATTCATGCAGTCACATCACACTTAAGTAATGTCATTGCGCTGTGGCACAATTAGGACTCTTTACAGGCTATCACTTAAATCAGTATTTATGAAGTGCTCAGGCTGCAGATTAGGAGCCAAATCTGGCCCTTTCCCCACTAGTGACTAAAATAATGAATAAAAATCTCATTGACTACATCTCTGAGAACATCACATTGTCATGAACTCCTCCCCGAGACAGTGAATTCTATAAGCATTAATGGGTTTTATTCAACAAATATCCATTTCGTACTCAGACAACTTCTGCCGCTGACACCTGCCAATTCATATTTTAAGAAGAAATCACTGAGCTTATAGAGTTGTCATTTTAAAAATGAATGTGGCTCATTATCTTTATTTATATCCTTCTTACTGCTCCAAACTATCAACCCAGAAGGCCTCTGAAGTTTTTTATTTTGGAAAAAGTACTATGTTTCTTATTTAAAATCAAACACTGTATTTTGTCAGTTAACAATGGGTTGATTTCTGCATTAGGTTCTCATTAATTTTATTTCAATTGGAATGTGGGAGGAAAGAGGCCCCAGCCATCTGGACCTAAGCAGATATGTTAGCATTGGAAGGTTTCTCCAGGGCTTGAATGGGGGAAGGAGACCTAGTCTTCAGGAGCCTAGTGCCTGGTGGCCTGCCGCTCTAGCCATCGTCCTTTGGGCAAGTCATGGCCCCTCTTTGAACTTCCTGTTACCTCAGTTGTCAAACACTGTGTCATCAAAAGAGTTTCCATAAGGTCTCTTCATATCCCGAAATTTTGTAACTTCTGGTCCTCTAGAATGATTCCCTTTCTTCAAGCTGATAGGATGTCATTGTGCCCACTTTCTGCAAAGCTTTTTCTGATGTCTCTATCAGGCAAAGTTCTATTCAGCCTTCAAATCCCAGCTGAGTGGTGCCTCTTTGATTCTCATTAGATTTAGGATGCCTTCTTCTAAGCTTACATCTTACTCTGTGCAGAGGTTATTCTTTATGTTATAATGAATATTGTGGTAGACAAAATAATGGCTCTCCAAAGATTTCAATGTTCGAATCCCCAGGACCTGTGAATATGGTACCTTACAGGGCAAACGGGACACTGCAGAGGTGATTCAGTTAAGGAGCTGGAGATGGGAAGATTGTCTTGGATTATTCGGGTGGGCCCAATGCAGTCACAGAGGTTTTTGTAAGAGAGAGGAAAGAGGGTCAAAGTCTGAAAGAGAAGATGTGATGATGGAACCAAAGTGATGTGGTTTGAAGATGGAGGAGGGGGCCATGAATCAAGGAATGTAGGCGGCCTCTAGAAGCTGGGAAAGACAAGGAAACAAATTCTCCCCTGAAGCCTCCAGAAGGAACCCAGCTCTGTCAACACCCTAATTTTAGACTTCTGACCTCTAGGAATGTAGAAGAGTAAGTTTGTGTTGCTTAAAGCCACTCAATTTGCAGTAATTTGTTACAGTAGCAATTGAAAACCAATAGAGACTATGATATTTAATACTACCATATTAGCACTCTTTGTATGACTGCCCCCTTGCTAGCCAATGAACTTTTTGAGTGCAAAGAGCACCTTTAAAATATCCTCAGTTATTAGAGTGTCCTTGGCATATAGCAGCTACTCAAAAGATATTTGTTGAATGAATGAATAAATAAATACAACTTGTTTTACAGAGATAATGTAAAAATGTAGGGAGTAAATGACTTGCCCAAGGCTGCACAATAATGGGAATGTTGCCCAAATGCTGTACTTTCTCTGGGATGTAGTATTTATTTTGACTAATTTTTTTCACAGATACTGCAATACCAACAATGGTTTAAATACTGTTTAAGTACCTTTGTCCCCTTTGCTTCATATGAAACCACGCTACCTAAATCTAGACCCTTGGATAGAGACTGGTTTTTATTTATTTATTTTAAGCATAACTTTTGTGATTTTATAAGAAAAAAAACATTTAAACATTGGCAGAGTGCATTACATTATACAGTTTCTCTTGGAGCTTTTTCAGTGATTCAATGTTAAAGCTAAGTAGTCCAGATTTTGAGTAACAAAAATATTATGTGCACTTCATCTGTTTGTTTAAAATGGGCTCTCTAAACAAAACAAAACCTATACTTTGCTCAAAGTTACCCGTGTTAGTGGGTGTGAATGTGTGTATTTACACATGGCAGAATGAAAAGAGGATTGTGGAGGTGGGGGTGGGGTGGGGCCAGGGGGTGGGGGAAGCAGAAAAGACCAATCCCTACCCCTTCCCCTCCCAGATCCCTTCCAGAGTGAAGGTACAGCTGAAATCCCACTGACTCCTCATTAGGGTGTTGCATGCAGGCCAGGACAGGAAGAAGAGCACATTTTTGAGCACTAGTCCTTGGAGAGACGTGCAAACGTGACTGCCATTTAAACTGCAGATGGTCACGGTTGTCTCAATCTGTGTGTGGACAGCTGCTTGCTGTCCTCTCAGTCTTCTAGGAGAGTTTGTTCTGTTGTCTGGCAAGTCCCTTCATCCAAAAGGAGTACCTATTTGAAAAGGAGAGGAGTTGGCTTGATGTCGCTTTGTAAGAAGAGTTTGAGTATTTTAAAGCAACTTTCATGGAAAGAGAAAAGTCTACACGTCCTTTACAGGGATACATTTGGATTCAAATGGTTAGATCCTGCTATAATTGTTGAAATAACTTACTACTTTAGAGCTTCAAATTCTGATTTTCATTAGAAAAACCATATTTAAAACTCCGTTTGCATTTGAAGATAGAAAATCTTTAGGAAGCATCTATCCACAAGTATTTTTTTAATGCTAGTAATCAATGGTGAAACAAAAGAAGAATAAAATGCAGTGTTTTTCCACAATTGAGCTTTCTTTTTTTTTCGAGATGGAGTCTTGCCATGTCACCCAGGCTGGAGTGCGGTGGCATGATCTTGGCTCACTGCAACCTCCACTTCCCAGGTTCAAGCAATTCTCATGCCTCAGCCTCCCAAGTAGCTGGGATTACAGGAACGCACCACTATGCCTGGCTAATTTTTGTTATTTTTAGTAGAGACGGGGTTTCACCATGTTGGCCAGACTGGTCTCGAACTCCTGACCTCATGATCTTCCCATCTTGGCCTCCCTAAGTGCTGGGATTATAGGCGTGAGCCACCATGCCCCACCCACAATTGAACTTCCAGTCTCACGGAGGAGATACGGTGTCACCCCTACCAGTGCAAAACGAAAAACTAGCCTACAAGGTACACATATCATATACTTTTATTGAAAAGCCATAATGAATATTAAAAAATTGGGGGAACACAAAAACACTTATTCTCCTACTACCCTAGCACAACCATGTTCATTTGCATAGTTCTGTCTCGCCATATGTGGCCATGAGCAAGAAAGCAGTATATGCAAAAATAGTATGTTTTGATTCCACCATTATGACCCCACAGTTTGTTCTTTGTTTCCCACATGGTGTGGGAAAGGGAGACACAGTATATTTAGAATTATTTGAACACATTTTTATAATTTTAGCAATATAACTGTTAAGAAACTTATTCTATGCTTGTCACCTTGTCATTCAGGTCTCAGCTCAAATATTACCTCTTCAGGGAGAACCTTCTTGACAACCTGATCTAATGTAGCTTTCTAAACTGTCACGGTCACATTATGTTGTCTAATTTTCTTCACAGTCCTTATTTCAGTATGAAATTCTTCTGCCCCTTTATTTGTTTGACTGTCTCTTCTTTTCTAGCCAACAATTAGAAAGGAAACTACATAAGAGCAGAAACATTATCTTCTTGCACAGATGTATCCTAAGTGCCTTGATTAGCACCCGGTGTGTAGTAGGCCCTCCCTTGATACTTGTGATTGAATTGATGAAATACAAATTATCACTTTTTCGTCTAATTCATAACGAACCTTACTCATAGTGAAAAACAAAATAAAAGTGACTGGCTAAAACTTGCAAACAGTAAAAGCTATTATAAACGAAAAATTGGCAAAAGAATCAAGCTCATTGGTAATATTGGAATTTAAAAATGGATCTGAGGCCAGGTGTCGTGGCTGATGCCTGTGATCTCAGCACTTTGGGAGGCTGAGATGGGAGGATTGCCTGAGCCCAGGCAAGTTTGAGACCAGCTTGGGCAACAAAGTGGGACTCCATCTCTACAAAAAACAATAAAAATATTGGCACAAAAAACATGCCAAGCATGGTGCACATGCCTGTAGTTCCAGCCACTTGGAGACCTGAGGTGGGAGGATCGCTTGAGTCCAAGATGTAGAGGCTGCCATGAGCCATGTTTGTACCACTGCACTCCAGCCTGGGTGACAGAGGGAGGACCTGTCTCAAAAACAAAAGCAAAAATGGATCTGAGGAAACATAGAGTTGGTTGAAATAATCAACACAAGACAGACAATGGCTAAAATTGCAGATGGCACAATTTGTCCTTGGCTAAAAAATGACGGGAGAACTAAATCTTCTAAACAAAACTATATCATAATTTTGACCCTGGACAATTATACTTGGTGGTCATAAAAGAAAAATCATAATAGAAAAAGATATAATAGGTAACATTTCATATGTTTGGGGAAAAAGTGATGGGTAAATCAAATATTCATCATACAACTCATAAGAATTGATTTTGAGTAAAATAATTTTGGTTACATGTAAATGAATAAAAAGGAAATTGTTTAAATGGTTTATATGGAAAATTCGATCAAATAATGGGATTGGCTTAATGTATTTTGATTTCAAAATGCTTTCTTGGCAATGGTAATAAAATTATAATTTAAGTGGTTGTGCTTTCAAATATGGAATCCATATATTCTTATGGGAAAAATGGTGGAATAGCAACTTCCTACAATCTAGCTGAATATACAGCTATAGAGCAAAATAAATAATAAAGCACTAATTTGAGAAGCATAAACAACCATAAAATAGACGAGTGTACACTGTGCTAAGGATAAAAATGTATCATTCTGGAATTATCAGGGGAGGCTCCCCGGAAAGCAGGGTAGCGCTATCCAGATGGCCGGCCTTGGGCAGGTCACTCAGTGTCTCTGGTTTTGGGCATGTTCAATAAGAGTCCAAGCTACAATTTAGACTAAAGTCAACCCAGAGAGCTGACCAAAGAGAAAGTACATATTACTGAGGATGGGAACAGAAACAGTGAGTAAGAGGACATCCTGGGCTAACCTTTAGGAGCTGCCAACGTTTAGGGGTTACGAAGATGACAAACCCCTGGAAAAAGGAGCAAAGAATGAGCAAAGAAATAAGATAATAAGACAGTGCAACGTGAGAGGGCCCTGAGACCTGAACATATGTGAAAGCAGACAGTCAAATACTATTGGGAAATATTGTCAACAACAAAAATAAGTCTCCTGAATTTGACTAGAAGTCTAATTTTGACATGGAGGCAATTATCTTGGGAAACTATAGGAGGAGGTGGTCATTGAGGACAAGAGAATAGTAAGAAATTGAAGGAGAGGGTTCTTGATCAGAGATATTTTGTTTCCTGCTGACAATAATTGAACTTGAGCAAGCATAGGCAATAGGGTAAACTTATTGGCTCACCTGTTCAAACCAGGTAAGGCATGGGTTTGAGAACTTTAAGGATGATCATCACCAGGGAATGAATAACTTCCAGGACTCTATTTTCTTCTTATCTCTGCTTCTCTCTCAGTACTGGCTTCATTTCCTCCTACTGTAGACTAGCTTCTTTCACTTGGCAGAGGAAATTGTGGCTGGTAGATCTTTCATGTCAGCTTTGTCACCAAAGGGTTCTTTTTTTTTTTTTTTTTTTTTTTTTTTGAGACGCAGTCTCGCTCTGTCACCCAGGCTGGAGTGCAGTGGCGCAATCTCGGCTCACTGCAAGCTCCGCCTCCAGGATTCATGCCATTCTGTTGCCTCAGCCTCCCGAGTAGCTGGGACCACAGGCGCCTGCCACCATGCCTGGCTATTTTTTTGTATTTTTAGTAGAGACAGGGTTTCACCATGTTAGCCAGGATGGTCTCGATCTCCTGACCTCGTGATCCGCCCGCCTTGGCCTCCCAAAGTGCTGGGATTACAGGCATGAGCCACTGCGCCTGGCCAAGGATTCTTTGTTTCAATGTTAACATCCCAAGGCAGGACTGACTGGCCAATAGCTATTACCAACAACACAGGACCATGGAAGAAGGCACAAGTGAACAAGACATTCTCCAAAAGAAAAGAGATGGCTAATTTCCAAAACCCCAAAATAAAGAGACATGGGACAGACAAAATGATGTGTTCACTGTAAGCAGTTAGGAAATGGAAATGCTTTTTAAGACAAGAGAAAATAACATGTTTAAAGGCAGAAAGGATAAGATGAAATTGTGGAGAATAAATAAAAAGGAAGAAAAGACATATGGAGGAATTCCCACTTAGTGTGAAATTAACCAGAATGGGGCCTTAAACTCACAAGTGGCTTGGAGAATTATTTTTCTACTTAGTTTGAGTTCTTTCCTGACTTCTGTGCTCTTCCACTCTTCCTGTTTGGTCATCTCCTTGACTAACTCTCCTGCTTCACTCCCTAGTCCTAGTCCAGAGTTTATCTTCTTCCCTTTTGACTGGTCCTTCATTCAGACGTATCTTTTTATAATGGCTCCCCGTGGCTTTGCATTTCTGGGAACTGCCTAGAGCCTTGGACTCTTTCTCCACCCCAGTCTAGGAGTAAGAAGGCTGGGCAGGAACAACCGGGCCTTTACAGACCCAAGAAGGGATGGGATCAGTGGCACAGATGAAGAATTCAGCTATGGCAAAGAAGGGAGGGTGGGCATCTTTCCCTTAGATAAACCAGAAGGAAGAAACAAAAGGGCAAATTTCTGCAAAAAGACAGATTTGAGGAGTGAAGGAGATCGGTTAAAGTTAAGGTTAAAGGAAAGATGAATGAGGGATTTTGGGGAGGATGGCCTCAATCTTTCAGAATAGTCTAAGTCAAGTCCATCTACTGCTAGAAAGGATGGCAAGTGTAGGAGCTTAAGGAGTTTGTCAGTTTCCTAGGCAGCCACAACAAATTACTACAAACTGGGTGGCTTAAAACAACATAAATGTAGTTTGTCACAGTTCTGGATCCCAGAAGTCTGAAGTCAAAATATTGTCAGGGCCTCATTACCTCTGAAGGCCCTAGGGGAGAATCCTTGTTTCTTCCAGCTTCTGCTGGCTGTTGGCATTTCTTGCTTGACGCCACATTATTCCATTTCCAATGTTTTCACATGGCCTTCTCCTCTGTATGTGTGTCAAAATGTCCTCTGTCTTACATGTCATTGGATTTAGGGTCCACCTGGATAATACAGGATGATCTAATCTCAACTCTTAATTTAATTATACCTTTTCCCTAAATTAGGTAATGTTCACTGACTCCGTGGATTAGAGCATGTACATTTCTTTTTGGGGACCACCCCAAAATCCATTCAACCCACTGCAAGGGGAAAAAAAGGTGGATGAACAGATACAGAAAGTTAGCCTTGGAGCATGGCATAGAAGAATAAATAAATATGATTGCTGAAAAGAGACAAAGGCCAAGTCAGAGTTGGACACGTGACTTTTTCTTAGGCCAAGACTGCATGATTCCCCAGTGGCTTTTGGCAGACTGGAAGCAGGAGCAGGCAGTGGGGTAACCCAGAATAGGGTGTTTATAGGTGGGCTTAACAGAGGGTTAGGGAGATGAAAGGCTTGACCTTTCCTACTTCCAGCTGCAGAACATTAGATGTCTGTTTATTGGAGTGAAATAATACATGTTAAATCACCTTGTAAACTATAAAGCATTTAATGGAATAAGGAGGTATAATTTTTACTTATATCCCTCACTCCTCTCTGTACCTTATTCTTTTTTTTTTTTTTTTTTTTTTTGGAGACAAAGTTTTGCTCTTGTCACCCAGGCTGGAGTGCAATGGCACAATCTCAGCTCACTGCAACTTCCGCCTCCTGGGTTCAAGCAATTCTCCTGTCTCAGCCTCCCAAGTAGCTGGGATTACAGGCACCCACCACCACACCCAGCTAACTTTTGTATTTTTTTAGTAGAGACAGAGTTTCACCATGTTGGCCAGGCTGGTCCTGAACTCCTGACCTCAGGTAATCCACCTGCGTTGGCCTCCCAAAATGCTGGGATTACAGGCATGAGCCCTCACGCCTGGCCACCTTATTCTTATATCCCAGAGATATTCTTACTATCCAATTCGACACTCCTTCCTATCCTCTCCTAAATCCCCAGTGAATAAAACTTTAAACAAAATCTCTATTCCAGTAAACCCAAACTTTTTTTTTCATGATGATGCCTGCGGTGACCATAGGATCCAAGTAAAAAAGTCATTGATAAATACTCTGAAAAAAAATACCGGCTCTCCAGTACCGTGATTGCAGAGAGTATATGGCTGTATCACAAGTTTCTAAAAAACATGTTACAGAATTTTCATCTATTGGTAGGACCAGGAAGAGCTCACAAAGCAAGCCTCCAGGTCACATTTCCAGGGCAACACTCAATGGTCCCACCTCATCGGAGAAGGTTTGCTGCCAAAGTGAAAAAGCACGGGTTACTTCACAAACCACTAGATCTGGGATTTTTAAAGTTCATTTCCCCCTTTATCTTTTTCTATCTTTTTATTTTTCTTACAAAGCAGCAGAGCTCTCTCTTCCAACAAAAATTTATGTCAAAACAGATCAAAGTGGAGCTGCCATAGTTGTTGGGGGAAGGCAAGCAAGAATAGCCCCCGCAGCCCGCCTCCCCAGCCTCTGGTGTCTTTTCTGACAGGCCCTTGGAGAGAAGCCCCTGGACACTTCTAGAAATGATTTTGAAGCCGTTGGAGTAGGCTTCAAGGACAAGAGCAGCTCTTCTGGTCCCAGAAAGTTCAGCATCTCTTCTGTGAGTAGCCTGACTCAGACTGAGCCTTCATCAATTAACTTTACTACTAAATAGCAGAATCACCAAATATTTACATGGTGAGAGACTTTAGATAACATCTACGCCGACTCTCTCCTTTTTGGTCAATTCTGAGAACATTCAGCAATAGCTAACTCGAATTCAGTTGCTCCTTCCAACAAGAACATGGAACTTCTTTATTTGTTCTCTCTGTGATCCTTGGCATGAACAACATTAAAAATATCTGATATAAAAGTTTCCAGGACAAATGTTTCTATTTCATTCGTGATGACATCTTACCATTTTTTGAGAATGCTCATAGTCTCAATTAAGGCCTCTGAAGAAAGGATGTCAGTCCAGGCGCCCAGTTATACTAATAGCCCCATTTCAATCAAGCTGCTTTCTGGAGAACATCCTTGTCTTCTACCCCTATCCACCCCTTCAAGATATATATGTATATATATATATATTTTAATTACCAAACATCTCTCTAATCTGAGGGTATGTGTTTTCCTTAAGGTCTATTTATTTCTTGGCCATTTGACATGCCCAAGATAGCACAACTTTCATGGGGCCTGTTTTTACTTCACTACAATTGGCGATTTTCCCTGCTTGAATAAACTTGCACACATTAAAAGTTTTAATAGAGGATTGAGGATTGCAAGTAAGTGTTAATAGGGCAGACCTCCAAAATGAGCCAGATACAAAGGTATTTGGCAGAGGAAAAATAATTCACTAACTTGAAATAGCAGATAAGCAACCAATGGAGTTAGAATCAAATGCCATTATTTGAGAAAGGCGTTCAGTAAAATTCCTTCATACAAATTAACAAATATTTATGCAGAAACTCCTATGTGAAAAACATTGTGCCAGGCTCAGTTATGGGAGTGGGGTGGGGAGGGGAACATGAAGATAAATAAGACAATTTCTTTTCTCAAGGAAATGACCACATAATTGGAGATATTGGCCAATAAACTATAATGCAACACAAAGAAGTTAGTTAAGATAGATTAAGAAGAGGGAGAAACATCATCTGCATGAAAAGTAGGGTGGCTATCAGTGAGAATGGAGAGAGAAGATATTCAGATATTCAAGATATTCAAATATATGAGGCAAAATACATTTTTATCTTAAACTGGCTAGAGAAGGTGATAAAGAGAGAGAGAAATCAAAGATAATATCATGTTTAAAGCCTGTGTTAGTTTCTAATAATGTCATTAGCAGAAAAGTGAGGCAAGAGTGGCAATGAAATGACAAAGTTTTACTTTGAATGGGAAAAATTTAAGGTGGTATATCAATGTAGGTGCAGATACTGATAATCAAGAAATTACACCAAGTGTGATAGCTCACACCTATAATCTCAACTCTTTGGGAGGCCATGGTGGGAGGATCACTTGAGCCTTAGAATCTGAGACTAGCCTAGGCAACATAGCAAGACTCTGTCTCTTCTGTCTCTTTAAAAAAAACAAAAACTGGCTGTGGTGGTGGGTGCCTGTAGTCCCAGCTACTTGGGAGGCTGAGGTGGGAGGATCACTTGAGCCCGGGAGGTCAAGGCTGCAGTGAGCTATGACTGCACTATTGCACTCCAGCCTGGGCTACAGAGCAAGAAGAAATTCAAAGAAAAAAGAAAAAAAATCAAAGAAAAAAAAAGGAAAAAGAAAAAAGAATTGAGAAGAATAGGGTCTTAAGTTGACCTTAAGAGAGAATGTGGCTTGAATCATCTCCATCCAGTGACTTATAAGAAAGTGGACAAGATTTTCAAAGAAATAAGGATAAAGATAGAAAGGGGGAAGAGACAAAAGCACTGTGGAGAAGAGAGTTTCACAAAGAAAACACAAAAGCATCCAAACTTCCAAAGAGGATGAAGAAGAGGAGGACCCGTACCTTGTTGAAGCTGGCAATTAGCAAGCAGACCACTGGAAACTTTTATGAGTGCTGTTTGAAGAGGATAGTAAGTTTTCCTTACCTCATTGATCTGTTTACTCCAAACTTCTGCTACCTCATAATCTGAGTTTGCGATGGTCCTGACTTGACCTCACAGCATCTCTCTATGCAACTTTTCAACTCTCTCTGCTAGTTGCTTTCTTATTTCCTCAGAATTTTTGAATTCAAATTCCCAAAAGAAAAAATTCAGTAGTACTGGAAGTTCATCTTCATTGTGTGCAGGCATCACAAGTTGCTGGCCAACTTACAGATTGCCTTTGGGTTGGGTACCTCTTGGGAGCCGATGGTCTATAACGGGGGATGGCACCCCTCACCAGCATAGGACTGTCTCTTCAGCACAAGCTGGGGTGGGGTCAGCACCAAAACAAACAAACAAACAAAACAGTGCACTGTGTCCCCAATATAACCCTCTGTGTCAAAGTGTAAGGATCCAAACTCTAAATGGTTCCAGGAATCTTACATAGTGTCTACCAGGGAAGAAAAGTTCTCTTTACTCCAGCATCTAATCACTTGACAGGTCAATATTAATAACATCTTGTATTTGCATAGCACTTTAAACTTTTCAAAGTGCCTTTGCAAAATGTTATTCTAAAGGACTTTCAGAGACAGAAGGATATGTATAAACATACTCTACAAGTGCAAATAATCTATAAGCCTTACTTTATGCAAATGAATTAATAAAAAACTATATGATGACTATGCTTAAACAATGCTCCATAATAAATTGCTAGTTTTAGGTGCTTAACAAAACAATAAAATCTATCAATTTCTCTAGTTCTGTACCTTTAATGATTCTCTCAGCACCTCTGCAGCTGAGCGGCCGCTACAGTTAGTTTTCAGGCCAAAGAATTTGCCTCTCCAAGTGCCAATGTTACTACAGAAATACTACTTATTACTCTTTATTAAGCCACAGGGATCAATGTCTCTTCCTCTGGATTTGGTGCCCTGGAGGTGGTGTTGAAAGTGGGGAGAAATCCCAGACCCATACAGAACAAGCCAATCCAGTCCGAGTATGGTCGGCCTTTGGAAGGCCACAGCTGCAGTGAGACAAGTGAGGTATCGTGTATTCGTTGAGGACATACCAGCAGCTGGACAAAAATACATGATCTCCCAACTCTGCATCCAGTACTCTTCCCTAAACCTCATCAATGAATAAGTAATGTGACTTTAGAAGATGGAGCAAGCAAACCAGAAAGAAAGAAATATTTTAACTTCTGATCTGCCCCAGGCTTCGTTGTATTACATGGTATCACTCTTCACCCAGTTATGTAAGCCAGAAACATATCCCTTTTTCTCCTCCCACACCCTGCCCACAACAACCCATAAACCACCCAGCTCAGTCAGGTTACTTCCGAAATATATCTTGAATCCCTTCTCTCTTTCCTGACTTCACCATCACCATCTCAGTCAACCACTAGCTATGGCTTTGATGACAGCCAAAGCTTCTTGGTTGGTTTCCCTGCTTCGGCCCACTTACAGTGCATTCCTGATAGACTGGCCAGGGTAATCTTTCTGCGCAAAAATCCTATCTTGTCTTTCTTTGGTGTCCAATTCTTCGCTGGCTTCTGACTTCATTTAGGATAAAAACTAAACATCGTACTCAGGCTCTGCGTGATCTTGGCAACTCCACTAAGATCACTTCCTCTCCCCATCATTGACAGCCCCAGGCACACCAGCCTCCTGGTGGTTCCTAAGATGTGCCCAGCTTGTCCTGCCTCCAACCAGCAATGGAAACTCTTCCATCTGCCTGGCTGTGCTTCCTCAGCTTCTTATCTATGTGGCTCCTTCTCAACCTTCAAATCTCATCCTCATGGGAAGCCATCCCTGACCACTCAACTTAAATCGCCACCCACTTCCCCCCAGTTATTCTCTACTGCACCACTCTTTTTATTCTTTCCTGGAGATTATTAAAATCTATATATTTTAATGTGTGCAGATATTTATTGTCTTTCTTCCTCACCGCAATATAACCTCTGTAAAAGAAGAATTCTCATTTGCACGATTTACTGCTGTAGCCTCAGGGCCAAGCCCTGTGCCTGGCATAGAGCTCCTCTTGTCAGTTCCACCTCCAAGATACATCTTAAAAGCATGCTCTCTTCCTTGTCTCCACTATCACCATCCTAACCTAAGCCACCATTCTCTCTCCCTTGGACTGATGCAATAGCCCTCGATTGGTCCTTCTGTTTCAACTCTAGTCCAGAGCTCAGTAAATACTTGTTGATAGAACAAATAAGCCTATCATGCTGGGAATAATAATACCTGAAAGAGATAGGAATCCATATCCTGTAAGAAAATCACTTAGCTTTTCCCAAGCACTGAAAGAACATCAAATGCTCACCAGCTTTCACACTCAGGTGATAAAATAGGAGGCATTTTATCCAGCTCAGGCACAGCACAGTTGAAATGCCACATGGAGAACAGAGAGTATTCAATTTTCTATGAGCTACTATTCCAGTGGTATCCACAGAGCTGCTGGGCTCTAAAGGAGGAGGTGTAGGAAAAAAAAACCAAATGCCTACGATCTTAACCACAAACACCCACAAAAATAGTAATAACGTTCAAAGACCTCAACAACCCATTTCTGACCACATCAGAGAAGACTCACCTGGAGACCTTTCTCTAATATCTGTATCTGCCATGAGGTTAGGGATGCTGTAAAAATAGATAGAAAATAGGGGCACTGTTAATTAAGGAGACAGCTCAAAAGCTTTCTAATACTCATCACACCTTTGAACTAGTAATAAGATGATTGTAGCTTCCAATACCATTTCCCCATCATCAGACCCAGAAACAGCTTTTGGCTGAGAGGTGAGAGAGTGGAACAAGGGCCTGTGTAATCCCACATGCCAGGATGCCATTTTGTAAAATAAAGCCAAGCCTATTGTGTAGTCTTCACATGATTCCCACTGATTTCAAGACACCCAGGGCAGTATCTGTAACATACTCTCACATAGAAAGTGAAAACGCATGTACATGTGGGCTGTGGCAGCTGGTTGGGTTGGAGGCTGTGGGTGCTTGAAACTGGTGCAACCGGGGCAAGAAACACCTGCTTCTTGTCTCATTTGAAGTGACTTGGAGGGAAAAATTGTCTTGAGGTGACAGAAATAATTATGTAAGTTTGTCTGGAACTGACAAAAATGCATTTGACTGTCACAAAGCAAATGAGGCTGTCCTCCAAGTTGGCACCCAGCAATTGCCCCGGGTAAAAGATGCCACAGATAGGAAAATGAGTGCCAGCATCATCTGGGCAGCACAGTGGCTTCTCAGCTCCTCCCCACTCCCAGGCTCATTCAACACAGTTGCGGGAGGCCACCCCCGTGTCCCAAGGTAATATTCCAGAAATCACCACTTCCTTTCATTTAGGGTCTCTCCCCATCCCCCGTGCAGACTTGCAGGCTGGCGTTGACCTGAAATCCAGCCCAGGAATGAAACCTCAGAGCTTAATCCACTAAGTCGGCCTGGCTTTGAGCCCCAGAGAAAATGGGATTTCTATAAAATGTTCACTTTAAAGAGAGATTTGCTCCCTTCACAGCTCCTTTTCTGTGTCACATGCCATTAACTCACAAAACCCTGGCCATTGCCGAGGCAGAGGCTCGAGCTGGCTATGCAGAAAGGAGCACATGCCCGCATTTGCTGTGTCTCTGAATGAGGCACCATTTGATTCGCACGAGCTGTGGTTCTCTGCCGCAGTATCTACACTGCAAAATCATACTGGTTCACTCACTTCCTTGCCTCCACTGAATATCATAATTTGACACGGTGATAAAAACACAAAGACTCCATTGTGACTTTGACTCCTCCCGCCACTTCTCCTTGTGATAGAAGCTTCAGGAAGGCTCGGCTCACGAGCCAGCACAAGTGCACAGTGAACTAGGAGCCAACACATTCCTCACTGGGAGTCTACGCCATGCAAGCAAATCCCCACGTGTTTCAAAAGCATCACTGGTTTGCTATCGCCGGACTACTACTCACCACTTGGGGAGTGCAGTGGTTATTCTTCTTTCTTTCTTCACCCCCACCCCCTGCCCCTCATTCCTTCTCCACTGTTCTCTGTCCAATTTGGTGTCTGGTAGACTGACCCCCTTGCAGGTTGCATCACCCAGGCTTGCTTGCCAGGGTGCTAAGGGAAGCCCCCACAGCAGGTCAGAGCTGGGGCAGACAGGTCAGGTAGTTCTCCCCTCACTCCCTGTCAGCTTGCCAGCCAGTCTCTTGGAGGAGCTGTGTCCCTCCAAGACTAAAAATACACACCAGGAAATTCCTCCTCCTAGGCTCCAGCTCTTGGTTCCTGTGCCACCATTTCCTCCCCTTGCCATGTTAGTCCTAAGTGTGCCTCACTTCCAGTCTCTGGGGGCACCATCATCCACTGAATGTCCTTTAATTCTGCATACACCTAAACAAGAAGTCCCTTCATTAAGGGCTCTTCATCTGAACCATGTGAATTCTATTTCTTGCTGATGCAGGTAGGACCACTTGGTGCTGCCAAAAGTCCCCATCCCTGCTTCAGGGATTCTGGTTTTAATACTCAAAGAACTCTGCATCCAGTCACTCTTGCTACCGGTGTGATCTCTTCTTGTGCCTTACTCCTAATACATGGTTTCTGCATCCTTCTGAGATCATGTTGTGGCTCCATTCTGCTCATTAGGTGTGTGTCTTGTGAACTTAGGCCTGGTTCCCAGCCTGGGCAACCTGTCTAACATCCCAGACCTTTTAGAGATTGAAGGTCACTTCCTCTTGATAACTCCCCCTGCCCCAGACCCTGGCACCTGAATTCCAGCCAAGGCTCAGCTCCTTGATTCTCAGTATGTGCATCTAGTTAGATATCTGGATAGTACCTGCCTCTTGTTCCTGCTTTGATATTACTATTGATTGTTTGTCCACAGAAATACTGGCTTGCTAGGTCAACTGGAATAACCACCTTTTGTATTTGTTGTATTCTCCAGAGAACATGTTCTATCTGTTTCACTGGACTTCCACCTTCAGATCCACTTCCTAGGACCAGGAATCTCCCCACATATGCCATCTTGTTAACATTTATTTGTACATCTCTAAAGACAGCTGCTTGCCAGGATGACCACTTGGTTTTAATATTTTTCATATTTTCAAGATGCCATGTCCTACCTGCTGCTTGATCAATGACAATTTATATACACTAATTGATTGATGACCACTTATTTCACTACATCTGAGTGCCAGCTCAGTGATTCAGTGACAGTCCCATACTTTTGAGAGTCAACCAATTAGTGGTGGAGTCACGCCAGCGTCAGTTCTGAAACCTAACCAATCAATAAGTCTTGCCTCCTGCCCCCTGCCCCCAAAACCACACTTTTATGTTTGAGGTCAACCAACTACCACTTCTGTAATCAACATAATCTCAAAGCAACCCTTCACCCCAAATCTTGTCCAGGATGAGCAGGCTGCTTTGCTCAGAGAGATTATGGCTAGCGGGTATTCTCTTTCTTACTTGAGTAATGAATTCAGGTTTTTCTTTCAGTTATTAAGTGCTGATACGTTCCCTTTACAATACAAAATAAAACGTTTTAAGCAAGGTAAAAATAGAAGGAAGCTTTTTTAGCTTGATAAAATAAATTGACTAGATATGTAAAAAGTATTACACTTAATAGTGAAACAGTAGAAGCATCTCTATTAAAGGCAGAAACAAAGTCACTGTCACTGTTGTTGTTTCACAGTGTGAAAGGTGACACTGGGGCAAAACAAGAAGACAAAGAAATAAGGACTAAATATAGAAATTGTCATGATTTTCCAGGAAATTAGTGTTTACTAAAAAAGTCCAGAATCAATTTGCACCCTCTTAGAACCAAAAAGAAAGGTCAATAGGGTGGTTGGATATAAGCTCAACAAAATACTAACAATATTGGTAGTAATCACTAAACTGTATTGAGTGCTTACGATGTGCAGGTGCTATTCCACATGCTTCACGGGTTTTATGTAATTTGAAACTCACAATAACCCTTTGAAGTAAGTACTGTTATCCTTACTGCTTAAGAGGTGAGCGTACAGAGATACAGCGAGATTAAGTTGCCAGAATTACCCAGCTTGTATGATGTTGCTGGGGTTTGAACACAAGCAAAGCAGTATCAGAAATCATGCTGTTAACCACTTTTACACTGATCTCTATGCTTTTTACTCATGGATCCCAAGAGTAAAAAAAAAATTGAGCGAGCACCCCCATCTATGTATATGTTTATTTTGTAAATTATATGCACATTATAGAACAAATAAAAAAACATTTAAAGGACAGGACAGAGATGAACCAAACAATTTTTTCAACACATTCTCAATGAATTAATAATTGAATTAATTTATCTTTATTTTATGACGCTGTCCTGGACATGGGAAGGTTAAGAAAACATTCCTAACTTAGCTTGCCTCCCATGATACGTAAGGCAGCATTTGCAGACCCTCCTATGATCCTGGATGTTGGCAGGCTTCTGTGTGACCTCCAATGCTGGCTTCTTCCTAGTCCCCATGATGCGGATTGGGGTGGCTAGATAACCAGTTTTGGCGTGGGTCTTCAGTTTGAGCAAGGAAGCATTAGTGAAGGCTTCAGTCACCTCTATGGGTGCCCTTTTGCTTGTTAAACAGTGGCTGTCTGAGGTTGTTTTCCCCTGAAAATGAAGCCAAAAATATGGACTTGGGTGGAGCTAGTTTATTTGGGAGATGATCACAAAAGCAGGAGCAAGGAGGTGGGGAACCTGAGACAGGAAAGGAAAAGCCAACAGGAAGGCACATTATCAAGGTTGCTGCTGTAGGCAATGGGAGCTCCGTTCGCTGGGACTTCTGGGGAGTATAAGGAACTCTTCCCAGAAATATCTTTCAAAAGGCAGAGGCTGGAGCATGTGTCACAAGCTCCCATCCCCCCTTGGTAAAGAGCTACCCCCGGGTCATCATCCAGACTGCTCAACTTCTCAGACATTAACCTGAGTGCCACCCACAGACACTCAGCGAGATTGTAATAGGAGTCACAGCGAACAAGTGGCTCTGATTTGTAATTGTAAACCAGCTACCAGGAAGAAAACTTCTAGGGCAGCATATTTCACACAATAATCAGAAATTTGGAATAGGAAATGCAGACACTAAAGGAAGACACTCTTGGTGATGATGATCATGGCTTTGCTCAAATTGACAATTTAAGTTTGTGATCCTGATAACTAGGGAGTAGGCCACCCTGCATTTCTTACCAAGATGCACTGATTTGAGTTCTCCCACAAGCCCCTGACTTCTCTTTCCTCCTGTATCACAAGAGTGACAAGTCACAAGTGTCCCAGTGAATAAGGTCAAGAGGAACAAAGAGAGGCTATTTCCTGCCCAAACATCATATACTTCATGGGTGATTGCATACTCTTGGATGACAGCTACTGCCGAAATGACTGCAAGCCCAGAGCTGAGCTTCAAGAATTACACAACTTATAATGTAGTTAAACACCCTATAGTTCACATCTGGAGCTCTTTTCTTCCCTGACTCTCTTAATCTCCCCACAGCTCGCTGCCCACTTCTCTGGCTGATTGCAAAGGCAGCAGAGCTATCAAACTCTCAGATTTAAAGATCTCCTGATGACACTTCCAAGGTCTTTCCTTTTCAATCTATGGCTGGGCACCACCAGCCAGCACCACCCCCACCCTCACTCCCTGCCTCACACCCCCTCCTGCCCAGAAAACCTCTTTAGCCCCCATAGGATGATGAAGCCCTCAGAAAGCAGGTTTGTAACCTCTCTGTGTTTGCAAACACTTCCTGAGATCTCTCTCTGTCACACACAGGCTGTTGTGCTACTCATTTGGCAAGTATTAAAAAAATCACAAACCCATCCCCTCCCTGCGGGTAATTAATGTACTTCAGTCTTTCTGCAAGCACAAAGTACTCTTCCTTCAGGCCACAACATTTGATAAAGAAATGAATCTTTGAGATTATTAATTCCCTGGGCTGAGATTTTGTTTAATAACTGTTCTGTCAGTGATAGATCTGAAGAGGTAGGGCATGTGTGATGTGTGTGTGTGTGTGTGTGTGTGTGTGTGTGTGTGAAAAAGAGATGGAGGGAAGGAGGTAGGAGGGACTGAAACAGAGACAGAGATAGAGACATGGATAGTAGGAGGGTAGTGGAGTGGCGAGGGGAGGGTACTGTGATTGTGGCCTAGAGACCTGGCAGGCTGGCATTACAAAGCACCTCCTTACCGAGAGCTGGAGCACCGGTGTGACAAATCACTGCTTCCCTCCATTCCCACCTCCC
The DNA here is from genome assembly GCF_000001405.40 of Homo sapiens. Classification (NCBI taxonomy): domain Eukaryota; kingdom Metazoa; phylum Chordata; class Mammalia; order Primates; family Hominidae; genus Homo; species Homo sapiens. The sequence continues at coordinate 204,256,586 of NC_000002.12, forward strand.
CATCTCCCCACCTCACTGTCTGTACTAGCTGATTAGGTCCAAATCAGCCAATTACAGAACATGATTTGGGAAATATTTCCTCCTTGACATTCTGGAGAACAATCCCTTGCTGAGGAAAAAAATACATTATAAAATAAATGGAAAAGCATCAATCAGCTGGGAAAATGTATTCTACTTGTTGGAGGCAAGTGATGTTTTTCTTTAGATGGGACTGAAGGCAGAGCGGTTTGATTTTTTACTAAGACACCAAAACAGCAGGGAAGTATCTGCATATAAGCTGTTACCTTTTCCCCCTATAAAGCAGGATACCCTAGTAGATCATTATCAGAGAAGCAGGCATCACATGATGGTCAGTAAATTACTTGTCCAATTTTGGTGCGATTTGGGTAAAAGCACAAAAGTAATTTCATTGCCAGCAGATAGCCTCTGCCCACCCCCACACCACTACTTCCTTTTTACACACACACACACACACACACACACACACACACACACACATATCTTCCCCAAATGGAAGAAAGGTCAAATTGCTGAAGAGGAAGTTGTTTTCCCTTCTGGTATGTACCTCACCCCTGCCAGCCTCATCCAGAGTTTTTGGCAATTGGCAGGTTTTTATACCAGACAAAGCAGGCCTGGCTTCTTAACCCTTATGTGGGGATAAGACTCCCGGGAGGAGGAGAAGGTCCTCCTGTGAAGCAGACCTGTGCAATGAGGCCTGGAAACTTTGGGCAGCCTGTCCCCACCCTTCCCCTCTCTCTCTTCATGTGGCACAGCTTTCTACCCTCCTCCTGTCCTCAAAGATCAAGAAACATGTGTTTGTGTGACTCATAGGTCCATGAACTCAATCCAGAGGGTAAGTAACTCACTGAATGAATGAGATGTGTCATTCCCAGGCTATAATCGTAATTCAAGGCCTTACCTTTTCCTAATGAGCCTCATGGCCTGGTATATTCATGCCTGCCTCTCTGCAGCTGCAGCCCCCAGCCTCTACAAAGTCCCACAGAGCCCTAGGCCTGGCGGGAATGTCCACTCCCCTCCTGCATTTAGGCTGGAATAAAGGGCTTGAGCTCCTCTGAATGGCATTTGCCTTCTACTGACTTTGAAAAATACATGTATTTCTTCCCATTTGTGCTACCTTGACCTACCTACATGGCACTTTTTTCTCACAAAGTAATCACAAAATGCAAATATGCTACAACTTTGTTTTTCTTTCTCAGTTAAGGGACAGGATGTCCATGACAGAATATGTGTAGTACATATTAGCGTGAATGGATTCTCAGCAAAGTAGTAAAGAAAGCTTCATTGACTCTCAGCTGCTTTTCCCCTCTGTTTTCGTCACCTTCCATTTTTACTCCAGTCCCATGCTCCTCACTGCATGCATGCACACACACTTCCCTTTTGGAAACACCCAATTCTCCCCCAATCCAAATCATTGACTGCCATTTTCATAAAACGGTCCCTTTTTAATTGCCTCACTGAGGTCTGTTTGCCTTCCTAGGACAATACGCATAACCAGATCTTACTTGATTCCTTGCATCTATCAAAAGTCAACTCGATCATCTCTTTGGTGACAGTTGCTTTCCAACCTTCAGACCAGAAAAGATTCTATCTTCAACCATCTGAAATTCATCCAGATTCTATGTCCAATGTTCTAGTTTTGGAAAGTTTCCTCCTCAGCACCTACCCTCAATATTCTTTAGTCTTCAACTTTTCAGTCAAAATGTTTTACTATTTTTGCATCATCAGGATCTGAGTTCCACTAACAGTACGACGTGTCTGCAATTATATTGAGTGTGCATACACACCTATACACATTTCATCCAAAAATATTTCATTGCACGGGGGTAGTGTCAGTTGGTAAATGCTTGCTACTAAATCCCAGAAATTTCAAGTCCTATGAAAGTCCCTGGAGGAAGATAATTGGAGGTAGGCAAGAGTTTGAGATCAGACCAAAATAATAATGATAGTAATAATAATAATCAATATATTATCATTTGGCAAGGCCCTTCACTATTCTGATGCTCAGCTTTGGTATTCTTGCATGTTAAGTGTTGACAATAAGGCCTCATGTTGGGTTGGGTGAGAGTGGGGATGAATGAGATGAAGTACATAAGAAGCTGGCACATGGTCATTCCTTAATAAAATATGATTAATACAAGTCACATCATGTTGGTTTCTCTGTAGTCGTGGGACAGCCTTGCTCCCAACTCAAGTCTTGTTTCAGTGACCAGCAGGGTGTGTTGTCTCTGAGCTCACATTATTGTCCATGCCTCCCTGACACCACCCATTTTCAACATGGCTATCTGATCATGTTCTCCTGTATCCCCACTTTTTCTTTTCTCCTTTCCTAGTTTTGCCTTTGAAAAGCAGTCACACCAGCACAATCCCCTCATGCTAAGACACACAGGAAAACTTAAATATTTGAAAACCTTTCATTCATGACATCAGTCCAAAGGTCATCAAACAAGCTGTCAGGGGACTATGCCTCCAGTTAAATGCAGCAGCCATAAAAGCACCTATGCCTGGGAACCATCTCCCTAGCAACAGAGTTCCTGATGGCCAATGGACACTCATTTTGAAGCACTAACAGGGTTTTTGTTTTCAAAGCATATCTACTTCTTCTACTTTGATTAATCAACATCATCTCTTCTGGTGTGTGTTTAAGTGAAACAATAGATTACTGCTCAGCCACAGTTGAATGACAAAGGGTTTTCATGAATCTCAAGAAGAAAAAGCAAAAAAGCAAAAATCTACAATGGATTTTGTCCAAAGGGAAAACTTAAAAACCTCTCTTTTCCTTGCTGCCTAAGTTCTTGTAAGCAATTATGTTTAGAATAGTCTTTTGAAGCATGAACCATTCCTCTCTATATCACCAAAAATGTGGGGTAGTCCACCTTTTTCAGCTTTCTTTTTGGCTTAGGATACTTGAAACCTTACAGATAATTCATGCTTGGTTTATAAGAGTAACATTTAGAATAGTGCCCCAAATCATCTCCCAGTGATTCTTAGAACTCTGTTTTTTCAGACTCTGGACTCTGACAACTGTTTTGGACTTGCCTTTTGTTTCTGGCAGGGAGGGTTAAAATGTGTTTAGGAAGATACATTTCTCAGGGAATTTTTTTTTTTACTCTCTCTTCATTGGAATCCTTTTCTCAGCTTTAGACAGTTTAATGATTCTATGACACTAGGAATATGTCTGTGATGACTTTGCTTCACCTTCTTATGTTGGGACCAGCATTCTTGAATTATTCCAATACCCCTTAAGGTCTTCATCCACACTTGATTAAGATACTTAAAACAAACAGAGGCACTCCATTAAAATGTATCATCCATTAGTTTCTGGCTGAGTTTCTCCTCTAAATCCCTAAACACATGTGAAAAGGTAAAATAAGGAAGTAGAATTCTGTCTTGAATTCAGTTCTAAATACTTAGATGATAATTCTTGACTTTTAAGTCAAAATGCTCGTTCACTGCCTGGCAAGGAAGAATACAAAAGAAGCCATGTGCTTGATTTTGTATGTAATGAACATGTACTGAAATGCATTTGCTTTTGTCTTGCACATGCTCATTTTAAAGATGATCCATACAATGGATTGAGACTGAATTTTCTTCTAGGCTTCTTCTAGGAGGGGCACTAAATGGGGTGGGGGAGCTATATTAACAAGCGGGTCTTTCATGGAGTCCTAAAAGTCACCACGAGGTGGCAGACGAGCACAATATGAAGAAGGAATTACATCCCAGGGGGCCAACTCCTGGGCTCTGCTAATGGCTTGATTTTCCACTTACAAGCAAGAAAATGCCATGGAAACTTTTGTTTCCTCTTTGAGTGAACGAGGAGGGAAAGGGATGGGGGAGACACAAAGTCCCCTTCCACTGTGTGTTGTCTGCTGCCCCATAGCCACATCTGGACATTATAAATCACGCGTTGTTGGAGTTCAGCATTTTCTGATCTTAGCAACAGCCCCATTCTAAGCAGAAGGGAACCAGTATGTTTGGTTCAGCTTAAAAACAACTAAAATCACAGGTTAATGGGAGGAAAGAAAATAACTGTACCAGAGGAAAAAGCAACAGTGGAGCTTTTCTCTACAACCAGTACTGGGCGAGTAACTTTAGAACATAACAGGTTGCTGGTCCCAGCTGCCAATTAGTTCTTACCCTGTAACTTGTTCCTGCTCCCACCACAGGGACACGAAACTGCATGCGAGTCTTACAATAAAATTCCCTCTCTGTTCATAGCTCCTCCCACTGCCCCCTGTCCACCACCTAATTATTTATTATTATTATTACTTTTTAATCTTGACAATTGCTTGATATTCCACAGAACCTGCTTAGAAAAGGTGTGACATTGCTGCCTTTCAGCAGAAGATCACTCTGGGTGTTGCAGCTGCTGTGTTCTAGCTCAACTGAGTCTGATGCCTCCATCTGCCTGCCTCCTGCATTCCCCAGCTCATGGATCTCCATGCAAAATACCTTTAGACCATTTGCACTAGGATCTGTCTAATCTCGTTAGATTTCTCATTTTCAGCATAATACTGTCATGGTGCTGTGCACCAGTGCCCCAGATTAGTGGCTTGTCAGAATGGTGCCCCACTAATGAGCTAATCCAAATAATGCTCAAATCCCAAATCAGATTTAAGACGATCCAGTCTGGGTAGAATTAGGGAGCAAGAAATCCTGGCCCAAAGAACAAGCTTTCATTTTCTTTGTTTCACCTTAAAACAAAATAGGGGGAGTGCCTGTCAAACTCCAGACTTTTTTTTCCCCTTTGTATGACATTAACCTCCATTACACAATTGGGAATAATAAACAGAAAAGAGTACATCTGTATGGATTGGTATAAATTTACCTTAGAGGATTAGAAAACACAGACACACACACACATATGCGAGCTTAATATATTCAGCAGATCTATGTCCTTCACAGCTTCTAGTTTTCCTGACTTTCCTGTGAGCTTGACCTTAAGACCTTGTAGATTTTGAATCTGATGTATTTCAGTGGTGACCTTAGGATGTAGGGTTAGGTCAAAAAAATTTTTTTTAAAGCTTATTTGTTTTCTTATTTTCCCTCAGGGTAAACCTGGGCTCCAGAAATTCCAAACTGTATAATAACAGAGTTAAGGTCAGGACCCTGACAAAGGAGCTAAGGAGACAGAATGCAAGCAGAATCATTTGGGTTTCAGGTGTTCTTGAAAATGAAGCTTTGGCTTAAAAATGCATGCTTAGAAGGGTTTCTTGTTTCTGTGCCTTTCTAGTTTTGGGAGGAGTGAAAGACATGATTGCTGCTGGCACAAAGGTCATTTTTATGAAGGCCAACTAGTGGGCCCACAAAGAGCAATAGGAGAATCAGCTGCCTCCCAGTCTCCTCCACAGGGCATCCACTCAGGCACTGTCACAGCTTCACAGCCTTTCACGTTGCTGCTGTATAAAGCCGAAAGAACATGGCTTGGCTTTTTAAGAGTCAATTCAGCAAAGCAAGGCAGTTTGCCATGTGTTTTGACACACAAACGGAGCCAATTTGTTATTCGAATGGTAGCTTCAGAATACAAAAATGGACCATTCTGTCCTTTAACTTCTATAGGCTTTTTTTGGGAAAGCATCTCATTGCTTTCCTGTCAGTGTCTGGTAGTCCATTCCCCAAGGTCTTCAGAAATGTAATTTTAATGAAGCTCCAATGAAGTGCCTCAGCTTTATTTCTTCTCACTCTTTTTTTTTTTTTTTTTTTTTTTTTGAGACAGAATCTCACTTTGTCGTCCAGGCTGGAGTGCAGTGGTATGATCTCGGCTCACTGCAACATCTACCTCCTGGGTTCAAGTGATTCTCCTACCTTAGCCTCCTGAGTAGCTGGAAATATGGGCACCCACCACCATGCCAACTAATTTTTTGTATTTTTAGTAGAGACGGGGTTTCACCATGTTGGACCAGCTGGTCTCGAACTCCTGACCTCAGGTGATCCGCCCCCGTCTGCCTCACAAAGTGATGGGATTACAGGCATGAGCCACTGCGCCCGGCCATCTTCTCGCTTTTTGTACTTCCGTTTGATATGTGTGTAGCTTTATAATCACTAGAGTTTTTAGATTATAAGCTATTCAAAGAAAGTTTTGAGTTTGGTGCTTAATGGAGTTCTATTGTTTTGGAAATTATACAAGCTTTACACACTGATTTCAAATTTGGCCACATCATACACAGTCACGAACACAGGAAGACTATCTGGAACTCCAGGGTCTCTGTTGAATGCCTCCTTGAGAGGTGGCAGCTGTAACTCTCATTCCTTCACCACTTTTCTTTCCCTGTTGCCACGTTCGGAAACATATAGAATTATACTGGTTCCCATAACTCAGCTAGGTCAACAGACACTCTATCACCAGTGGGATGATCAGTCAAGGAGACTGATTTTATTTATTTTCCTATTTGATAACAGAAGGGAAGATTGACAAGGGAAATGAACACATGTACCTATAAAGACTTGTACCTAAATGTTCATACCCACTTTATTCACAATAACACCAAACTGGAAGCAGACCAAATGTCCTCAGCTAGCAAGCAGGTAAACAATCTGTGGTACGTTCATACAAGGGAACACAACGCAGCAGGCAATAGGAACCGATCACTGAAAATGCAACAACACAGAAGAATCTTGAAAGCACGAGCTGAAAGGGGCCAGAATGAAAAGGCTGTATCCTGTGTGATTCCATTTGTATAAAATTCTAGAGAAGGCAAAATCATAATGACTAAAATCAAATCAGTGGTTGTCTGGGGCTGGGACTTGGGGTTGGGAAAGAGAATTGGCTGCAAAGGGCAGGAGAAAACTCATTTGGGGTAGGTGGAAATGTTCTGAACGTGGCTGTAGTGATAATTACACAAAGGCACATGTTTGTCAAAACTCATGAAATTGCACACTTCGAACAGATGGATTTTTTTTTTTTTTTTTTTTTTTTTGTAGACACATGGTCTCACTGTGTTGCCCAGGCTAGACTTGAACTCCTGGGCTCAAGCAATCCCCCTACCTCATCCTCCTGTGTAGCTGGGATTACAGGCACCCACAACCATAGATGAATTTTATTGCACCTAGATTATGCCTCAGTTACAAAAAATTTTTAAAATCCTTTTTGGGTGGATGAGTTTTTATATTTTATGAAACTGTCATCAAATGAAAACACAAGAGCCAGAGTGAACCATTTTGTGTCTGTTTCAGCTTCATCACCTATTAGCTTTGCTGCTGCAGTTGAATTTGAAGAAAATCGTACTGTAATGCCAAAGCAAGTTGGTATAGAGAATACTGCTGCCATATTTTGTCACGCCTCCACAGCCTTCACAAGTTTTCTTACCCAGTGCTTGAGGAACGTGAACCTGTGATATTAATTGATTAGATGTCAGCTAATCAACTAAGTTTCTTTGGTTAACCACACCCAAGCCAGCTGCCTCATGCCACCCTCCACTCCTTGCCCTAACCGGATACTAATAACAATAGTTACCACAGTCCGCCTCCTCGCATTAACCCAGGAACAGGGCACAAATTGACGATCATTTTTCTTTGTGAATTATGACACATCGCCTCACCCCTGGAAGAAAGCAGCCCCTGCCAATCCTTTAAAACAGCCAGGAGAGAAATGAAAGGCCTGCTATCGCCTATCTGCTCCCCTGCTGACTCTAATTACCCAGTCGGGAATTTTACAATCCCTCCTTCCCGCCTGCCCCCAAATTGTAACAACTACTCCGCAGTCTGCAGACTTTGGCTGGTTCTTTCTTTTGTGTGCCCACCGCTGTCGAGTGGATTGGGCTCCTAATGAGTTCTGACACTAATGGAACTGTGAGGCAGTGCTATTACAGATTCCCCCCATACAGCCCAGACCTCGCAGGAAATGACCCGAGACTCCGCACCCTTCCACCCGCCAAAGAATTCTGTTGAAACCATCTTCAGCGGCCGGCTGCAGCTCTGCTCCCGCCTCTTCCTCAGTTCGGTTTCCTCTTCCCTCCATCATCCTGCAGGTGGCTGAAAATAAGATTTTATGGCCTGGTGCATGGTGGGTTGATTGACAACGCTGGAGACCTTCTTTAATTCAGGGGGGTTGTGGAGCATGGAGGTGAGATTGGAAATGGGAACTGGGGCCCATAAAAACAAAGACTTTCCCAACTTGCTCTTAAAAAGCAATCCAAAGAGGAAAAGAACTAGGGAAGGGACGGTTGTTTTCTATTAGATGCTTAACAATGTGTGTAAGTGGAGGTGATTTAAGAAAAAAAACAACATGTGCTTCTGTAATTTCCATGTTGCGTGTGGTACAGGTGTAAGAGACTGGAGCTAACTATTGAACTGTGAGCTAATTATAGTGAGAAACAGCTGTTGTCCTCTAATGAGGAGTCAGCAGCCACAAGATGCTGCTCTGTGAGGAAGCCCGGGGAAGCCTGTTGCAGGCTTTATTTCAGATTGCTTACCCATTACAAAATATTCCCTGCCACACACTTGGTCACAGGCCCGTTCTCACATCCACTCTAGCAGGTGATAAGTAATTTTCACCTTTCTGAGTCTAGAGAGAGGAGTATGTCCCCATTTTATTAACCTCTATGTTCCTTTTATAATTATTCCCCAGAAGTGTACAATTCCTGACCCCCACCCCAGCTGTGGGTTACCAGGAGGGGTGCCCCCTTTCTGTCTCCCTCTGATTTCTTTCAGCCCATTCCCATTTTTCTAGGTTTCCAGAACAATCAGATATTCCCCAAGCTGTCGACTATTTATCATGTGACACAGATGCTTACCAAACCATATTTTCTGTTTCTTGGTGCTACAGTTTTCTCCCTGAAGTCCCTTAAATGGGAACAAACATCTCTTCAATGTCAAGGAATGTAGAGCTTAGAGGGTCTGTGGAGGAGAAAGAAATACAACTTCCCATCTAGACCTCAGTCCAAACAAACTAGGAAGTGTTCCTGTAAAACTTGATTTTTAACAATGTTAATAAAATCCCATTTCACATCGATACAAGTGTTTAGAACACATTATGCCTCAATACCTTGCAAGGTGGGAAAAAGTTGAAATCCAAATGTGTTGAAGAAGCAGGTGCTCTACTCCATTACTCAAAGCATAAATGCCCCTTTTTGACCACATGAAGAGTAAGCAATTTAAAGTGACCATTTGTTTCCCACCATGTGTAAAGTATTATTTACTGTGCAATTGAATTAAAAACAAGGGCTTGCTATAGCAACTGCCCTAACAAGAGGCACTATTCACTGGCTGCCTTGGAAGCCCAGGGTCCAGGGGCCCATTAAGCACCTTTTTGAAAGCACTTGTCGGCAAACCGGTGGCATATGCGTCTTTTATGGTGTGTACAAGGCGGGGCTTGTACAATGAAAAGTTTCTCTGCAGACTGTATTGCTTTCAGAAGGGAAAGAAGAATGCCAGCAGCTATGTTTTTCCGTAGTTTGGGATTAGTAGAAATTTAATTGAAAATAAAACACAGAGCAACTGTAGTGGCAACTGAGAGGAAGAACAAAGGGTTTCTTCATGAGCCCAGCCCACCACATGGCAGCCCAGGGAGGCTGCCGCTGGCCTCATCTGCTCACTCCCATGCGACATCCAGGGCCTGGGAATAAGCCACTTTGTCATTACCCATCCTGTAGCACCGTTCGCAACCCAGGCATCCTTGAAAGAACCAGGGAGATTTCTGCAACACAGAGAAGGATGTGTTTAATTTATAGTTTGGTGCATGTGTCCACTTAAGGTCAATGTCTTGTCTCTTCTTACCCAGTAACCTTTTCTTGTTCCCCACCCCCCCACCGCCCCCATACATTCTAGTGCCCTTTTTGCCCCACATAATATCTCTGAAATCTTTATTTCATTCCTTGATTTTTTAAACCTCGGAGAAGTAATTTTTCCTTCTCTCTCTCTCAATGAATTTTGAAGAAGTCATGGATATTAATTACGACATACCATAGGCAAAGATTAGGTAAGAACGGGGGACTGTGAGGATTTTGTCCTCCTGAAAACAGTAACCCAAGGTCCCTGACTAATCTGATTGTCCCTCTTAAAGCTTCCCAGGTATTAGAGATTAGTAATATTGTCTGCTGTGTTTTATCCCTTTCTATCCCCAAATAACAGCTTCTGGAGTGTTCTGGCATGACCTCCTTCAGCTCTGAGCCTCCGCGTGAAGGTGACATCTGTCTAAGTGTCTCCTTCTTTCCTGCTTGCTTCTTTAGAATGGCAAAGGTTACCCTTCAGTAATATCACTGCCTCCTGACTGTGGCTAGGAGTAAAAGCATCTTCCGTCGTGTGATGTCTGGGGAAACTCAAGAGGCCAGGTCTCTTGTTTCAATAATATTGGCTGCCTTGATTCAAAGTGGCTATCTCCTAAGTTTGATTTTTTCATGAATGTTATGCTCAGTGGTTTTAATTCCTGCATTCTGGTGTTTTTACTCACTATTACTTCCACACCATTTGTGGATTATGTCAGAATCTAGCATGATTTCTTGCACATATCAAGTGTTAAATAAATGTTTCATATGAATGAATGAATGAATGAATCAAAAGAATGTTCTACATTGGAAAATAGCAGTTTGGTTTAACCTATTTGCAGATGAAAGAAAGAAGCTTGAAATGTAACTTCCTAAGGTGCCTACTAGCTCCTTAGAGGAACTTATTATATAGGAGACTTTGATTCAAGTTGTACTTTAAGATATATCAATAGGGAGAAATTAGCAAAAATGGCACAGTAAATCATTCCTAATTTTGACAATCCTGCGGGGGACAGATTCCACACAGAATATGGGCCCACAATTCCTTCTTCATAATTCCAGAATCCAAAAAGCTCTGATAAACAAAAGTTTTTCTTAACTCATTTGGCAGGAAATGTGACTGGAACTGACACAAGACTATTTAGAACCTTTGTTTATATTTATATCTCTTTGTCACCTTCACATGGAGGCTCAGCTTCACTAAGGGCAGCTATTCATATGCACCTCTGCAAATGTATGAATGTTTGATTATAAAGAGCTCCAGATATCCCTTGGTGTGTTAGGTAATAAATGACATATTTGCCAGAATCATTCCTTTTTCTAAAAATCTAAAAAATCCTGAATTTCAACCCACATGGCCTCAAGGGGTTCAGAAAAGAGGTCAGAGATCTATATTAACAAAATGCTGTTTTAGTATGTTCATGTTTATTCAGTAAGTTGAACAGATTATCAACAAGACAAGACATCCAGAGGTCCTAAATATTGTAATTAGGATTTCAAAGTATTATATTTTTAAAGCATGAATTCCTCATATAGCCAACATGTCATAAACACAGAAGAGGCAGCTGGCATTATCATGCCATCAAGACCAGAGAGAACGGTGCTGTCACTCTTATTTTCAAGGAACTCACAGTCTCCTGAATAATTTTGTAAGAAGTGGCACAAAAATTACTCACTGGGGGCTTTAAAACATACTTCAGTTTTAGATGCATTTGAAGCTTCCTTTGATTCTTTTAATTTTTCTCCATTAAAACTGGCAAAAATCACAAAGCGATTTCTTAATTGCAACCATGTTAACTGATACAAACTCGTAGAGCATGGAGCATTTTTTTTTTTTTTTTTATCGCAATGGGAACCCGTCACGTGCCTTTCCAATTACTCAGTGTCTTCAGTGGACGAGCAGTGCCACTGATCACTCAGCACTCCAATCGGGGATGGCAGGTACTGGTGAGGGCTTGGATCAAAGAAACTTTGAAGTTACAGCTCAAGTCCAAATGCCAGCTCTGGCAGGATGCATTTCTGCCTCTAAAAAGCCACAGTTACTCCTGAATGTTAAATGGGTTTGAAAAATTCAACCACCAGCACCAAATCCCAAGTCCCTCTTTCCAAGTGGGTGAGAAAACAAATGGGAGACAGCTTGCCAGGTGGGAGCGTCAGAAGCCCAGCTCACTCAGCATGTCTTGGACAGAAGCCTCGGCTTCATTTGCTCAGACCTTCAGAGCCCAACTTACTAATGGTTCTGCTAATGCAAAGGCTATAGATTTCACCGTATCAATAAAAACTGATGTTAAACAAATTATATCTCTAGCAGGCAAGTACCAAAAACCACAGCCTGGGTCACGTCCACTAGGAAGCAGTATGGCGCCATGGTGCTTAAAGTTGCAAAGCTTTTGGACAAAGGCGACTTCTGTGCTTGTGTTAAGTCTAAACTTTGGAAGAATTTTGCCACATATTTAGATATTTTGTCACACTGTGATTCAATGATCTTTTATAGAAGTGGTTCTGATAGTGTGTTTTCTATGTATTTTCCTCACAGCAGTAAAAGGCCCATAGAACTTGCTAAGCAAAAGAACCAATGACTCATCTACACCTTGGCTTAGAGGACACATTTGGGTCTCCCCATCATGTCCCACAGAGTCTTTGTTGATAGGAATTTTGTTCCAGTCATCAGCCCCTCCCAGGCTGCTGGCACTCATCTCTCCAGGGGAACAAATTCTGTTTCAAGAAAAATAGCACCTCTTCTCTTGCAACAGATCTGTCACCCCTGGAGTTTGGAAGGTGCTGCTCACAACCCTGGGAGGGGACAGTGGCAGCTCTCCGAGTCAGCCCTCCACAGTGCGTGTCATGAGGGTAATGACTTCCATGGGAAATGACCTGAAGAATTTCAGTAATGAAATTCCATGCAGGAGACTCAAAAGGCCTGTGAGTACCAATCCATTCTAGAGCCTGGCTCAGAGCAAGCCCCATCAAGCATGAAGTCAAGCACTTTCAAAGCATGCTCTGACATGGCTTTAAACAAAGAAGAGCAAGCTTCTGCCCCTGACTTTTATTCATTCAACACCCGATCTCAAAAACCAGTACAGACTAATCTTCTTTGTTGATGCTGTCACAATATTGGATTTCTGACCAACCAGAGGTCACTCTGGGGACTTGCAGGTGGTGTTTGGTGAAGATTCTTAATTTTGTGAAGTTTTGGAGGGGAAAAGGGGTGACAATTCACATTGAGGTCGTTTGTTATATGTTTTGTTTCCCAGGAAGGTGGCAACCCAGAATTCTGCTAGAAAACAAACTTTGTGACTGAAACCAACCACAATAGAATAACCATCCCTCCCTCTGGTCTTCTACATCCCATTTTCTTAATTGGGTGGGCGGGAGAGCAAATTTCCACATGGAGCAGGTAGGTGGGCACAGGCTGTATAAATCCCATACATATCCTTGGCAGAGATACGCACTGCCATTATGCCTTCTGAATGTCAGCTGAGGTGGAAACCGGCTCCAGATCCGAGAGGTGCCAGACACCTGCTCCCTGGGCTCTGAGACGTGCTTCTGCTGGTTGGTAGCCCATACACAGCCCTTTCTCGATACACATTGATCCTCCAAACCCAGGAGCAGTTTCGAGCTCTGCATGTGTTCTGATTCCTCTTCGCTCTCAACACCCATATTCCGTATGTTCTTCCGATAGGAGGTTTAATTGGGCAAGTCTGTCTGTGCTTTTGTTTGGTACCTAAGTTTTCAAAATCCCTGAGAGGCTGACTATGCTGCCCAATCCCTTCTGCCAAAGGCTGTGACCTTTTAAAAAGCCAAATGCTACAATTACGGGCAGCAACTTTGAGGACCACCTTCCTTACAAGAAGTAGTTTTTAACCAAGAAGATAAGCTAAGCTGGTTGAGCTGCCTGGTGAAGGAGAAGCAATAGGACTGACTTCACCGACAGTGGTCAGATTCTGGGTTATTTTCATTCGCAAGTAATTTTGTAAGTAGTTTTGTTTACCTTTCTAAAATTGAGTTTGTGTGCAACTATCTCAAAACTCTGATGAACCCAGCCACTTAAATATAGTTAAGAGTGGTCTGGTGTTCAGAGAGCTTTACTTGTGGAGCATGGATTCCTTGTGACTACTTAAGTTCCCAAATATATCAGCTTAGGACCTAAGGCAGTAATTGCTACCTGAGTCCATGTGAAGAGACCACCAAACAGGCTTTGGTTGAGCAATAAAGCTTTTTAATCACCTGGGTGCAGTTGGGCTGAGTCCAAAAAATGAGTCAGCAAAGGAAGACAGAGGTGGGGCAGTTTTATATGATTTGGGTAGGTAGCAGAAAATTACAGTTAAATGGGGTTGTTCTCTTGCAGGCAGGGGCAGGGATCACAAGGTGCTTGGTGGGGAGCTCCTGAGATTCATTGTCCAGGAGAAGGAATGTCACAAGGTCAACTGATCAGTTAGGGTGGGGCAGGAACAAATCACAATGGTGGAATGTCATCAGTTAAGGCAGGAACTGGCTATTTTCACTTCTTTTGTGGTTCTTCAGTTGCTTCAGGCCATCTGGATGTATATATGCAGGTCACAAGGGATATGATGGCTTAGCTTGGGCTCAGAGGCCTGACAGTAATAGCTAACATTAATTGAACCTTTACAATGTGCCAGACAGTAGTAGTTTAGAATTGTCTCCCTCAAACTCAAAACTGCCCTATTAGACAGGCAATGTTATTATCTCTATTTTGCAAATGAAAGAAAACTGAGACAGGAAGGCACAGAGAGATTAGTTAACTTGCTAAGTGTCACACAGCTGTGTAATAACCACAGCAACATTCATGTACCATTTTCTTTGGGCCAGCCACTGTTCTAAGTGCTTTAAAGTATAATACTTAACGTGTGTAAACATGTTAACCCATTCATTCTCAAAATAATCCTCAAGGTAAGTACTATTATTATCCCAGTTTAACATGAGAAAACTGCAGCACAGCAAGTTAGTAAATGAGAGGGCAGGGATTGAACCTAGCCAGTCTAGTTCCAAATTCCAAGTTTTTAATCAGATGTGAAATTGCCTCTCATACATTCTTTAATAATGTCATTTTAGTCTTTATTTTCCTTAATAAATGTTTCAAAAGATTGTTGTGAGGATTATATGATATAATCTATGTGAGAAATTTAGCACAGTGCCTAGCATGCAGGAAAATACCACAATAAATATGAGTGACAATTATTATTAATTGTAAAAATACTCAGACTGTACAACTATTTTTCCCAGTGGGAAACAGAATGAGAAGAACACATTTTTATTTTCCTTAAAGCAGTTATACAAGAGTACCCAGCTACAGATAGTTAATAAAACCTTTTTTGTTTTTTTGATGGTGGGAAATATTGATAAACTATCTCTATTATCTGTGACTCTTCTTAGGATTATGAAGCCTCACAACCATTTCTTTCCTTTGGAGTGTTTGTTCATGGTAAGCCTCAGAGTCAAAAAGTCAAGTGAAAAAGAATAAGGAAGTCCTATTAGATTTTAAGTAGAAAAAAATGTAATAGCCTCTTCATCTCTAAAATAGGGACTGTAATTCCACCTTCTCCAGTTCTCAGGGAGGGTGTGAAGCTCAAATGAGATAGCAAATATAAAGACCCTTTGACAAACGTACACCTTTATGACAACAGTATTGTTCACATGAGACGATGGCCCAGAGAAATACCAGGTTTATACAATCCATACCCTCTGTAGGGTTTGGACACAAAATGAGAGGCTGCTGAGAAAAAAGGAACCAGTCTGGCAGAGGAAAGATGAGAAGTCATGTGGTTTGGATACCCAAAGGGAAAATCCATGGAGTAACAATAGCAGGAAGACAGGCTACAGGTACTAAGAGCATCTCGTGGGTTCATGTCATGCACTTCCTTCTGCACAGCTGCGAATGGTCCTGCCCTTAGATGACCCTGTAGGCAGATCAGTCTTCCCCTTTGGAGAGGGAGCAAAATATCACAGTAGTAGTTGCTACAGCAAACAAGTGACAAGTCTCTAGGGGGGAGTCTGAGGGGCCAGCAGGCAGCACATTCCAACCAACATTATCCTGCCATTGGAGCCACCTCTAAGCAAGCTGTGGAATGTGTGACTTCAAGGAAAGGATTAATGTGTTTAAAGGCCCAGTCAAGCCCACTGCCAAAAGATCTGTGAAAGAGCCTAGAAAACACGGAGGAATAACTGAAGGAGGATCCACTATGGGCGGCCTTGGCAATGTGCTATTTTCTTTCTGCTTTTCACTAGGTGTCTCAACAATTATAGACAAGGGGACACTGATATTTGATGCTTAACAGAGTTGTAAACAAGGTGAGAGATATAAATACCTATGTGACTATTGCTGGCTAGTCAATTAAGAGAGAAGAAGGATTTGCAAAATGGGGTAATTTAAAATCTTTTCAATAGCATCGCCAACCAAAATATCATCCCAGGGCAAACTCCCTCTAGCCTGTGCTTGAAGCCAAGTCTGGTAGATGCATTTGATCAGCCAAACCTATGGGTGTTAGAAGAATTGCAAATGGGCTCATTTGTTAAAATGGAAAATTGTGATTTAGTATCCCTGGACCTCGCCAGATTAGCAAATGAGAATGCTTTCTAATGATAAATTATGCTAATTTGGGTTTTGTTGATCAAGTGAGATGTTACTCTGTATTTTACAACCAAGTCTGACAACAAGAGTTACTGAAGAAGTTCAAATCATGTTTTTGGGGAGAATTGCTGCCAGGACTCCAAACAATTCAGCAATAACAGTTGCCTCAAATTTCCTTTTAATAAACAAAGTTATTTTGGCATGTTATGCTGTGTTCCTTGTGGATTTTTGGAAATCACTCCTAGCTTATTCAGAAAAACTGCTTTGTAAGAGCTTGTGAATATCAGTACATGGATGATACACAAAATATAATAGAACACACTGTTTATCACATGCAATTTCCAAAGGTTGTTTTTTCTACTTTTAGGAGAAATAAATGAACATTATAGAAGATACAGAAATTAAAAAAATAGCAAAATTAGTATTCACTTGGTAGTAATAAAAACCCAACTCAAATCAGCTTAATTGGCTCACAGAATGAAGAAAGTGCAACTGGAATGGATTGACTTCAGGCATAGCTGGTTCCAGGAATTCAAGTAACACTCCTGAGTCATACACTGTGGAAGGAGCAGACAAAAAATGTCTACACCTCACTACAAATAGCCAGAAACAAAATTATGGCCAATATTCCTATTACTCAAAACAATCAGATTTGATATTTTGGTATATTTTCTCTCAGTCTCTTTTTCATGAACTTTTTACCTTGTTCAAATGTAAATTTTAAATCAAGCCGGGTATTGCACCCTAGAAGGGCCAATGAAGACATGAATATATTTTCATCAGCTTCATCACAATAAGTAACCACTGTACTGACATATCACTCACTGTCCTTGCAGGAAGGTGTCCAGGAGGGCATCTTTGCAATGCCTGCTTAGACTCTCCACAGCTGCCATTCTACAGTGACAGTACCATCTAAGATAACTTTCTGCAATGATGGAAATGTTTGATGCTTTTGCTTCCACTATGATAGCCACAAGCCACATGTGGCATTAAGCACTTAAAATATGGCTAGCACCACTGAAGAAATGCATTTTTAATTTTATTTAAGTTAATTTTAACTTAAGTAGACACATGTGGCGAATGGCTATCATATTGTACCATGCAGGATCTACACAACAAATTACATGAGTAGAAATCACAGCTAAAAGATGAATACACATCAACCATACCCTTCCAGGGATAAGGGAAGCATTATGGGAGGATTAGGTCAAACAAGTCCAATTAAAAGACACTTTAATAAGCTTTAGCTTCCTTAGGTAAGGAATGTAAGAAGGAGCCTGTCTGGATCATAGACTATGTCTATGAATTCCCACAGCTGAAAAAAAATAGCTAATAATAGTAAGTTGTGATCTTAGGATTTTTGCTGAAACAGAAATGTGTAAGTATAATGTCCATGACTCTGCTTTCTTCCACAATTTCTTTTTCTGTTAGTAAAGGTTTCCAGTCTTTTGGCAATTAAAATAGAGACTCTATTACTGTCACTGTGATATTTATTTCATCAGTGTCAGGGTTGTAAATACCCTGTGATGCAGCAGAAGACCTTAGCCTTCAAGGACTGTCGAACGCAAGGCTTCAACAGTAACTATATGATCCAATATGTTAATCTCAAAGATGCCATAGCAAAGCCACTTCAAGAAGATCCATGATAATGTGAAATCTGTTATGTGCCTTCTGTTCTAGATTTCAGGCTCTTAAAAGACAGGGATCCATCTGTTCACTGCAAAAGATGGTACTCTGGTCAGTAGGTCCAGCAGGAGCCTGAAGGCAAGGCTGTCTGGCTCTGAAGACAGCCTGCTTCCTGCCTGTCATGTCTTCTCCTGCATGACTTTGTACTGCCAGCATTGGGAGGAGCAAAAAATCAATAGAATGTTCCTCTCAAGAATGCAACATAGGGGATTTAACAGCCTTCATTCCTTTTTTTTTTTTCTAGCATCCTCAGCCCCAGCATGCTCCTAAAAGCCAGCACTCACAAGGTCTATTTAATGACAGTTTTGATTTTTTTGCTTTGAGGATCTTTTCAGCCATAATGTGAGGGATATCTGAAGGGTTTCAGGTACATGTTGGTTACTTGTACACAATGTTACATTGCCCAGTTTGCTGGGCAAGTCTCTTCTGGGTGCAACTCATGCTTGCCTTTTATTGGTGTTCCTGCCAAGAGAAAACCAAATCACCCCCTCTCCACACACTAAGCCTCATTCTTCAAGTCTACAATGGAGATAATCATACCACCCATCTCTTAGAACAGAGAGGTTGGCAAACTATGGCCCTTGGGCCAAATCTTGTCACCATGGGCCAAATCCAGCCATGCCAGCTCATTTACATATCGTCTATGGCTGCTTTGTGCTACAGAGTCAGAGCCAAGTAGCTGTGCTAGAGACCACGTGGTCTGCAAGACTGTCTGACCCTTTACAGGAAAACTTTGCTGCCCCTTGTTGTGAGGACTGAACAGAGATGGCACATGGTAAATGCTCAATATTAACTGCTAATACTACTATTATCAGCCTCCTCTTGCATCCTGAGTCTTTGTCCTTTCTTCTCTGTTTCCCTAATTTCATCCTTTTGAAATAGGAAAAATCAAAGTGTTTTTCCTACCCTGATCCTCAATACACTCAATACAATACTGAATATTTCGCCTCTAGTCACCAAATCGTGTATGTGTGAATTTTTTCACACACACCAAGCAACTCCGCAGCAAACACCAACTGGGTGTCCTATAGTTTAATTCATTTCTGGTACTATCTACCTGGTGATAGTGTCAGATCCCACAGGTTAAGGGCTCAGTTCCTCAAGACTACTTACCCGCATCTCAGAAGCTGATCACAATACAAAAAGACATACATAAGAGAGTTCATGAGTTTTAGGAGCTGTGTGCCAGGGCCCAGGGACAGATACCAAATATATGTTTATTGTATCACAGTATCACACATCCCTTGTCCCAAATTTAACTTTTTCTTTTCTCTCTCCTCCCCCATTGTTGAACATTCTTCTTGCTGTAGGTTTCAGTTCTATTCTTTCTCTTCAGATCAGAACTACTCTGTCAATCTAGATTCTCTGACTCCAATGGAGGGTGCTTCCCTTTATCAAACAGGCTTTGGGGTTCCCTCACTTCTGCTGAAGCCATGTCCCTATCCAGCCACCTACTGCTTTGGCTTAAGCTTCTTGGGGATGTGAGCAGGGCTAATTGCTATGTATGGTTATGTAGGTTGGACATGGCTCAGCCATGCTCAGTGGCTCTGCAGAGCACATGGATACCAGCCTCAGGCTCCCTGATTGCCCCTGCTTTGGTTTCTGCCTAACTTCCTGTCTGTTCTCTTACTTGGAAAGCAAAGCTTTATGGCCTCTGTTGACCTTGTTCCTTAACCATGAGCAGCTACCATGTTTTCTTTCAAAAGACCTGCTTTACCCTTCCAAGCTGAGAGCCTTCTTAGAAGAAAGCATGCCCAGCCTAAATCTTACCTAAGTCAACTTATGTCATAGGGGTAAAAACTCTGCCAGGGGAGGAGGGAAAGGCAGTTGAGACCTTTTATTTGTTTCTCAAGAGCCCCTTTCTCCAGGACACTGGCCCAGAGAGGATTGTTGTGTTTCAACTATGTTCTTGTTGAAACATAGAGTGTCCCTCTATCTAGAATGTGAAGAGGAGAATTGTGAGAGAAGTAATCAGTCGCCAAGAACATTCTCAGGATCTCACTGATATAATCCTACATGTGGAGTTATCTATGGTATATACCTGTGTATTTTTGTATTTCATAATCCCAAACCATTTCTGGAACATGCCTCAGTTTAACAGGCAAAGGGACATATGAACTCTAATCTACATATTGTCTATTTCACCCCCATGGGTCAGAATACAGTTTACATTTTTTTTCCACCTGTGTTTGGGCACAATAAAGATTTTGGATAGTGAGGTGTCTCCTTGATAAAACTAAAGATGAGCTTACTGTTCCTGGTCACACAGGTTGGGGTTTTTGACAAGTCAACTCTTGGACTTATGATAAAGATGTTATTTTGCAGCAGTTTTTTCCAACTGGAATGTGCACTGGTAGCTGTGGGTGGAGAGCTGGTGAAGAATCACCTGGAGGAGTTTTGCAAACTCTCCATGGCCCTCAAAGATTTCAATACACCTCAATTCCCATGTACCCCTTCTTATGTGGAAAACCCTTTATAGATGAATGAAATACCAAGGAGTAAGTCTGTGGAAAGCTAAGGTTTGCTTTGGGCAGCTCTGGGTTACCAGAGGGTGTTTTAATATCCAATCAGTCACTTTGTTTGCTCAAGAGACCCTATCCCCAGTGCAAAGATGACAAAGAGAGACTAAAGAGCTCACAGCCATCTTCCAAGCCCATTTTGCCTTTGTTAAGGCACTTTCAAAACAACAACAAAAATCTTCACATTATAAAATGCAATTGGATTCAATTGTATTAAAATTTGTTGAGTTCCAACTCAAACTGTCCTAGGCCCAATTAGACATTCAGAGAAAGTAAGACATGACTCAGCCCTCAAGGGATCTGCAAGTGAATTGAAAGCTATTCCCAGTGGGAGATTTTCCTTCCTCTTCTAAAAGCCATATGTTGAATTGTGGAGAATTTTTTTTGAAGATTCTAACACAGTATATATTAAAGATAGTTTGCTTATGAAAAGCACACAAATTGGCAGTCTTATGAATTTTCTCTAAAAGGACTTTCCTCTTTTAAGAAACTCTGAAACCTGACCCCATACAATAGGAAGTTTGACATAACCAATCATTAGTCCTAGATAATCTGAATCCAATTTTGGTCTATCCAAGTTGCAGCCAAAGCTTCCATCCTCTTAAATTCTTGAATAAGACAACTCTAGAAGTTTAATAAAGAAATAAAAATTGGTCTCAGTCCCCACAAAGCCTATAGTGATTTCTACATGTATTAGTCTATTTTCACACTGCTGATAAAGACATACCTGAGACTGGGCAATTTATAAAGAAAAAGAAGTTTAATGGACTCACAGTCCCACATGGCTGGGGAGGCCTCACAATCATGGCAGAAGGCAAAAGGCACGTCTTACATGGCAGTGGGCAGGAGACAATGAGAAACAAGCAATAGGTGAAACCCCTTATAAAACCATCAGATCTTGAGAGACTTATTCACTACCATGAGAACAGTATGGAGGAGTCTGCACCCATGATTTAATTCTCTCCCACTGGGTCTCTCCCAAAACATATGGGATTATTAGAGCTACAATTCAAGATGAGATTGGGATGGGGACACAGCAAAACTATATCACTACATATTGAATATATATGCTTTTTCTCCAATTAGATTGCAGGTCTTTGAAAAGGAGAATTACATCTTTGTATTCCTTTGTTTGCTCCCATCTTCCTGAACACTCCCAAACTCTTAGCATATATTTCTTAGTAATAATAAGATGCATGAGTATTTAATATTTGCTAGGCACTGTGTTGAGCAGTTTACACGCATTACTGCTTTTATTCCTTCCAATCACCTTTGAAGATATGGAAACTGAGGCTTAGAAAGGTTAAATAAGTTGCACCAAAGCACAAAGCTAAGAAGTGGCAGATGGAGGTTTTGAACCTAGGAAGTCAGAGCCCAGATCCCAGAGCCCAGCACCCACATGTTGAAACACCATGCTGCACACTCTCCTTTGCTGCTCTCTCAACTAAGCTAGTCAAATGCCACAAATAAATGATGCTTGTGTCTGAACACTTCTCCCCAGGAATATTTGAGAGACATCAGCAATGAGCTTCTATGATGTTATAATTAACCATCTGCAGCCTCTCTGTGCAACCCATTAAATGTCTGCCTAAATCAGCTCCACATGTTCTATTGGGAAACGGCTCTACAGTATTTTTATGAGATTTACTTTTGTCCTTCCCAATTCAAGAAGGCAAATCACTCACAATCTTCCTTTCATAGATAAATAAAGGGCATAGGAAAAAGAGTAGGTCACCAAAGTTTGGGAAGGAAGTCAATGGGAAACCAAGGTTTGCCTCCTCAGCTCTTGGGTTCTCAGCAGTCTCTTAATTCAGGCTTCCCCTCCACCCTCAAAAAAGACCTCCAGGTATGTAATGGTGAAAACATAGGTGTATAAGACCATCCCTAAAGAAGCAAGATAAAGCCATGAGAAAAAAATGTAACAAGATAAAGCTATGTTGAGGAAATTACAAGTCACTCACTAGTATATCTATAAAAATGTTTTAATGCATTTATCTATGTATAGCAATTATGTTTACTATTCTTGGGATGCTGATTCCATGATCGCTGTTTGTGTTAATTTAGTTTCTAATAGATAATTCAAAATGAGTTGTGGAGCTGGGCACAGTGATGTGTGCCTATAATCCCAGCCATTAATAGTTGGGAGGCTGAGGCAAGAGGATTGCCTGAGTCCAGGAGTTTGAGGCTGGCAACATAGTGAGACCCTGTCTCTTAATAAATAAATAAAGTTCTAAAAATCCCCTTTTTTTTTCTTTCAAAGAGACATGTTGTAAATCTGTTTTCTAGTGATTTCTTGCATATATTGGGAGATTTTTGAAATATATTGTCCATTACACCAAGTTAGAGACTGTTACTTATACCACATTCTTTGCAACATATTCTTTTTGCATCTCATTTAGACGTATTACTCGTACAACCCGACTATCATCTGATTTAGAAGGCCTGTGTTGAAATGTAGAATATGGAAATCCTAGAAGAGGAATGATATATTTAGGGTACTTTAAACAGTGTTAGGTATATTTAGTATAACCACTTAATGCTGTTTTGGATGATTTATAGTCTGGGCTATGCTATGTTTCTCAGAAATTATTCCAGTTACATTTCAAAGTTTAATTTGAAAAATATTTTAAGAAGTACAAAACAAACAGAGGCAGGTCCAACTTTTCTTGGATTGCTGGAGCAGTAATAACAAGGACACTGGTACAAATTCTAGGCACAAAATGGGCTCTATCACTGTCTCCACCACTTTGTAATTTTTTACTATCTCTGGTGGTAAGAGTAAGAAGACAAGTTGCTGAATTTAAATGTCCCTCAGTAACTGGAACATTGCATTCTAATGCATTTTGATGAGTCAGATTAGTTATTTATCACATAAGTGGGTAATGCAAGGAAATGTATTCAGTCCAGAAAATTAATCCAGGCAGCCAGCTATGAGCAAATGAATGAAAGTGACCAAGAGCAGGTCGGGACAGAAAGCTGAGAGCAACATACTCTTAAGGCTATTCAGTCACCAAATCCTTTTAATATTGAGTAATAGGTTTAAGAGGTTGAAATCTCTACTGTTTTGTGAAGATGGCAGAAATCCTTCCTTCTTTAGGAAGAAATTTAAAAGCAAAGATGCTGGAGTGAGAAGACTTTATATATTTTACTCCTTCCTTGAGTGTACATGTCTCACCTCTAGGACATGTGGATTCCACTTATCTGTGGAGAGAAGGGGTTGGGGAGGCTTCATTGCCAGCAAGCTGTGTATTAGAGATTGGGAGGGTGTTTGGATTCCCTGATACAGCTGGCTGGGGACCCCTTACCTTGGAGATAAACAGGAAAGTGAAAAGTCTGGGCTAAATTTTGCTCTGTCACTGGTCAAATTTCTCCCAGAGTTGAAAATGGCATTGCTCTTCCCAGGCTGTTGAAATGAGATAATGTCACATCCTGAATGAGATCACTAGGTCATAATCTCCTCCTCATTGTGATTTTCTTGGCATGTCTGAGAATTACTGGGTGAAGGGGGAAAGGATGAGCATGGATTGAACAAAACCATTCCTTTAATTAAGCTCACAGCCTTGTCACCTTCTGCTCTGATCTCATCAGATCTCAGCAACTAAGCGGGGTCAGGCTGGGGGTGTCAGTGAATGACTCTGTATCGGTGGCATGTACCATTCAGTTGAAGCCTTACACCTTCCAGGCAGGTGTGTGCTGCTCTGTGGGCTTTGCAGTAAGGCACATTAATAAGGCGACAATCCTAATGTGCTTTGGGCTCTTGGAAAGGTTGGCATGACATAAATGAAGGTGTTTCAGTTTCTCTTACCCCAATTAAGAGACCCCTGGAGACAAAGCTTCTTTCACAAAGTCAGACACAACCTGTAGTCAACTGAGAGAAATTCCAGCCTTCTCAGATGTTGGGAGGGTGGAAATGATCATCAAGATTCAGTATTTAGGATATCACTTTTGGCAAACAAATCCCCACTCCTGGCCAAGGAAATGGTTGAAGACAGGAGGGTTTAGGGCTCTATGGTAGGTTTTGATCGCTTGGATGGTGACAGAAACATGCTGAGACTGACTGTGGCAATTGCAGATCTCATTAACTGGTTATGCTACTATGATGATATTATTACTGCCGTGTCCACCTACCAGAGCTACCTTCTCTTCAGACAAAGAATCCTCTACCACAGCCAGCTGTGGCTTTGGCCCTAACCTCAGCAGGGAACCCAAGTGACTGTTCGTCACCTTCTGCTTGGCTAGAGGCAGATCTAGCAGCAAACGATGCCTATGTCTTAGCCTCCATGTCCAAACACTGGGATGTCGGTGCAAAGGTAATCGTGGGGAAAACAAGACCATTACTGAGAAGAAAGAGCAAGAGTTAGCATCTGCCCCAGTCCTGGGAAGCATTGGCCAGCTTCTCCAGAACTTACCCTCTCATGGTAAGTTCACTGCACCTCCATGTCCTGAGACCTTCTACATGGCTGGCTTCATCATCTCATTTCATCTGTTACCTCTGCAGATTTCTGGAAATAAAGTCCAAAGTAACAGTCTATCCTTTCTGGACTGACTTTCAATCCCTTTTGTTCCTGTTGGGGAAAATGGCATGCATTGGCATTTCGGTTAGTAAATAGCCTTACCGTTGATGCCCATGCATTCCTGGAGGGGAATGAGGAAAAAGAGGCCAGGTGGAAGGGAACAAATGGTGGATTGTGATTCCAAGACACTGTGTCCCAACTTTATCTCAGAATGGTCCACCAAGATACCATGTTTAGACCAACTATAAAGCAAGTGAAGACACCTGTCATTTTATTATTTCATTTAATTGCTCCTGGTTCATTTCTATGCTGCCTTACTTTCACCGCAGGCTTCCCTCATGATTTACCTTTGGCCCTTTGGCTGCAGTTGCCAGAACCTGGAGAGAGTAGCTTTAGAGAGAAGGCTGTCCACCAGGAGCCAGGCCTTCAATCTAGGAATACAGCGTCTCCAAACTGTGGCTCTGGATCGGCAGGATGAACTCTTATTCTGGAATTTATTTCCAGAAATCTGGAGAGGTAAAGGGTGAAAAGAGATGATAATGATGAAACTGGTCATGACATAGAGAATAAATAACAATTCTCCATCTCTTCTTACTCTCTCATCTCCTGACAGTGACCTCCACTGGCCAAACCCAACCCAACACCCAGCGGGAAAGGGAGCCCACTATCCAGACTCACCCTCATGGGGCCTAGAGCAGGTGGGGAAATAGGTCTAGGTGCAGACGGAGAATATCAGAAGAGTCTCCACTCTGTTGACTGTTTTGTTAGTTTGTTTGATTTTTGGATCTGCTCAGAGATCCAAAGGGTTACGTTGAAAGTAAACACAACCCAGGACAGGAGGACAATTTTTACTCCTCCAAATAAGTGTATAGGTTTAGCATACGCTCCATCAAAAGCCCCCCAGAACTGAGTCAGGGAGAGAGAGGTGCACTCTATAAACTTAGCCTTTGGTCTTCAGAAGTATTTCATTCTAACACAAGTTTGCCTACAAAGCTGCTTTTACATTTTAAAAAGTCCCCAGTGTATGGCCACTAGCTCCAGATGTGTTAATAGCGCCAAAGCAGCTCACAACAGGCTCCTTGAGTTACTGAATAACAGAACTCAACAGGCAGCTAAGCCTTCCGACCACACACTTTCACCTTTACATGCTCTGAGTCAGCTTTCAATAGGCATTAAATTCTCCCTTTGTTTTCATTCCTTGCTGCCGTAGCTCTAGCAGGGACCTGTGAATAGCCGGGCTATGCTAAGTACCCTTAAATATAGGTCTTTGAGAAATCTCTGTGTATATGTGAGTTCCATACATAAGTAATGTCCAAGGAGGAGGTCAAAACACTGAAATATTGAAATAAAAATCAGGAGGCTTTAGTCCTACTCCTGGTCTATAAATCTTTTTTTTTTTATACTTTAAGTTTTAGGGTACATGTGTGCAACGTGCAGTTTAGTTACATATGTATACGTGTGCCATGTTGGTGTGCTACACCCATTAACTCGTCATTTAACATTAGGTATACCTCCTAATGCTATCCCTCCCCCCTCCCCCACCCGACAACAGGCCACGGTGTGTGACGTTCCCCTTCCTGTGTCCATGTGTTTTCATTGTTCAATTCCCACCTATGAGTGAGAACATGGTCTATAATTCTTGACTAGCCCTGCAGGGTAACCTTGGACAGACATCTTTACCTTCCTAAGACTCATGTTCTGCTGCTCTAAAATAGAAAACAGAGTCCTGTTATCACAGAAGAGATGTGGGCTGGAAGAGACCCACCTCCTTAACCTGGGCTTTGCTGAAAGCCAGCAGTCCTTTGAGGCTGAGGAAAGGTGAGTTTTATTGTACTGTTTGCTCCCAGGCAGCTGCTTCCAGAGGATTCATGGGTTTACAATTTAAGAGACAACCAAGCATGAGGATAGAACTTCCATTAAATGGCGCCCATGTTTCTGGTACCACGACAAGCCATTAAACCATACTCTCTGGCTAGGTTTATTAATGTCCACATCTAAAATTTTGTACATTGCTCCATATCCTACTGCAGTTTAGAGTCATCTCCTGAGTATTTCACGGTGAGTTATTTACTTAGTGTGACAGGAAAGGGATTAAAAATGCTCCATGTTACAAAAATCATATCCTCGTCTTCTGCATGTCCACACGACACACGAGAAGGAGGAAGAGTGTGAGCTCCAGGACAGTATCCAAAAACAAGTTAAATTGAACTCTCCTTAGCTCTTCTTCAAAGCTTCAGGCTGCTGAAACCCATTTTCTATCCTTCTCAATATTTGTCCTGCTGATGCGTTAATAGAAGCTTGTTTTTCACAATATGTTCACACCACCAAAAGCATTCAGGGAATTCCTAGATCACCTTAAATTTTTCCTAATTCAACATCTTCTGGAAGGAAAACACGAAAGCACCCAGATGCCTTTGCTTTAGAACAATTCCTGTGACTTATTTCGCATTGATAGTTTTTGTTTTAACTGGAATTAAGGATTCTAAGGGCAGATCTGAGAAGCTACTTCACTAACAGTGAAAGGAAAGAGAATGAGGAAAGTTGATTTATCCATGCTGAATGAATACCGACTTACCTGCCCCAAACAGAGAAACAACTAACTAAACAGCTATTCAGTAAGCCTGCTACAACTACCCCAGACCCACCCCAGGCAAACAGGGACTTCAGAACACTTATCTCCCGAAGGAAGCTCTTGCAATTCAGATCACAGGCTTTATTTTTTAATTCACCCATGTTTGCTTCAAAAGAGCTCCTCTGCTGACTATGGAAGAACAAAACGAAAAAGCCAAAGAGAGAAACACTTAAGGATTTGAGGTTGGGGAAATGTTAGAAGGTGAGAAGTCGGGCAGTAAAAGGAAAAGAAATATCCACTCACTAAATCTAGGACAGCCTTGTACAGAAATCTGCCCCAAATTCATGTTTCTCCACCTCAGGAACAAGAGGAGCTCCCTTGTTTGTAGTTAGAATTTTAAGGACTAGTGTCTTTGAGCCAGGTAAACAGTGAGTCTGATTCTCAACAATTATGAAAGGGCCAGGTTTTTTTCGTTTGTTTGTTTGTTTGTTTTCATTTTTGTTTTTTTTGAGACAGAGTCTTGCTCTGTCGCCCAGGCTGGAGTGCAATGGCACCATCTCAGCTCACTATAATCTCTGTCTCCTGGGTTCAAATGATTCTCCTGCTTCAGCCTCCCAAATAGCTGGGATTACAGATGTGTGCCACCACACCCAGATAATTTTTGTATTTTTAGTAGAGATGAGGTTTCACCATGTTGGCCAGGCTGCTCTTGAACTCCCTACCTCAGGTGATCCACCCACCTCGGCCTCACGAAGTGCTGGGATTAAAGGTGTGAGCCACCGCACCTGGCTATGGGCCAGGTTTTTAAAACTGCAGTCACATGTTTATCTAATCTTCATAATTTCTATTATATGTGTGCAGAGGTGACCTTGAGAATGTGCCTGTCAGACTTCTGATTTCAGGGATTTTACTGACACAGGGGTCCAGCTCTGCCTAGGGAAATCCATAGTCCCATTTGCAATGAGCCCTTCTTCCCCCCAGCTGCTCCCAGCCAATGGCTGCATGCAGCAGGGACACCGCAGGGGGACCTGTCCCCAGGCGCTGTCCCTCCAGTGGGCACCAATACCAGTGTTATGGGAGTTGATTTCGGGCACTGTGCTGAATATGTTCAGTCTTGCTACTTGTGCATTTTTTAATATGTGTGATTTCAAAGATGATGTTGTTTAGGAAGAGGCTAAATATGGGTTTCTCAAAAACCTCAGGCAAAGGCTTTGGCAGGAAGTTCACTTGGAAAGGTGTTGCAGGAAGCAGAAGTGGGGGCCTGGGAATGTGAAACAGGAAGGGAGGGAAACCGATAGGTGGATGCATGATTGAGTTGACAACACTGCTGCATTTGGGCTTGAGGGTTCTCAAAGGCAGTCTTGCCAGACTCTTCCCTAGTCCTGCACTAGACTCTGAGACTTGGGCATGAGGAATAATCTTCCTTCCTTCCCTCTCTCCTTCACTCAGGATCAGACCTGCTGCATAGCCTGATGGCTCTCTCAGTCTCTCCTGGCTCCCTCCCTATTATCTCTCATAGCAACCTTGTCCAACCCATGGCCCGTGGGCCACATGCAGCCCAGGATGGCTTTGAATGTGGCCCAACACAAATTTGTAAACTTCCTTAAAACATGAGGGTTTTTTTTGTTGTTTGTTTTCTTATCAGCTATCATCAGTGTTAGTGTATTTTATGTATGGCCTAAGACAATTCTTCTTCCAATGTGGCCCAGGGAAGCCAAAAGGTTCGACACCCCTGTCTTATACACATGACTCCTAACATGTTTCTTGTACATTTAATCCCATCTTTTCCTCTGCTACTTGGACAACCCAGATTAACATACGTAGTAATATCAACTGCATTATGTATATAATTATACAAGATTATATATTTATATGTAATTTTATACAATTATGTATATAACACATACACTTAAAGTAAACTTACAGTGGCATATTGGACACCTCCAGTTCATTATTTAGCTAATCTAGGGCCTACCTCTTACTCCAGCTACTGCTGCGGTAGCCAGTTACATGTAGGTCTCAGCCAGCCAGCTTTGCATAGTTACTTGGTTAGCACCTCAGACCACCTGCCAGGACTGCTGGCCACTCATGCTCGTGCAATCCAGAAGAGTGGGTCCACCTTTGATTAGTGGAGGCTGGGAGTTGCTGGATAAATCCTCTCCCCTTCCATCCCCTGAGACAGCCCTGAGACCCATGTCATAAGATGCCTCAGAAGGTCCTGTGGATCAAACGCTGCTTGACTGTAGCAATGGTCAACTCAATCATGCCTCCATGTATTTCTTTCCCTTGATCCCCACTTTAATCTCCCAGATCCTCACTTCTGCTTCCTGGGATACCTTTCCAAGTGAACTCTCTTTGCTGTGACTTTCAGGGAAACCCATACTCAGCATCTTCTTAAACGATATCATTTGTAAAGTCACATTTAAAAATAAATACACCTGCATTAAAACAAAAAATAGTGGCAGGGTGTGGTGGCTCACTCCTGTAATCCCAGCACTTTGGGAGGCCGAGGTGGGCAGATCAAGACCATCCGACCAACATGGTGAAACCCTGTCTCTACTAAAAATACAAAAATTAGGTGGGCGTGGTGGCACACACCTGTAGTCCCAGCTACTCGGGAGGCTGAGGCAGGAGAATTGCTTGAACCCGGGAGGCAGTGGCAGTGAGCCAAAATCATGCCACTGCACTCCAGCCTGGTGACAGAGTGAGACTTGGTCTCAAAAAAAAAAAAAATAGTTATCATAAGACCTAAAATCAACTCACATATCATCTGGCGTTTATACCTCATTTTAGGCAATACTATAACAAAAGATGTTGAAGTAATTTTGTTCTGACACTACTGTCTTTTTCAGTGGCCACATTTAAAATAAAATCAGTTATACCATTGAGTTAAAGTGTCCAGGGAGACCAGGAATAACTAATGGAACCCAGGGCTCCTGGGTTTATTTTGCTTTTGTGTGTTTTGTATACGTGCAGTGACAAGGGGCTTCTCTGAAAGCATTTTGTTCTGTTTGGCTTTGTATAAGCTGGGCACATTGTGGTTTAGCCTTTTACAATAATTTGGTTACCGCTTTTGGTTTTTGGTGTAAGGAAGGGATCCAGTTTCAGCTTTCTACATATGGCTAGCCAGTTTTCCCAGCACCATTTATTAAATAGGGAATCCTTTCCCCATTTCTTGTTTTTGTCAGGTTTGTCAAAGGTCAGATAGTTGTAGATATGTGGCATTATTTCTGAGGGCTCTGTTCTGTTCCATTGGTCTATATGTCTGTTTTGGTACCAGTAGTACCATGCTGTTTTGGTTACTGCAGCCTTGTAGTATAATTTGAAGTCAGGTAGCGTGATGCCTCCAGCTTTGTTCTTTTGGCTTAGGATTGACTTGGCAATGCGGGCTCTTTTTTGGTTCCATATGAACTTTAAAGTCATTTTTTCCAATTCTATGAAGAAAGTCATTGGTAGCTTGATGGGGATGGCATTGAAACTATAAATTACCTTGGGCAGTATGGCCATTTTCACGATATTGATTCTTCCTACCCATGAGCATGGAATGTTCTTCCATTTGTTTGTATCCTCTTTTATTTCATTGAGCAGTGGTTTGTAGTTCTCCTTGAAGAGGTCTTTCACATCCCTTGTAAGTTGGATTCCTAGGTATTTTATTCTCTTTGAAGTAATTGTGAATGGGAGTTCACTCATGATTTGGCTCTCTGTCTGTCTGTTATTGGTGTATAAGAATGCTTGTCATTTTTGCACATTGATTTTGTATCCTGAGACTTCGCTGAAGTTGCTTATCAGCTTAAGGAGATTTTGGGCTGAGACGATGGGGTTTTCTAGATATACAATCATGTCATCTGCAAACAGGGACAATTTGACTTCCTCTTTTCCTAATTGAATACCCTTTATTTCCTTCTCCTGCCTGATTGCCCTGGCCAGAACTTCCAACACTATGTTGAAGGATTTTCTCAGGTAGCTGAAACTGTGGCCCATGACCTCAGTGTGGTAGATGAAAATCTAAAGATGTCCCCCAAGTTTCCCACGACTGGGTTACATAATCAAACACTAATTTAGGAACTGTGAGGGGACTTTGCAGATGGAAGTAGGTTACTAATCAGCTGACCTCAAGATAGGGCAATTATCCTGGAGCTACCAGGATGGGCCTGGTATAATCATGTTCACCCTTAAGCAGAAGAAGAAGGCTGAGGGAAGCAGTCCTATTTTAATGTCCAAGACCATCACTTCTGCTTCCTGGGATACCTTTCCAAGTGAACTCCCTTTGCTGTGACTTTCAGGGAAATCCATCCTTAGCTTTTTAAACTATACCATTTGTAGCGTCACACATAAAAATAAATACATAAGCATTACAACAAAAAATAGTTATCACAGGACCTAAGAAGAAGACTGAGGGAAGTAGCAGAAAGGAACATAAGAGAAATTCCGAGTGCAAAGACTCAACTCCATTGCTGCCTTTGGGGATGAAGAAAGGGGCCATGAGACAGGGAATGCAGGCAGCTTCTAGAACAACCTCCTGGCCAACAGCCAGCAAGGACAGAGGGACCAAAGTCTTATAGTCGTATGTATCTTAATTCTGCCAACAACTTGAATGGACTTGGAAGTGAATTTTCCCCCAAAGCCTCCAGATAAGAGCCCAGGTTAACCAAGACATTGATTTTGGTCCTGTGAGACCAAGGGCAGAGAAACCAGAGAAGCTGTCCTGTGGAAACTACGAGATCATATATTGGTGTTTTTTAAGTGACCAAATTTGTGATATTTTTTATGACAATTATGAAAAACAAACACACTCAGTATGGGATTTCAAAGCATAGCAGCAGATTGGTGAAATAAGCATCCTTCCTAGAGGACTCAGGTCTGTGTGTGATATAGAGATTTCACACCTAGCAGAGAACCCGCAAAAAAGCTTTGCACACCTAACTGAGATGAATTTGCTGCAAGAAATTATCCATCTTTACAAAAGAATTCTTCCAATTCCTCTTGTGAAACATAGCAGACAAACAAAAATAAAACCACTGGCTTTCACTTTTGATAATGCACTTTTCAAATATTTACAGAATGCACTTTAGTTTCAGATAAATGTTGCATCATGTCTGAGTTGCTGACAACTCTTGCTCTGTCCACTGTCCCAGAAATTACCTTCCTCAAAGTGTGGTGACTTGAGGGCATGAAAGGAAGTATTTCAGATTCAAAGTTAAATGAACCCTATGATCCAGGGACATTGTCAGAAAGTTCCATTCTCAATGAGAAAAACCCTTAAGAATGCACACCTCTGCAGATAGCTGCCTACAAGAAAACTGCCCAGAAGCAACTTTTCCTACCATGGGGTTCAAGCCTAACTTGCTTGTGAGAACACAGCTTCTCCACACATATCATCGGGAAGCTGCCAACTTAACAGAAAACCATTGTAATCTAAAAATTGAAATAATACTGATGAAAGTCAGGGGAAGACAGAGTTCATGAGGAGTTGACATGGAGCAAAGACAGCACATCCTTGTTTCAATTGGCAGGAGAAGGACTTTGCTCTCAGGTCGGTGTCTGGTGAGACACAATTGATGGAAATACATTATTTTAATTCATATTCATGGGCTTATATGTCTGTCTCCCCAACCAAAATACAAAGCCCTCAAGGGCAGGGACATTATCTCATTTATCTTTCTATTTTCATTGCCGAGACATAGACCTTATATATAATAGGTGCTTAAAAAATGCTTACTTAAGGAATGAATTGGCAAGTGGAAACTCTCCCAAACAAGAATGTTTTGTCCAGCTACTGCTCCTCCTCATTTTATCACTTATTTCAAGAGCATTTTAGGTGCTGTCTAATAAGTGCCAGACACTGTGTTAGGCATCCAGGAGACACTGGAAGAACATATTCCCTGCACTCATGAAACTCACAATCTACTCGTGAAGATAACCAAATAATCACAAAAATAAACTTAAGGTGACAATTTGGGCATATCCTGTAAAGGGAAGGTGGCGTGAGATGGTATGATAGCTGTGTCTGGTGTAGTCTTGGTGGGGTCTGGGAAGACATGCCTGAAGCAGTCATGTTTGAGCTGAGAGTTGAAGGATGGGAAAGAATTAGTGAGACACCAGAGAATAATCACAGTCCAGAAAGAAAGAACTGCATGTGTGGTATCCTATGGCTGAAAGAAGCAGGGAAAGAACAAGGTGTGGAAAGGAGGCCTGTGTGGCTGGAATTTAGAGAGGGAAGGAAATGGTGATGCCAGAAGTGCCCAGAGAAGAGGCTGTGGCCAGGTCACATGGGATCTTCTAAGCCAGTGTAAAGATTAGGGTCTTATGTTTTACAACCTGAAAAATTGTGACTGGGGAGAATAAGAGACGTGATTAGTTTTGGGCTCATCTAGTAAATAGATAGAGAATGTATTGCTGGGAACCAGAGTGGGTGTGGGGAGGTTACAGTATTATTCTGAGCTAGGTAGCTTAGACCAGAGAGTAGCTGTGAAGATGGAGGAAAGTAAATGTCTTCGTGCATAGGAGGTAATATATTGGATATTGGGGAAATAAGATTAAGACTTAACTGGATGTATGATGGCCTTATGCAACCTAAACAGTCAACTTTGAAAGAGGACAAGGTGGCTGGGTGCAGTGGCTCTCACCTGTAATCCCAGCACTTTGGAAGGCTGAGGCAGGTGGATCACCTGAGGTCAGGAGTTGGAGACCAGCCTGGCCAACTTGATGAAACCCCGTCTCTACTAAAAATACAAAAATTAGCCACGCATGGTGGTGGGTGCCCGTAATCCCAGCTACACAGGAGGCTGAGGCAGGAGAATCGCTTGCATCCGGGAGGCGGAGGTTGCAGTGAGCCAAGATTGTGCCACTGCATTTCATCCTGGGCAACGGAGCAAGACTCCATCACAAAAAACAAACAAACAAGCAAGCAAACAAACAAACAAACAGAAAACAAGGTTTGAGGGAGGTGAGAAGGGAAGATCATGAGTTCATATATAAAACTGTTAGATTTGAGTTGCCTTTGAAACATCCTAGTGATAAACATCAGCAGCTTGTTTCCTAAGTCTGAAGCCCAAAGATAGGACATAGCCTGGAAATGTATATTTGTAAATTATCTGCTAAGCTGGTAATTGAAGGCTTGTGCCTGAATAGGGTAATCTAGGAAGAAAATACGGAGTGAGAAGAGAATTTAGGAACTAGCCTCTAAACCCAGCTCTTACTGGCCAGGTAGAGCATGATGAACATCCAAAAGAAATGGAGTGAAGCAATCAGACATTTAAAAAGAAAATATGCAGTGATCAGAAGCTATTTATGACTGATACGAATGGTGAGTGCAGAAATATTGGTTGAATGAATGCATGAAGAAATCTCTGAACTTTTTTTTTTTAGCCTCCTTAGGTAAGATGCCTGTTAGCTAGTTAACTAACCTCAAATCCATTCTCAACCTCCTCCCTTGGCTGCCTCTACTACAGTGGATAGTATAGAGGAGAAAACAAAATTTCTTTCCTTTTCCTTTTTAGGTTCTTAATTGATACACTTTCCTGAAAACAAGTTAGACTAATAAAAGAAAAACAAGTGGAAGTTTGTGTGTGTGTGTTTGTTTGCTTGTTTTTGAGAGAGTCTCAGTCCATCATCTAGGCTGGAGTGCAGTGGTGTGATCATGGCTCATTGTGGTCTTGACCTCCTGGACTCAAGAGAACCTCCCACCTCAGCCTCCCAAGCAGCTGGGACCACAGGCATGTGCCACCATACCTGGCTAATTTTTAAATTTTTTGTAGAGCCAGGCTCTCCCTATGTTGCCTAGGCTAGTCTTGAACTCCTGGGGTTAAGCAATCCTTCCTTCTTGGCTTCCCAAAGTGCTGGGATTACAGGTGTGAGCCACTGAGCCCGGCCCAAGCAGAAATTTATTAACGCATGATGTACCCATCACAAGGGAGAGGACTCAGTTCAAAAGTGTTTCTCAAGGTAGTGGCTTAGAGGTCTTGCTTGTATTTTAATAGAGAACCATAAATCTTACATAGGGACAAGACAAATGGGACAGCTTCCAGTCTTTTAAAAGGCAAGAAAATGGGAAAGATGGTAAGATCTGCTCCCAGATTACTCTGGTGCCAGCTGGTGCCTTCTCTGGGCTGATAAGCAAGTGCTGTCTCTAGTAAAGAAGGATTTATATCCCGCCATTAGGCAAATACAGCCTGAGGCAGAGTGCTCACTGGAGTTTTCAGTGTCTTTAACAATCCTCAATGTTTTGGGGAGAAATATTTTGGTTTCTGTCAATAGTAAAATCAGTCCCACTTGCTTGTAGTGGCCCACATGGTCCAGTAGGTTCAGTGAGAGGTAAGCACAAGTCTGCTGGGAGACTTTGAGACTTTGAAGGCATTTGCTTCTGGGTAAGGAGGGGCGTGGCAGGTGCTCGCTCTGCCCATCTTCCGTCCTTTACATGTAGACATGTTGGTTAAAGGCACAGCAGCCATCTTGTGATTATCAAGCACTAAACATGAGGACAAAATGGACGTTTGCTGAAGATGAACAGAGTCTGTTTAGATGATGTTGGGGAGTAATTGCCTTGGTCATCCACCACCACCAGACTTGTGGTTACATGAGAAAAACAGACCCTTATTTGGTTAAGCCACTCTTCATTAGGTTTTCTGTTACTTGTACCAAACATATTTCTAACAATTCAGACCCCTTTCAAAAAAAGGTTAACTGATATCCAACAAGAATCTTTGATACTCTTGTTAGTAAAATTTAACATTTACTTTAGCATTTGTTTTATTGTAGAAATAAATGTCATGGGCATTTGAGCTAGATGGGCCAGTTTCCCCCTTGGTCTGATTACCAAGGAAATGAATGATTGGCTGAGCATGTCTTGCTATGGGACTCCAGTGCCTGGATCCCTCCCACCAAGGTGTCACACCATGTGATGATGTGTGGGCCTCTACCCACCCACATTACTATTTTCTTCTCACAGACACCCCTACTTACAAATATACTGAGTTCATTTACAAAGGAGGAAAATGGCTGCTTCAAAACAGAGCAATGAATTACCTGTCACATCCCTGAGATCTTTTGCTTACCCATATTGAGATTACTTGATTTATCTTCTCAGCCCAACGTTTCGAATTCGTGACGATGTTTTTACTTCTTGCTCCTGTGATATGACACCTTTAGGATTCTGCTAGCTACCTCATGGTATACACAGTGGGCATGGAGTTTTAAAACAGTGCTTCCTAGCTATCACCAATGGAACAAAAGTGCTTCCCGTTTGTGGTAGAAATCACCCCATGTCGTCATTTGTCAGCTAGTTGCAAAGGAGCTAAAAAATTCTGAAATCCTGTTGTAAAAGACAATCCTCTCCAGACTTGTCCAGCACTTCCACTTTGCAGCCAAACTGCAAATGCCATCCCAAAGGTATTAGGTGGCTCTTTTTCTATGTTCATGACAAGAAACAAGAAAATGAAAAGTTGCACGAAGCTGGGAAAATTGCAGAAACCTGGCAGGGGATGACTTTCACCTGAGCAATTTGTCAGTTCCAAAGGGACATGTAAAGCAAGTTTTAAGAATAAGAGGCATCCGGTTCTCATTCTGACTGGTTTGCCTGGCCATAATTATTGCAATGTGGGCTAACATCCCCAGCCCTGCAATGCACCTGTGTAGGCTCAATAAACACAACTGACCTGCAGTATTAGTTAACGTTGATGACAAAACTCAGAAAGATCTTTATTTATTACAGTATATTCTCTTTTTAACTGTGAACATATTGTATTTTCCCCACTCCAGTCTGTCAAAATATGCTTACATATTTTCTCCTCTCACCTCAAGGGAAGGAGCTCAGTGCCCTCTGACTCCATTACTAGGCTTCCTTCCCCAGGACCATGAGGGAACTAGCCCAGCAATGGTGCAAAGTGGTGCAACCACTCCGACATATGAATCTCCTGGGAGTCAAGTCTCTTGGTAAATATATGCCTTAGACTTGAGAAGTCTAATTTTAATTCTCTCCTGCCCAGTCCCCTGGTCCTGCTAGATTTGTAAGGACCTAATAGTCTAAGATAATACCCAAAGTGAAAGGTCAACTTTTTTTTTAAGTAGTAGATTTGTAAAGAATTCAGGGTCAAGAACTGTAGATACTAATCCTTATTCAATCACTAGTTTGCAGGCCTCTTCAAGCCTCTTAATTGTTGTGCCTTTGTGTGTGGAAGAACTGGGACTGCCCTACCTTACGCTAATGCTGTGAGGATTAGTAAGTGTCGGAAAATCCCTCTGCAAATACGAAATGCTTTGTAAATAATAACAAGCTACTTGAGCAGTTATTATTAAAGAGATCTTGAACAAGCTGCCCCTATGCATACACATACACACACTCAGACACACAGGCACACACACACACACAAACACTGTGGATGCTAAAAGATTTATTGATGATGATTCTCATGTGGATAAATGGCTTGAATGCAGGCTTACCTCATGGTTGCAGCAAACACTGGTTGACCTCCTGAGGTCCTTTCTTGACCTATTAACCTGTTGTTTCATGTTGATGATGCTAAACCTAATGAATTTAGAGTGGGAGCCATTTCTAAATGTACCCTCAGCAGTAAGGACAATATTTATCAGTATTACTGAGCTTTAGGCTTCATTTATAAAGTGTATTAACATCAATCATTTTACAAGTATGTATTTCTCAGAATGGCTGCACTTTGCAAAACAAACAAAAGAACTCTGGAAGAATCAGTGGATATTATAATATATGGCACAGTGCTGAGGTAACAAAACAGTTGTATAATTATTCCCAGCATGACATGTTGATGTACAAAAACTTTGGTTTCCTTTAAACAGTGTCTGTCAATTTTCCCACATCAGTGCAGGAATCACTGACATGCACAATTTTCCCCATCAGTATGATGCCCAATTACTTGAAAAGGGTGAAAACTTTATGCCACTTTCCAGCATGATGGACATAACCTTTAAATATTGGCAATTGCTGAGATGTTTCATGTTGTAAATTTTCTGAACATAATTGTGAGTTTTCCCTTGCCATCAGCTTTATTTTCTATTCAAATTAGGAAGTATTAACAAAGTTTTGCTTGTCTCTCTTAAGATTCAAATTTATAGCCACAAAGTATGCTTAACTCTACTAGAATGGTTAAATGAATGCTAAAGGAGATTGTGGAGTCAGCTTTGGGGATATTTTAAAACAAGAGTTTTCCTTCCTGAGCATTTTATGTGGAGAATAGCCTGAACACAGAGTAGAGTTTTGCATCAACTCTTATGGTCTGATCTGGATATATTATCCAACATATAATTCCCATTTAAAACTCAGACCTAGTCACACATAAAATCATTAGATACTTTTGGCTTCATGTTGACCTGAAAGAGTGAATAGTCTTCCTTAAATGGAACATCAGTTTTTCAAAATGTGAATTTGTATAGCAAATAATTACAGCTGCGCATTGTGTATTTCAATAAATGTGTATTACGTTTTGAGTATTTATGTAAATGAAATTTAGAAACATTCCAGGGCATGGATGACCTCCTAACTACAATGCCCAATGACCTTTTTTATTTCTCTTCTTTGGTATTTTCCCATTTCCTTTATATCAAATAAACATTTGACACTCTTCTCTTGGAAATTCTTTTTGTTTTTTTTGAGACAGAGTCTTGCTCTGTCACCAGGCTGGAGTGCAATGGCATGATCTTGGCTTACTGCAACCTCCACCACCTGGGTTCAAGCAATTCTCCTGCCTCAGCCTCCCTGAGTAGCTGGGACTGCAGGCACACACCACCATGCCCGCCCAGCTAATTTGTGTGTGTGTGTGTGTGTATTTTTAGTAGAGACGGGGTTTCACTGTGTTGGCCAGGATGGTCTCAATCTCTTGACCTCATGATCTGCCCGCCTCAGCCTCCCAAAGTGCTGGGATTACAGGCATGAGCCACTGCGCCCAGCTGGAAATTCTATTTACTCTTAGTGGCCCTGCACAAGCATGGCTTCCTCTATGACTCTATGACAGGCATTGGTTGGATTTTTTTGACGAACTAATATCTAAATTCCCTTTCTAACTGGGGGGCACCCACTGCAGGAGTAGAGAAGCCCAGATAATTGTTCTCCAAGAGCCCTGGCAGCCAGGGGAGGGCTCATGACCTAAGCTTAGCAGATCAGATGATCCATCCAGAACTCTGTTCCTGGAGCACGGAAAGCAAGAAACCGTTTAACATCCACTGTAGTCGGGGAAGTGGGTCTATAACCGGTGTCTGGAACAGTGGCGGCCATGGAGTCAGGAAACCAGCAGCGCCCACTGGGGAGGTCGTCATAGGGGTTTCTGATCAGACAATTCCTGCAGCACAATCAGCTGTGTTCTCAACATCTTTCATTGCTCACTGCCCAAGGCTGTTTCTCAGTCTTCTTGTGGATTCTCTGAGTGACCAAGTCAACGTCCAATAAGGGCCTTTACAACTTAAGTGAATCAAGTTTTTGTTTGCAAACAAACAAATAAAAAAATCCAAACTCACCTGCACAAAATCACACGCCACCTCATGTGCTGAAAGAAATACCTCCTTATTAGAGCAATTTGGGCGTCTTCAATGTCTTTCTCAATTATCTTCCATCTACATTTTCTACTCTCCAGCCAGATTGAACTAGTCAACATTCTCTGATCACACTTTTTCCCATCCAGGTGCCTCAATTTGAATCAATTTTCTTGTTTATAAGAAGTCCACCTATCATTCACATCTACATTATCTGGCTGGGAGTGGAGCCATGTTTAATATCTGCTGTAGCGACAGGTACGAGAGGTTTCAAATTCCTCCAGATGCCAGCTCCACTCCCCCCCAATCAGACTTTCCTGTTTTCCTGATTGCCCCAAACCCCAGAAAACAGATGTGACCTTGATCTTCTTTGACCTCTCATAACATTTTGCATCTTTCTTATGTCAAATACCACATTCCACATTGGAAAAAAATGGTCATTTGTTTTTGTATTCAATCTATTCTAGATTGTGAGTTCTTAGTAATATAGTAAAGGTTATAACTTGTTTTATATCTATATATTTTTTAGCAGTGATCTTGCATGTTGGTTGAAAAACAAAATGGATATGCATAGATCTTTCTTGCTGAAATGAAGATTATTATAATGCTTCTAATATACAACTTCCTATGTCTCTAAAATTCTACCTACCCACTGTTTAACTTAAAAAAAATGAATTATTATGCAATCAAAAATTATGTTCTATGATCTCTACTTTAAAAAGAAAATAATACATTACACAGTCAAACATTTAATAATTAGGTTTTTTAGGAAGTGAATAAGTAAATTAATTACTTTATTGTGGCATATTTAACTGGATATTTCAGATATTTAGCAAACAATTAATGTGTCTGGATATGGTTTTGGGTGCAGACAGTCTATGTAAATAGAAAAGCATTGTTTTTCATGGCAAACATTCCTCATTATAAGTTTGTTCCTAGACAGAAAATGTAATACATTCTTTGATGTACACAGAGTTTCAGAGAAAGGAATAAAGGAATTTAGATAAAACTTACGGGGGAAAGTCAGTTATTTATACTTCTGTGTTTTATTTCTCAAGGAAATAGATTTGAAGAAAGCATAGTTTTACACCATTAACAGCTGATACGGATAAGATAGAGTTGCTTGATAGCAAAGAACAGATAGGAAAAGAATCCATCTGTCTAGAAAGATCTTCATGGAAATGGATAAGTAGTGCCTATTCGGGAAAAAATTACTACACATATAATATATTTCTGGAAGGTTTATGTGAAAAACATATTTCCTGTCAGTTTCTTGTTTTCTTTTTAAAAAAGAAGCTTCTTTTGGGCCGGGCACGGTGGCTTACGCCTGTAATCCCAGCACTTTGGGAGACCTAGGCAGGTGGATCACCTGAGGTTAGGAGTTCGAGACCGAGCTGACCAACATGGAGAAACACCGTCTCTACTAAAAATACAAAATTAGCCGGGCGTGGTGGAGCATGCCTGTAATCCCAGCTACTTGGGAGGCTGAGGCAGGAGAATCACTTGAACCTGGGAGGCAGAGGTTGCGGTGAGCCAAGTTTGTGCCATTGCACTCCAGCCTGGGCAACGAGAGTGAAACTCTGTCTCAAAAAAAAAGCTTCTTTCTTCAGTTTTTTTTTCTTCCATGACTGCATTTAGAAAACAGTGACAGGGTAAGTGCATTTGGGCTCTTTAGATAGAATCAATTCTGGATTTCTTTTATTACTTTGTCACAGTGCTTCAATGATGGTTCTAGATTAGATAAATTGATCACATTTGAGGAGGGTTTCCTGCAATTCACATATGAACACACACGCACACATATGCTCACACATACACATACTCACACATACATGCTCTCACACACTCCAAACATTCTAACCCAAAGCTGTCTTTGCTCTTTGCTTTCAGCATGGCTTCCATCCAGAGCCAATTACAGAAAACAACAGCTCCTCAGCACTATTGCCAACAGTAATCTCAGGGAAAGAATTGCACCTACTCAAGCCTGAGAACATATTCAAGAAGTTAATTATTTTCCTAGTGTAGTCCTTGGAGTAGCCTTTTTTTTTTTTTTTTAACTTTTTCCCTATAAAGTGCCATGGGGTATTATTCCTGTGGAACATATGGGGTACTATATAAAACCAAGTTGTTGCTGATTTTACTTGAAATCAGTTTTTATTTCCTGTTTTATGTCTACTTGTTTACAGCACCTTGAAACATCTTCTGTGTGTTTGCCCGGTGCTGAGGGCTTCGCAGTCAGAGCTGAGTCTCCCTGGTTCCTGGTTAGCTCACTTTGGAGGGCTGCGTGTCCCTGCGTGTCGAGGGAAGGAAAGAGGTAATGCCAGAAACTAATTTTCAAATAAAATGGCAACATGATTGAAACGTATTCCTCTAAATTCAGTATCAATTAAGTTTAATGGTCACAAGTCTTTCATCGATTTATAGAGCTGTGTATATCATGATTTTTAGAGAGAACATTACTCCCTCGACAGCTTTCTAATTGAGAAAAGGATTCTATAGCACAGAGACCTTCGATTAATGTTCTATAGAGATAATTTGTAGCTTTTTGTTCTGCTGGTCACTGCGCCAGTCATACACCGACTTCACTTAGCAGGTTTGGGAAATTTAGTTGCAGCCACAGCAAACAAAGCCCAATAACTGTGTTCTCCATGACAGCAGAAATCTAAAGAAATAGTTAGTAACTGATGGGGCTTTTGTTCTTGTCTCATTTCCCATTATGGCAGATCCTCAAGGTAGTATGGAAATAGCAAATTTCTAGTTGCTATTTACACAGATAACTGCCCCCAAAAGACCAAGTAGAAAAAGTAGCCAATGGATTGTGCCATTGGTTTTATTCAGGAGCATGTTTCTAGAAATGAACAGGTTTAGGACTTACATAGGCCTGGGTTCCATTGCTGGCTCAGTGATACACTCGATGTGGACAACGTGACATAATATTGATTATTCATTATTGGCTTTGGAAGTCATGGTGAGTAACTTACATACAGTTGCACAAATCAGTGTCCTTACGTGGTAAGCACTTATCAAAGGAGACTTCCCGCTCTACTTCCTAACATCTGAGGGTCAACGTTTACTACACTTATGGGATGCAGTGACTTCCATGTGAAGGGTAACCAGTTAGAAATCTCAAGAAATGGGTGAGAGTGGCATGGGAGTGTCCCTACACCACCCGCAGATGATTACATTCTAGTTGCCTTCTGGCTTTTCTGTTTTTTATTGATTGTTGGCAGCATACCATTGCTGGACTTAGTGATTGCTTACAAACTCAGCTTCTCCTAAGAACTAACAAGCAAATTTGAGCTTCCCAAGAATGCAGGGTGGTGACTAAAATGCCAAAGGCAT
The DNA here is from genome assembly GCF_000001405.40 of Homo sapiens. Taxonomy (NCBI): domain Eukaryota; kingdom Metazoa; phylum Chordata; class Mammalia; order Primates; family Hominidae; genus Homo; species Homo sapiens. The sequence continues at coordinate 204,300,022 of NC_000002.12, forward strand.
GAACCAGTTAAGCTCTAAAGAAGTCCAAAGACAGAAAGCAAAAAAAAAAAAAATAAATAAATAAATAAATAAAATAAAACTGAGAAAGATGGAAAATCTAGTGACACCTCAGGACTTCACATACTTCCTTGGGCAAGGCAGTGTCCCAAAATTCATGCTGGCTCTGATGGAGGGAGGGGAGAGCTGGGACAGCAGCCACCACATGGCACTCTTGGAGTTCCATGCCTTGGTGCATCACACAGAACTGGATTTGGACCTCATCTCTGCCACTGGCAAGCTGTGTGAGCTTGAGGAAGTTATTTAACCTCTCTGGGACTTGGTTTCTATCTCTAAAAGGAGTACTTTCTTCATAGAATTGCTTTGGGGATTAGGTAAGAAAATGCATTGAAAACAAAAGGCCTAATGATGTGAAAAGTATTACAATTAAGACTACTGGCTTAGAGAGCTTCAGAAAATCTCTCCAAGGTTCTATCTCCTCTCTAAAATGATTATGATAATGGTTCCCACCTTTTCAGGCTGTTGGAAGGATTATGAGCTAGCTCATGACTAGCATTTACAAATATTCCCTGGCATATATTAGGTTCTGCATAAATATTAGAAATTTATGTCCCCCCTATTTTCCCATTCCCTGGACCATTTGCTTTTTTCTCTACATACCCACCCCCTAGCACCATGCTTGAACTCCTGTATATGTCTCTCCTCTTATGTCCAGCTAGTCTTCTACAAAGAGCCTTAGAAACCAGACTTCAAATGGACACCATGGCTTCCTAGTGGGGTAATTCTCCTATCTCTGCCCCGATAGTCATGATCAGCCATTTTTAGGCTAATTTCAGCTTTTCCTAGGAGCAATAGCCATTAGCCAAGTAAATGTGACATCTCACTCTCTTTTATAAAAGTGAGAAGAGTGCTAAAAATATTGCTGGTTATTTCACAGTTAATCGGCTTCCCTTGAAGAGGTGGTATGCCTCTGTCCTTGTGGGGAGTCTCATGTTCACTTCTGGTCACCTTGTTTCAAGAGAAGTGGGAGTGAGATTGAAAAGTGCTGGAGAAGGGTATGAGCTTGCTTAGAGGTGGAGGACGATTTACGTACTATGATAGGCAACAAAGAAGAGGATTAGCAGAAGCTTAGGATGAATTTGATAGCAGGGCTTAATATTACAAGGGTTTAATAAAAACTTATCAGTCCCCCTTTGTCAACATAACAGCAAAATATGAGTGCAAGTCAATGCTCAACAATATCAAAAGGCGGCAAATGAGAATCCACACTGGAAAATAGTTATTCACACAAAATGTTTACTTGTGCAAATCTCCGATGTCAAAGACATTTCTATAACCAGGATTCTGTCCCTACACTTTAAAAGACTGAACAATTTTGTGCAATAAAAATATGTGATTATGCAAGTATGTCCAATATGGGTAATTAAATTTCATGCTTCAGGAGACAAATTAGTTGTTGAGGGATATCTGGAAGACAGTTCTTCTGCATGTATGTCATTTCACAGCTAGCCAGCCTTCCCAATGGGACTTTGCTGTCCTACTAGGAAAAGAATAGGGGCACTGTCTAGAGAAACATTTAACAAAGCAAATTCCTTTTCATTTACTCTCAACATTTCTTACCCTCAATTTGAGTGTTGATTAGCCCTTGGAGTTTGAGCTTATGTTAGGCAGATCCCAAACTAAAGGACCTTGAAGAGACCAGGTTTGTTGTTGTGTGTAGTTTCCCAGAGTGGCCTGGAAAATCTATTTGCAGGTTCTTAACCAAATTCTTAAGATGACCCCAGGCAAACTCCATCTTCCATTAAAGTTCTTTAGGCCCAAATGAATAAGGTAGAAACCATCACTGTGGAGCTTTAGTTTGCAAGAATGGAGGCCCAGGAAAAGAGTTGATGATTCCTGGATTGTGGGCTTTCCAGAGTCCTAGTTAACTGCATCAGTGAAGAATGCACATTTGTATTTAGTTACCCATTCCTGGAAAAATATAATTCTTCGTTAAAAGTGGAAAGTGGATTGGGAGGAATTGGCAATAAAATTTTACCTCTCATGAAAGAAAACTGTATCTTCTGAGAAAAAAATGAATTTTTTTGAGAAAATTTTCTCAAAAATGATTTGAGAAGTGTCAAAAGAAAGGCTCCTCGTCAGAGAGATGTAGCACAGCCCCCAAATAGATGATGTTTGGCCCAATAGACAGCATTTTCATACGAACTTACACGTGTCAAACAGAAAGATTAAAAAGTAAGAAAACTTTTTAGATCATGACACTATTTGGATAAATTGCTTCTTTCTTACGTCTATGTTTTCACATTATTTTACACATTATTTTGGGAAGGATCGAACCATTGTCAATTTTAAGCTAACTTTTGTATTAAAGTTAGTACTAACATAAACTTAGTTCCCAGCATTTCATGTGTCCCTTCACTTATCAATTAGGTGACAACCTACTGACTTCAGTTAAAAGCTCTATAGATCTAAAGGGCACTGGGTCCTGTCTGCTAATGGTCAGATTCCCGTTCTGGACTTACTCATAGCAGGGGTTACACTCTATGCCCTAATGTTCGGGGAGAAATTGTGGCCATAACTCCAACCACCATAAATAACTCAAGAACACCCTCGAAGGCATATGTGGGAGGATAGAAAAGATTACTACACTCTGTTGGGTTAGGATCTTTATCAAAATCATCTCTTTTAATTTTCACAACTGTGAAAAATACACACCATAATGTGTATTTGCATTCCCATTTTGTGGATAAAGAAACTAAGGCTCAGAAAGGCTGAAAAAATTAGCTGAATTTATTGTTCTATTATTAACATCTGCCGCCTTCCTCCAAGTAAGACTTCAGAGGCCTTTGAGCTGACACTTCTTGGAACAGAGATGAACTATAACTACCAGGCCCAAATTGCAGATTTGCTAGCAAAAAAAACAAAAACAAAACAAAAAACATTGCCATTGTTTTAAGCCACCACATTTTGGGATAATTTGTTATGTACCCATAGTAATAGTGACAGTCACAGAAAATATTAACTCCATACTTAGAATCATGATTTTAGCACAATAGGTTGGATCATGCTAATATACATGTATGCATGTATATGCTTGTATGCATAAATGTGAATACATACATGTGGACACCCTGAACATGGCACTAGCAGAGCTCATGACAAGGAATCATAAGCATATACCTCGCCTGCCTGCTCTATTCCCTCCCTACCTCCCCGCATTTCAGAGACACTTCCAGAGGAGTCAAGGAGTAGTGACCAATTTGCATGTGATTGTTCAGACAGTTATTCTTACAGTGAACAGTGGCAGCTATGGCTCCTATCCACTAAGTCTGCTTTTTCATGTCCCTTTTTCTTGTTCCTCTGGAGAGCTCTTCCTGCACTCCATGTCGTCCCCAGGAGCTATCAATTCTAATGCCCTGTTGTCCATCATTAACAGCACTTCCATAGAATGCACTGGATCACTCAGGCGGGCAATTCAGTTCCCCACTTGCATCCTAGAGATTGGTTCAAGGATGGGCATGTTACTCAACCAAGGCGGCCCATTTGCATGTAAGCTGAGATTGATAGCTGGATTCCGGAAAAGAGATGTCTTCTGTGGATGACTGATTAGTCCCAGCTCTTTACTCTTCCTTCTATCTACACTCTTTGGCCTGTAACTTTGCAGTTCTTCCAATTAAAATGTAAGACATATCTCCTTGCCCCTTGGCTTTGGACTGGGCTACATGGCTTATTTGGTCAATGGGATATTAGTAAACATAATGTGAGCAAGGGCTTGAAATTTGCTTGTGCTTTGGGATTTGTACCTCTGCTTTTGACTTGAGAAAAGCTTCCTCAGGGGAGCTTTATTCCTTCATCGTTGGCCCAAGAATGAACACAAATGGAACAAAGCTACTCTGGCTGCCTTAGAATGAAGTAAAGCCTCCCTACAGTCAACCTTCAAATTGATTAAATAAATTCTTCCTACACTATTGAGATTTTGTGGTTGTTACCTAGCATTTCTGAAAAACAATGAGTAACATACACTTTCTTTCTGTGCAGCTGCTAAGCCAGAGAAAACGTAAATTCAAGTTACAGTGTCTGTCTTGTGGAGACAGCTCAGATGACAATAAGGCTAGGTAGAGGTTAGCAGAGTCACGAGATAGAGAGAAAAACAAATCCATTTTGTTTGGCCCACGGACCCAGCTGCCTAAAGCGGTTGAATCTTCCTTTGTAGCTTCCAGTTACAGGGGTAACAAATCCCTTTTAAAATTAGTTATTTATTTATTTACTTATTTAACTTCCTTGAGGTCAGTTTGAATACAGCTTCTGTCACTTGATACAAGAATAGCCTAGACTAATGTGTCGTGTAAACCATCTCTGATGCCTTCCCTGCCTCTAGATTGCACTCTTCGCTGCTACCCACAGAGCTGTTTCTGGCACCTGAATAACTGGCTTTCAGCCAGATACTGTGTTGGAGGGTATAAAAGATTTTCCACTTGAAGTTTTCTCTATGAATTGTCCCATCGGCCCACCCTTCCTCCTGCACAGGCTGCAACAGAGCGGGGCCTACAGAGGACATGGCTTGGTTTCCATCAGCTGTGGCAGGGTTTCGCTGTCATTTGAAAAGACTAACTAGATTTTGACTCTCTTCAGGGTCTTGGAAGGACAGGAAGCTGTGGTTGAATGCAGGAGACTTCAGCTTTCTCTTTCTTCCTAGGGGCGGGCAGTATCTAGCCAAATTTGGTGCATGGGGTTGGTAGCTTCATGCTTGAGTTATAGGTTCTAATCCTAGAAGGTTGATTTATGTCCCAATGATACAAGATTCACGCCAGAAATAGAGACCCCCCACCCCCACCATATGTATACATATGTATTTTTCTGCTGTTTCCCAGCTCTTGGGGTATTTCAGAAATGTAAGCCGTAAGATACTGTGAATATGTCCTACTCTGTGTGAATAGCATGTGAATGCCTGAAGGGCTCCATTTTTCTTACCAGTGTGTGAGATCCTAGTTTTGTGTCTTTCTCAGGTTATTCTCTTCTTGCAAGTCTCTTCCCGCTCCCCGCTCTTCCATCACAGGGCTTCTATCCTACAACTCGCCAGCAAGAGCAAAAAAACGGCACCTCATGCACACACATTTGCTTGATAAGAAATTGGAGGAGGTTGAATCGCCATGGTGAACAAAGGCCCCGGGCTCCTGCCAGCATGTGGGGCCAGACCTAGAAATCAAACATGACGTCCCTTCCGTGGCAGCCACTCCACATGCTAATGACAGGTCCAGTGGGCTTGTGTTCTTTCAATTTTAATTATGAAGCAGAAGTGTAAAAAGATCGTGTGGCAGGGAACGCTGTGGAGCTTGACAAGGTATTTTATCAACATATTATTATATTCAGAATTAGGCAAGCCCAGAGGATGGTGCAGGGCTCTGAAACCAGCCGAGGTCTTGGCAGACCCACTGTTTCCTCACCTGTGGGAGTGGCTTCAGGGACAGAGGCTTAACCACCCTGAACATGAGTCTCCTCAGGCCTGGGAATTCAGGTCAAGAGTGTTGACAGAAGGTGTCATAGTCCCCTGTGGAATCCTTCAGTGTGGATTTGGTTTTCTTCCTGAACATCCACACTCATGGCCACGTGAGGGATGTGGTCCCATCAAAGTCGTGTTGTGAAGCGACCTGTTAACAAGCTCCTTGGATGCATTAAGCATTCTACATAAATGTCTCATGTAATGCTCACAATGATGCTGTGAAGTAGACCGATGTAAACACTGCCATGGCCTCCAGGATCCGTTTTCCCGTTTATCCTCCCAAATGCATAGCAGCCTGCTTTTGTTCAGATGGACAATATCCCAACTAAACAAATTTGATTTCTTGGGCTTCCTCAGAGCTTCGGGAGACCCTGTGCTTCAACTCAGGCCAATGAGTAGTAAGTGTGAATTCCCTGGGGAAGGCTCTCTGGAAAGCTATTGCTTTCAGACAAGAAATGACAGATTCAGTTGGCTTGTGCCCTTTACCTGCTACCTACCATCTTCCTTTTTGTCTGTGTGAAAGATCAAGATGCCTGGAAGGACAGCAGTCTCCTCACAGTCATGCATGACAGGACAGAAGAGGGAGGAAGAGAGAAGGAATCCAGAATCCTGACCAGTACATCCGTATCATCATCTCCATTTTACAGATGGGGACACTGAGGCTCAGAAAGGTGAAGCCGTTTGTATAAAGTCACAAATTCAAACCTCCATATCTCTAAATCCAAATTCCATGCTCTTTCCATAAGTTCTGATTAGAGTATAGTCTTAAGATCAGAGATGTTAAAGAATATATGTGTGCATTTATTTTTATTTTTATTTTTTTTTAAACAGAGTCTTGCTCTGTTGCCCAGGCTGGAGTGCAGTGGCATGATTATGGCTCACCGCAGCCTCCTTCTCCCAGGTTCAAGCAATTCTTCTGCCTCAGCCTCCCCAGTAGCTGGGGTTAGAGGCACCTGCCACCATGCCCGGCTAATTCTCCCATTTTTAATAGAGATGGGGTTTCACTATGTTGGCTAGGCTGGTCTCAAACTCCTGACCTCAGGTGATCCACCCGCCCCAGCCTCCCAAACTGCTGGGATTACAGGTGCGAGCCACTGCGCCTGGCTGCATTTATTCTTAACTCTAAAACATACTGTTGGTTTTAGGTGGGGCTAAATTCCTGGGATAGGGAAGCTACTTAACAGGCAGGCATGGATGAGAGGTCAGTGACCATGGAGGGCTCAGAAAATTCTTTCGTGGTAAGATTTGGTCCACAGCCCTGAGGAGGATGCTCAGTGCCCACTGGCTCTCTCGTCCTGCGACCCTGCAACTACTGCAGAGAAGATGGCCTCAGGAGTGCAAGTTAGTGATGATGTTGCATTTTTTATGACATGAAAGTTTGGAAATGCTCCACACCAGAAGAAATCAAGAAAAGGAAGAAGGCTGTCATTTTTATTTTTATTTTTTTTTGTTTCAGTGCAGGCAAAAAGTGCTTCATGGTAGAAGAAGGCACAGAGATCTTGGTGGAGATGTTGGCGTAACCACAACTGGTCCTTTCAAACATTTTGTGGGAATGCTTCCTGAAAACGATTGCTGCTATGCTTTGTATGATGCACACTTTGAAACTAAGGAATCCAGAAAAGAAGAGTTGATGGGTTTTTGTGGGGTTTTTAAAATTTTTTTTGTGTGTGTGGGCACCCAACTAGAACCTATGAAAAGTAAACTGAGCTATGCAAGCTCCAAAGATGCAATCTAAAAGGAATTTTAAGGCATAAACATGAATGGGCCAGAAGATCTCAATCGGGCTTGTATTGCTGAAAAGCTAGGTGGGTCCTTAATTGCAACCTTTGAAGGATGCCCTGTGTAGATCATCATTCAGTGCCATACATTGAGAGCTTCCGTGTTTAATGTTATTCTTTCACTATATAAATAAAGCATATATATTTAGGCCAGGGTCTCACTGAGGGGGAGCTGTCTTGTCATTTTTTAGAGTAAATATTCTAGAAACACATGCAAACAGTCCTAAATAAATCTAAAGTCTAAAGTTAAAAAAAAAAGATTGGGAATTTCTGGGTATAGCCTTGTATATACTAACAGCAAGGCGATAGAATTAAATAAAAACTACCATGAAGAAAGAAAGAGGGAATATCACTAAGTGGAAGTTGTATGTAAATTCGAAGGAAGCAAATGAATTCCTATGGTGTTCTAGTGATAACACACAGGATTTTTACTGTCTTCTCTACCCCTTTCTTCACGCCAGTAAAATAGATTTCAGAAGCACTGTTACGCCAGAAAGGAAATGAAAGAGATTGCATTTGAGTTTAAGACACTGGATTTTAAAATTTTTGCTATTCAAAAGGTTCTGTGCCCTTTACACCCAAGTAGGGGTGAAATTACACTGAAAAATCACTTTTTTATTATCTTTAAAATGGGGTTTTTACAAAAGGGTGGCAGGAGGGAATCTTGTCATGGACTTCTTTTTCTTTAATGAGCTCTGGTTTCTTAATGTATCATGGATCTGCCTTAAAAGCCTCTTTATTCACATGTAGTTTAACTTAGGGAGAATTAAGCAGGTCAAACCCAAACACGTTTTTCACTTGTACCAAGAATAAATGATTTTCCCCTGGAAATGCCTGAAGAAGAAAATTATAAAGAGAGATTTGATTCTAAAGTCCAGAACCCTTGAGCCCTGAACTTCAGGGATATTGTTCTTGCTTTGATCACAGATACAGAAAAGAAGAAACAAAACCTCATATGTTCTTATCTGTTTCTTGCCTTTAGAAGGGAAAGACCACACTGGGTTTCTCCCAAGAAGTGAGAAAAGATATGCATAATTTAAAGGTAATTTCTGGAGGGATATATGGTTTAGGACCAACTTTCCCCCAGTCAGCTGACTTAGGACTGCATTGTCCCCAATCAGATGGCTTAGTACCATCCCTTCTAAATCATCAAAACTGCCCACAGATGTCTGGGAGTATCCAGCAGATATTTATCTAATTACTACAGTGTAGTGAGAATAAATTCGATGCTAAAGGAAGGGAGAGATAATGGAAGATGTGGCGTCGTATGTCAGGACTTCTAAGCCAATCTGACAGCCATGGTTATGCCAAGGGCATGTGCGGTCCAGAGCAGGCCACTGCATGCACTCCCTTCTCCATGCTGCAGAATGTTTATTCAGGTGAATCCAGGTAAAAAATGAATACACCCTTAAATGGTGAAATCGTAAGCAATGGCTGTAAGCAGAAGTGGTTCAGGGCCAAAGAAGCTGTTTGAGGTAAAGGCACCTCCCAAAGACAAGGGACAGGAACAGGAAGGCAATTGATGCTCAGAAGATAATGCCATTTCCATTCATACTGGCTGGGAGAGCTGGATGAGGTGTGCAAAGGAAAGAAGGCATGGCTAAGGCTGACACATGCTCATTTGTACAGATATTTTAATAATAATAGCAAACAGTGAGCCTTTACTTGTGCTAGGCAGTGTGCTAAGAACCTTTACATGGAGAGCCTCATTTTATTTTCACAAACAAACTCTATGGAATTCTTTCTAGATCCTTTAATAGAGAGGAAGATGAGGCTTAGAAAAGTTAAGTAACTTGGGCATTACCTTGGCTTCACTATGGTAGTTAGGGTAGTTAAACCATGATTCAAACGTGAGCAGCCAGATCCTCGACTTGACCTCTTAACCCTCACTAAAGTCATGATTTTTACTTTGTGCTAGTCAATACCTTGAGCCCTGGGAATACCAACGTGATTGAGACATTTGCCTGTGTCTTGGAGCTGATTATATTTTAACTTATAGATTTGTAACATTAAATAGTTCTGCCATGATAATTATCTTTCTTTTGAGGACTACACATATAATCTACCTGATACATTTGGATTCTTTCTAGTCACTTTTCACTAATTACCAGATTTATTCCCTGCCTGACTTAGCATCTTGTCCCAAATCAGATAGGGAGGAGAGGGGAAGAAATGGAGGTTAGAAGCCTCAATTCACCTCACCATATGGACACGTACAGAGAATCAGAAGCGAACAGAACTTCTAGAATAAAAGCAAAGCCCATGTGTTATAGATAGGAGGCTGGAGGAAGGGGAGATTAATTCTAAGTGGGGGAGATGGGGAAAGCATCCTAGGAACAGTGACATTGGGCTGGGTATTGAAGCCTGGTACTGTCACCTGAGCACCTGTTTATCCAGCCACCTAGACCCTGAAGCAGATTCATTTAAACTTTGTGGCCTGGAGATGGTACTGCTTGCCACATAGACTTACCCCACCAAAACTGCCCAAACTTCCTTCATGTCCTGGGAGGAAAGGAAGAAAAAGAGGAAGGAAGGAAAGAAGGAAGTTAGGAGGGAAGGAAGGAAAGAAGGAAGGAAGAAGAGGGGGAAAGGAGAGAGGGAGAGAGGGCAAAGGAGGGCAAAAGGATGGAGGGAGGGAGATGGCATATAATGAGAAGAACAAAGGACAAGTAGAGAAAGAGCCTAGTTATTTCTTGAGCTCTCTCAGTACTTAAGGGCTCTCTCTGCCTCCAAATCCTAAATTTTGGAGCCACCTTAAAGAATCCCCTTGACACTGATTGTCTCATTAGTCAGTCTCAACCTTGGCTTCAAGGAAATCTTGATCATTTTCAGGAGACATTGTCCAGGGATGCATTATTTTTGTAAATTCCCAGGTGATCTAATGTCCAGCCAACATCAAAGACCTTTGCAATGGACCGCACAGGGCAGACAATCCCCTCTTGTGATTGTACTTCTGCGACTCTGCCAGGCTTTTGGCCTCACTTGGATGCTGTGTGGCAGGTGAGCCTTGTCCATGTTCAGATCATCCTCAATGCTGAATTGGAAACTGCCTTGCTCTCTGTTAAGTACCAGGGCCCTGTAGCCATATAAAAGGGTTGAAGTCTGGAAGAATTCATGAGGCCCAGTTCTCTTTTTTTTTTTTTTTTTTTGAGACAGCGTCTGGCTCTGTCGCCCAGGCTGGAGTGCAGTGGCGCGATCTCGGCTCACTGCAAGCTCCGCCTCCTGGGTTCACGCCATTCTCCTGCCTCAGCCTCTCAAGTAGCTGGGACTACAGGAGCCCGCCACCGCTCCCGGCTAATTTTTTGTATTTTTAGTAGAGACGGGGTTTCACTGTGTTAGCCAGGATGGTCTCGATCTCCTGACCTCATGATCCACCCGCCTCGGCCTCCCAAAGTGCTGGGATTACAGGCGTAAGCCACCACCCCCGGCCGAGGCCCAGTTCTCACAATCTGGTTCCGCTTAGTTAGTCTTAAGCAGGAGTGGGGAATAAAATTTCCAGTTAATAGCAACCTCAGGGTTTTACTTCTTGTTGAACTCCCCTGGAAAGCACCAAAGAACCAGTAGAAAAGACATGACACTGTTTGAAGAGGGTCATTTGGTCCTAATGAAGAAGATAAACAAAGTGGGTTAGTTGTTTCCTGCTTAGAGAAAGGTCACTGGGGTGACCCTGTGAACGGGTCTTGTGAATTGATATTTTTAAAACCTCCATCTTATCTTCCTTATCAATCACTTTTCACAATAAACAATACAATTTTATGTAGCACATGTTATTTCCTCTTTTCAAATGGCTCTCAGTAACCCTATTTGGCTAAACAAATAAATAAAAAGTCTTTGGGAGGGCATGTTGATGTAAATTACCACCAACTAATGAGGCCAGCTGGGATCATTCTGACCAGGAATCTTTAGACCTTCTACAGTGCATTTACTTTTCTTCAATCCTCCACCAAACACTGTGCCAATGGTCTTCAGGCTTTAGCTTATTGACTAAAGTTGTCATAAAGGTGCCAACTTGAGCCCTATCATGGTTGTTATGTGGCTGTTGACAGTCACTGAATTAAAGACCCCTAGACCTGCTGCTCACCCAGCCAACACTAGATGTGTAACAGATGCCCAGCATGCTTAGGAGCTACCTTGAATGGATTCATTTCTATCACCACATCCTCCGTGTGACACTCTGACCTTGTTCAAGGAACACCTGTAGCTATTTCTCAAGGCATTCAGCAAGAACATGAAATGGTCTCAAGTTCAAAGGTATCCCATAGTTTTTGTTCTTTTATTTAAAGCTTCTTGATGTCTTAGTCCTATTCACTGTGTGATTTTTTATAATAATTACATACTAAGTCAATGGCCAAATATAAAATGCAGGAGAAAAATCATGGAGCTATATAAAGCCCGTGACTTAGTGGACTCATTTTGTATTATAGTAAAGATGTCAGGAACATGGGAAATGTTAACTAACTAATGGTGTTCTGGAATCTTCCAACCCAAAAGATTCTCCAGCGAGTCATTTTCAAAGAGCTCTTGAAATAGTTTTAGAGACTTTCGCAGGCTAAAGAAGTGGGTACACTGAATAGGAATAAAGATATTCGAGAAGGCTTTTGCCAAATACCCTGTTGTTATTCAGGAGGCATTTTGGCATTTAATTTACTAATTAATTACCCGTCCAATTCCTTGAGAATGTCAGATTTCTGAGTGCCAGTGCGAGGACATCATCAGCACTCGGAGGGGGAGTGAGTGCTGGCCTAATGAGGTTTGGTGCTTTCCTCCCTTTACCAGAATCCCCCACCCCAAGAACAAAGGGCCTCTTCTCTCCAGCCCAATATCTCAACAGAAACTTTGAGTTATGTGGGAGAAGGCAGAGAGACGATTAAAGGCCTGGAAAATGAGACCTATGAGAAATAGTGAAAGGAGTGGGGATTACTGAACCTGTGGAAGAGAAGGCGGAGGAATGACTTAACAGTCTTTCCCTACTCTTTGAAAAGCTCTCACGTCGAGGAACGCAGCCAGCTGTTCAGCATCTCCGCAAAGACCAACTGGGAGGAAGCCGATTCAAGCTGCAGCATTAGGGATTTAGAACACAAGAAAGAATTTCCTAGCTTTGAGAAATGTTAAACATCAGGAAAAGTTACCCATAGGGGTTGAAGAATCTCCTTCTCTTGGGGTATTTAAAAATAGATGTTCTTAGCTGTCTCGAATGATTTAAAGGTCCTACCTAACACTTGGGGGAGGGGGTGGAGGAGATACAACCAGATAATCTCATTCTGAGTATCTTTTGGTTTTAAGAACTAAGAAGGTATTTAAAAAAAAATTTCAAGACATTTAAATTAGACTTACACACAACTGTATGAAGAAGCATTAAAAAAGGAGGAAACACCAGGATTAACGGCAAAACAAATCTCAATTATAATTCCATCTTTTTAAGCTATTTGTTCTTGAGAAGATAAAGACCTCCACCTCAGTTTCCTCACCCATAAATTGGAGCCCAAACTACCTGTATTACTGACCTCAGTTGCTATGAATATCAAAGAAAACATGAAAATACTTTCAACAGTGCAAACAATTATATAAGTGGAAAACATCATTATGGGGAGGTATTTTTTTTACATAAACCCCTCAATATTTCTCTGTTTATTTCATTTCTGTAGGAGCTAAGAGTCAGGCCTGACAAAGTACAGCTACGCTCTCCGTATCTCTAACACACTGTCAAGAATGAAGTGGAGAGGATTTTACTTTGAAATCTGGCCTTGGAATATTTCCTGATCGTCTGACAAACCCAAGGACTTCCAACTAGAATTTCAAACTTGGGCACACATCAGAGCTCCCAATCGAGCATTTGGCGCAGTGGGATCCAGGTGAACAAGCTATGATCCTGTTCCAACCCTTCTCAGATAATTTTCATAAGAAAAGGAGTTGGAGGGGATTCATATGGCTTCAAAAAGCAGTCAGGGAAAGTTGCAAAGAGACCCTGACACAAGTTCTGAGGAATGAGTCCTTACAACATGCTGTAGGAAACTCAGCCTCCTCCTCTCTCTTCCTGCAAGGTCTCTTTAATTTGGTGAGTGTCTGTTTGGAAAAGTGTTGATTAAGAAACCACATCACTACTCCAGAGCCAGTTCCCAAGGGGCCTGGGTTTCACACAGAGGGGAAGCCATTGTCCTGCCACTGTGTGTGTTCCCGCCACCCTCCAAGTTTCCCTGTCATTTTCTTTTTTCAAAACTGCCTCCCATGGTGAGACAACTTCCTGGAGTCCTGGAGTTGGTCATTTCCAAGGTATTGGTGTTGTTTTACTAGAGAAACTGCATTGGGATTCTACTCCAGAAAAAATCCAGTTGTGGCTATAGTCAGGCTTTCCCTCTTGCTAATGTAAAAGTGGATTTATCCCAAAAATACTAGGCAAAGAAAAGAAGGAGAAAAGAATTTCTTGATGGAAGGAGTGAGTGAATAGCTAGAGAATCAAGATAGGAATTACCATGAAAGCTTCAAACTCAGGGAAAGCCTGCTCCCGAAAAGGCAGAGGAAAGAATAACAGGATGGCCTTTATTCTGCAGTGATCTCTACATAAACCTCTGGAGTTCAACATACCAGCAATCCCGGCAGCAAAAGCAGTCCAAGAGAGGCAGAGGACCCCCAGATTCACCCAACTGCCTCACAGTTGGAACCTGCGTTTGCAGCAAACAACAAAATCTCAAAAGGGAATACCACTGAGCATTTTCATTTTTATTTTCAGAATAGTTCAACTTTTTCTAGGGCCTGACTCTTGAAGGCATATATATATATATATATATATATATATATATATATATATATATATTTTTTTTTTTTTTTTCTCTCTTCCTGCTGGTCCTCTGGAAATTTCGCAGGTGAGAGAAGGAAAACAAGAGTGATAACAAATGCTGCTTCGGGGGTGAAGTCACATTCCAGGTGAATTCCTGTTACTTAGTTCATTCCCATTTTGTCTTTTTTCCTAAGGGGAGAGGAGTGTTTTTATGGAACGTTTTTTAGCCCACTCTACATGCTATGGGGTATTTCTTGCCATAGTGAAGCTCACACCACATCAAATGTGCAGGGGGCCACTGAACCATGATTTCTTGAGTCATGCAGTTTTAGCCTTCAAACAAATACCTGTAGGGAAAAATGGGAGGGTCCCCCCAATATAGTTAACTACCATAGCAGGTTGTTGGAAGGAAGTTGCATTGATGAAACAATTAGACAGTGATTAATATGCACCATAACTCATGGCGATATTCCTGTTTCAGCATTCGCGCCTTCACAGAATGATGTCCAATTACTCACTATTGATCAGCAATTGCATTGCACAGAATAGAATGGCAGCATCAATCCATTTTGTCCTATTGAGTTTCAGCCAATAACAATTGATATTTGGCACATGTTTCCCAGAGACATTTGTCTGCCATCAGGGAGTTGATTAACAGGTTGGCAGTTTGTATGTTTGTGAAAAAGGGAGGAAAAGTGTAAATCCTGCTTATGAATTTGTTCTCATACCTGATGTGGAGAATAAGGCAGTCGTTACAATCAGCTGTTTGCCCTGCCAACCTGTTCACATTCAAGACTGTTCGGCCCTTATTTTTTATTGATAATCATGTGAATAATTAAAGTCCAACTACATGAAACCCACATAAATCATCTTCAGTAGGCACGTAATGGACCTGGGCTCACCCATTGCTCACAGCATAAATTAAGGCCAAAATATTCACAGTGTAAACTAGGCATGTCATTGCCTCCCGCAGAATTCACAGTAACCTGCTTGTCACTCAAAACCTGTCACCTTCAAGGGAGTCAGTATGCAAAGGACTCTTCTCTCTCTAACTATCACAGGGACCACTGGCTACCTTTTGCCTTTCATTTGCCTCAACCATCGATGTTACATAAGCAGATGACATGCTATTTGTTTTGAAAATTCCACTTGCTTCATTTGGCCATTCCTGCTGCAACCCTCGCATTTGTTCTGTGCTTACTTTCAAAACGTCCAAGCCGCACCGTCCAGAGCTATTAACCTCTCCCAAGAATGTCATCAATCATGCTTGGCACGTGGGCTTTGCTAGACAAATCTAACAACATCTGCCATGCATTCTGCAACTTCCTTTTGATTCCTCACACTTTATTTTCACTTTCATCTCTGTGTGCTGGTGAGATTTATGTCTGATCCCTTTCAGATGCCAAGGAGTTGGTAACGTGCCATTCCTCCAAAGGGCAGTGTGCCGTGCGAGAAACTGGGACGACCGCTAGTTTGGGGCTGGCAGGCATCCCGGTTGCCAACATCCAATGGCCACTGAAGCGTTTTGCCAGGAAACCTCCTGGATTCAGTGGCCACTGCACCTGAGAAACCACTCATACGTGTACACATGAACAGCTGGCACATTAAAGGCATGCCTGGAAAAAATCATTTTATTTAGAAAACAGGCTATACACATCTTCTGCCTAGACCTAGGCATCATCCAAGAGCACAGTGTTAGCCCAAACCCTGCTCTTTGTTCATCTGAACCTCCCCTTCTCCCCTCCCAATGGGAAACCCCACTTTTTTTGTGTATGTGTGTTCTCACAACACTCTCAAGACCAGCCCTGGCATCACAGGATCACACCTGCTGCCTTGATGGTGGCGTTCAAACATCTCAGATGACACCAAGTCATTTACTCTGACTGACGTGTTCAGGAGCTCAAAGACCAATAGCTGTGGCTCCTCCTGGGGTTGTTAATGATTCCCCATCTATTTCCTTACAGGCAGACATTTCCTCTGGCCAATGTTCTTAGGACTTTTGGATCGACAATCTTAAGAGAAAAATCTAAGGTCCTGGAATATTCATCAGGCCTATTATTCTATTAGTCACCTTGTGAAAACTTAAACTTGTCCACAGCCTTTTGTGGCGGAAGGTAAAGAGTATGCAGGAGAGATAGATGGACTGTTAAATAAGAAATATCCGCTTTCATGAAAATGTCATTAGTAATGAAGAATGCATTTAGGGTTCTCTACAAGGCATCCAGGGCTATTTAAATGATCAAGGAAAATGAGCACTCATACCGCAAAGAGGTTTTTTTTTTTTAATATATTCTGTAACTTCACTCTTGGCTTACAAAGCCTAGTATTTATCTCTTTCAATGAGCATCATAAATTGTGAATCTTTACAAAAGAAAAAAATACATGTTTATATAGTTTACAAGCCTACACATCTTCACTGAATAAAAGTTACTTTTTATGATAAGGCTGTAAAGTAAGGAATAATATTTTAAGGTCCTCCTCATCTTAAAGAATTCTTGAATTGCCGGTGTCTGGGTGAAGAGAAAAATGAGAGCGCTGATTCAGGCAACACTGATGCAAGTGTATCCTAATTCTAAAGAGCTCTCAAATATTTAATAATCAAAAAAAGTTCCATAATAGGCTTAAGTGAAGTAGGTAGTGAGACACGCATCATATGATGCCTATGATAGAGACCCGTAATTGAGGTGGTGAGAAAGAACAGCCACTGCCCTTAAATACATTGATATTACATTTTTTCCACTTGGATGCCCTCCCCCCACACACTAATCCATGGATCTGAGGGGGAATAATCCACTGACATCCAATTTCCTGGGAGAATTCTTTTTTTTCCCTTCCTGAATGAGGCAATTTGTTCGTGAAGTAGTGTAGGTATTAACTCTTTCTCAGCTAAATGATCCTCACAAAAGAAAGATTAATTCTGGCATTGGAGATTAAGGTCACTAATTCAAAAAAACTAGTCAGATGCCCTCAATTTCTAGCCACATCCCCTCTTGTCTAGAAAAATAATAAGAGAAGCTGTGATTTCCCAGTAAAGCAGAAATAACAAGAAAAGTTCAATACTGAACACACAAAACTCTTACAAATAAAATGGAGCAGCAGTTCAAGCAGACTCTGGATCCAAATATTTTCTCACTCAAAGACATGCTTAGAAAATAGTTTTAAAAAAATCTAGTTGGTAGTTCTACAAACATTTATTGAGCACATACTGTGTGCCCATTGTGCTTGGTTTAGGAAAAATAAAATAGCACAAGTTGTTCAGAGTGTAGGGGAAGAGACATGTATGTAAGCAAATTATAGAAAGCCTGAAAAGTATTAAGAAGGCATATATAAAGGATGCTATGGGAACACAGAGGAGGGTGTATTGGGCTCTGCCTAGCAGACATCAGAGGAGACTTTTTTCCCAGGAGGGTAGGATTTTAGAAGGAGAACATGTCTGGGGACACAAGCCAGGAGAGAAACAAGCATGGTGCCACCAGCAGCCTAGCAGAGTCACCAGGGCAGGGAGTTTAACCTGTCATTATGCGTCATTTATGACAATAACTTACTTTTCAAGATCTTTTTCCCATATTGCAGAAATGATGCAGAACCCAACACAGAAGTGGAGCTCTCTGCAAATTCACTCCTCTCACCCCTTATCATCCAGTTTCTCTGAGTCTCCAGGAGGTATCTCCTACGTGCCCAGGTCCAGTGAGTAATCATATGGCTTCCACTGCTTCTTCCTCTTCTCCACTCCTGCTTTCCCTCTGCCAGCAGGCCGTGGGTCTGGCGGGCCCTGCGCCGGCTCCACTGCCAGTGGTGTTGAGTGCTGCTGCACCAGCCAGGCCCCACTTATCAACTCAGCTTCCCAAATCCTGACAGATAGTGTCTTCCCACAAGATCCTGCCTCCACTGCTGCTATTTCTCCTTCATCCTTCACCTGCTCTAGTGTTCTCAAACCTTGGAGATGGTTGGACCTGCTCTAGTGTTCTCAAACCTTGGAGACGTCAGGACTGGTCTCTATAACTGTGCTGTAGGCTACAGAAAGTACCAAAACATACTGTCGGCTCTTAGAAAATTTGCAGTGAGGAATTCTTTACATGTTCACAAATGGTCCTCACGCTCTGAAGACTCCAACTCAGGGAACTAGGGACAACCCTGTGCAATTCCCAGAATCACCCCACCCCCAACCAGGCCAAGCACATAAACCTGCCTTCCTTCCTTGAGGGGCTGGGCTTTTCTTCCAGACACAACTCAGCCCCTGTGTGAACACACACATGGCAGGCCTACTACACCACTTCACAAGGTGACTGGACATATCTCAGTCCCTGTGATGGCTGTGGTTTATGTTCAAGCTGAGATACCTGCCCCATGCATGATAATTGGGGAAATTATATAGTGAATTCCTTCAGAGGCCTCATTAAGTCACTATAGCTGAGAAGAAAAGTCTTATATAAATTAAGATATTTAGTTGCAAGAGGTGAGAAAACTGATCTCAAATAACAAGGAAAATTGGCTGGTTCGTAATTGAACAGTGGAAGATT
The DNA here is from genome assembly GCF_000001405.40 of Homo sapiens. Taxonomy (NCBI): domain Eukaryota; kingdom Metazoa; phylum Chordata; class Mammalia; order Primates; family Hominidae; genus Homo; species Homo sapiens. The sequence continues at coordinate 204,318,592 of NC_000002.12, forward strand.
CTACTTGAGACACAGCTTGATGCAGCATTCATACAAGGGATCAGGACCCAATTTCTCACCTCTCGTTCCTTGACTCTCCTTCTTTGGCTCTGTTATTAGGCTGGTTGATACCAGGGTATCTGCCAGCATATCCCACTACTGTATTCAAATCTGTTTGTAACCAATAGGAAAGAGAGAAGGTAAATTAACTTCCTTTTCTCAGAAGCCCCGGCAAAATGTCTTCTTGTGTCTTCTTGGCTCTGACTGGTGAACTTCCCGAGCCATCATAATGGCTGGAATAAGGCAGTGTGCTGAATGGATTAGGAATGTGATCACTGCTCCACCCCTGCATCTGGGGATGGAGAAACTCTACCTAGAAGCACATGACTGAAAGTGGATAAAGGAGCTATTTCCCAAAGGAAAATCAGAATACTGTTTTGTAAAAAGAGAGGAGGAATAGAAGTTAAGAGGCCAAAATTCAAAATATAAATATTACACTACAATTTATGTTTCTAAAATATTGCTGTCATATTGGCCCAAAGGTGATTTAACAACCTTGAGTAGAGTTATTTGTACTGTGGAGAGTTTGATGAATATTGAGACTCAATGAAAGGTGTGTGGGTATGGGTAAGAAGAGGGAGATGGCTTAGGCAGACTCACCTGGGTCTCTGGATACCTGGAAGAACATCCAACAATGACCTATCATTCAGCTAATATGGGAGGTCCAACACTACTTGGATCAATGAGATCAGAGACCAGAAAAGAATCAGCTGGAAACCACTCAAATTACACAAGATAAAAATTGTGTACCTAAATGAAAAGGTAAAACAAAAAATAATTCACAAAAATATAGAACTACAGATATAATCTAGGAGTTAAGAAGAACTTCCTAAGACTAGAAATTCAAAGGCTAGATAAAAAAGGATAGACACATTTGAATATGTAAATATTAAGAGTATTCCTATGGCAAAAGATCCAATAAATAAAATCACAGTCAAATATCAGAGCTAGAGAAAAAGGTTTATATCAGATTTAAAACAACTGGCACCTGTAACATACAAAAAAGCTTTTAAAATTGTCAAGAGTAAGTCAATCCAGTAGAAAAGCAGGTAAAAGACACAAATGGACAAATCACTGAAAAGTAAATCTAAATGGCCAAGCACCTTCTTTTAAATGCTCAAATTCATTTATAGTCAGGGAAATGCAAATTAAAGTAACAATGAGATGCCATTTTATAGCCATCAGATAGACAAATTAGTAAGAATTATCACATCCAGTGACGGTGAGCTGGTGGGGATGTGATAGAAAGGGTACTCACACATATAATGGCAGAAATATGGTGTCTTACAGCTGTTTAGAAAAGCAATTGAGCAATAATTATAAAAATTGAAACAACATTTACTATTCAATTCAGCAATTCCACTCTTGAAAATTTAGCTCATAGAAATGAAAGAACCAACACATGAAGCTATTTAAGTATGCGTGTGTGTGTGTGTGTGTGTGTCATCATTGTTCGATGAGGCAAAAAAAAACTGGAAACAAAAATTCATTAATAAGTGAACAGCCAAAATATTATGGAATATTTACACCACGGAGAATTATGCAACCATTAAAAAGAATGAAGTAGTTATGCCAGTTAACCTGGAGGGATGGTCACAAGGTTTTGTTAGTGAACAAGTCAGGTTGCGGAAAAGTGTATGTAATGTCATGTAATGATGTAATGTAATGTAATGTAATATAATTGATTACTTTTATAAAACACTGGTAATTACAAATCTGTGTTATATTAATACAGAGAATGATATGGAAGATCATACAGTAGATTTTTAAAAATTGATTACTTGAAAAAGAAACATAGAGGTGTGGAGGGGTGGGTGAGCAACCATCCTGGTTTGCCTGGAACTGAAAGGTTTTCTAGGATGTAGCGGTTTTACGGCTAAAATTGAGACAGTCTCAAGTAAACAGTGATTGTTGGTCACCCTATGGGTGCAGGTGTATAGGATGGAGAGGGAAGGGAAAGGCAAGCCAAAAAAGGGGAAAAGATATGACTAAAAGTCATGTAATCATATATGCACTCATGTAAAATTATTTATCTTGGTTGATGTTGGTAAAAATAAGTTTTAAACCTGTTTATTTTCACAGGTTTTTATAATAATTGAGGAAAGACTTTCACTCACAGACTCCTGTGGTTTTGAAGAAGCTACTTTAGAAATACAAGGGCTAATGGCATCTTCGATGAGCAAGGAAATATCATTTATTTGTTTAGTCAAAAACATGTTCATTAAACATTTATTCCACGTATTAATTTACCTATTAGTAACACAACACATAGAAGGCAGTCAATAAATGTGTTGAATAAGTAAGCAAATGCATGACCATAATTATAATGCATATAATTCATGTAATAACCACAATATATTGTAACATATATACAGCATGAGAACATATTACAATAACAATGCTTTAACAGAGGCAAAAACAGAAGCCCAAGAGAACACAGAAAAGGTGCCTGACTTTGCCTAGTGAGATCTTGGAAATACAGCAGAAGAGAAATATGGAGAGTTTGAAAAAATGAGAGTTTATGGCTAGGAAAAAGGAAAGAGGAAAATCCAGAAAGCAAGAACACCCCATACAAACCCAGGAGTCACAGAAAAGCAAAGTGTATCTGGGAAAGAGTGTGACATTCCCCAAGGCATGCATAGGGAAAAAGTGGAAGTTGGGAAAGGAGAGGTGAGAAGATGAGGCCGCACAGGAAGGAGAGGTGAGATGCTTTAGTTCCTAGGCACCTGCCAAGCAGTTGGCATTCATTTTGAAGGCACTAGGAAGACAGGAAGTCTCACATCAGAGAAAAGCCACAATTGGATTTCGTTTTTAGGAAGATAACACGAGCACCAAGATAGCAAATTGACTTTATGTCAAATGCCATTTCCAAGTGATTAGTCATGAGAGCTGAAGGATAATGTTAAGAAAGACTGGGTGGTCACCTATGTCTGGGCTTAGTAGTTAAAGTGCCGTGAGCGATTAGCAATATCTACTATGGACAAGGGAGAAGGGGAACGGTGACAAGGTTGCTATGTGTTTTCCAAGACCGCGCCTACTACCAGCAGTGTGGAGGAGGGCCCACATGGAAGAGATCATTGTCAGGGAGAGCGGGTGATCTACTAATCCATACAAGAGGTGACGGACATCTGGAGAGGTACAGTGCAGGAACCAGACTCATAGGAGATTTCAGAGGCGCAATCAGGAGGCTCTGCTGAATGAATTTAGTCATGGATGAGATCCAGGCACTAAGGGCATCTCTGGCAAGCGAGCAAATTTCAGATGAGGATCGCTTTATGGTATTGGAACCAAACCCACTTGGCCCCATATACACCTCAGAGAGGATAAGATGACTCGGCAGTTCTGGGAACTGCCAGGGCACATTCCACAATTCTTGCCACCGAATCACTTTCTGATGTCTGTGGCCTCAGCTGCTTAGCCCAGCAGTTCTTGTGATTTATTCTCCAGAGCAGCTCCCAGAAGTTGAAAATCCTCCTAGAGCCAAAAACAGGAAGCATCCCCCACTCACCTGGCCCAGGGTCCAGGAAGGAATATGTGTGCTCTGACACACCCATGGTGTAAGTTCCCATTATGTCAGCAGTGTTTACCATCTCCAGGCACTTCCTATGACATAGGAGCACCGCCAAATCTCTTCACCAGCAGAGGAAATGACTAACTCCAGGAAGTCATCCCTTCTCCCTCTATCCCCCCAACCAAAAATGGAGAGGCTGTTGGACTTTCACTAAAAATATCAACACCATCTAAAAATAAGGTTCATCAACTCTGCCCTTGCCCCAGAATTCCTGACCCGAGCTCCTCTGACATCACCACTGGCCCCTGTCAACAGAGCCTCTCAGAGCCACCTCCTAGCTGCCCTCTTAGCTTAAAGTTCATTTTGAAATCAATCCCCACCAGCCTTCCCACCAATGAGATCACGAATAATAGCTGGCCATGACTGTATCAAACAAGTGTTTTCCCAGGGGATGGAAGGTCTTCCAAAACTCTTCCACAAGCACACGCACCCAAGCGGGTTTATTTCCTGTCTGGTTGGCTTCCTCCAGGCTCATTACGGTTTCAAGGTCATTTTCCAGAAAAGGAAAGAGAGTGCAGGAGTGTGACCTTTAGCAGTCTCGGGTGGACATGCAGCGGCTGACCTGTAGGAGAGTCTAAATGAAGCCATTTGTTAGGAAGCCATTGACAAGCACTTGGGGTATTCAGTAGTGGCACTGTTCCTACTGATGGTTCCTGGGGCACTCAGCCTGCTGCAGAGCTTTCTATTCTGTCTTGAGCTAAGAGACCCCAGCTGAAAATTGGCATTTGCTTTGGCGGTGGTGGTCTTGGTTGTTCTCAACTGATCTAGAGGAGAGTTGGGAAGAAATACCTAATCTTTAGTCCAAAGGAGAAGGATGGGAGAAATAAGACATAATTCTAGATTCAGTTGTGGTTTTTTTTTTGAGTCCCCAGGCTGGAGTGCAGTGGCGCAATCTCAGCTCACTGCAAGCTCCACCTCCTGGGTTCACACCATTCTCCTGCCTCAGCCTCCCAAATAGCTGGGACTACAGGTGCCTGCCACCACACCTGGCTGATTTTTCTTTTTTGTATTTTTTAGTAGAGACAGGTTTTCACTGTGTTAGCCAGGATGGTCTCGATCTCCTGAACTCGTGATCCGCCTGCCTCGGCCTCCCAAAGTGCTGGGATTATAGGCGTAAGCCACCACGCCCGGCTAGATTCAGCTCTTAACTCCTATATTGCTGGAGGTTTCTCTAATGACTGAACTGACTTATTAGCTTTGCTCCCCAAACAAGGAGGCAAGAAAGTCTCAAATAGCAACCCTTCCTCCGAGAGGAAGTAGCACAGCATAGTGGATAAAAGCTTTGAAGTTAGGGTCTCTGGGGTTAAATTCTGTTCTTGTTACATACAGCTGTGTGACATTTTAGCACGTTATTAGGCTCTGTAAGACTCAAGTTTGTTTCTCAGACGTAGACTGGGGTTTGTTATGAGGATCAGTTAAATAAGAAATGAACAGTTTATACACAGTCAGTGCTCCATAGAGGTACCTACCTGTTTTCTTTATTGAGTGTCTTGCCTTGTGCTCGGTGTTCTTCTAGTGCTGGAGATTCTACAGAAAACAGGACAGACAAGGCCCAACCCAGAGTAGGACACAGAGGTAGCCATTTGTGGATGCTGAGTGGCTGGTTGGTGGAAATGGCATGTAAGCTCAGGAAATGAATTGAAAATAGGACTGGGTGGGGCAAGACAGTCTTTCATTGTTAGTCCTCACTCCAACATCCAAAGAGCTCTGGAGGAAGGAGAAGGAAACTGACATACAGAAACATCCAGGATGTGTGCACATGTGAGGCCACTCTGGTGGGATGGTTTCTTCTCAGAGCTCCCCATCAGCTTGAGCACGATCTCAGGAGGAGCCCAAGGGATGGGTTCAAGGATGGGGGGACACACAGTGGTCACTGCAAGTCTTGCCCCCAGCAACTTTGTAGGCAAGGGGACTCCAGCTATCTCCAAGGCACACCAAAAGCAGAGGAGGCTTGGCCATTATGTCTTCAAGGTGACCATGAGGAGGGAATTATGAATATCAGGAGGCAGCTTAGGAGACCAGAAGGTAGGTACAGAATGATGATAGTGACAGAGTTTATGAGGAAAGAAATACATTGTAAGTTTGTGGGTTCAAATGGAGCCATTGAACTGAATCCATTAGTAACTTTGGAGACCTTACTTAATTAGAAGTTAGCTTGGTTCTTCTGTGTGCCTCAAGCAGCATGGTGGGCAAAACTTTTTTGCTCTAAGGGTCTTCATAGTCCTTCTCTCTCCTCCACTCCGGAGCCAAGATAAGGATCACATGCTGTGATGTATTGTAGTACCTTCTCTCTCTCTCTCTCTCTCTCTCACACACACACACACACACCCATTCTTAAGCTCTTTTTTCCTCCAAATTAAATGTTTTCTTGGTCATTTGTATGACAACATTGCAGCTTGTATATTGTTGAATGTTTCTTTCTCATTTTGAGCAGCCACGATATGTTCAATTTGAAGTTGTACCTAGGGAAGCCCTGGCAGAAGACACAGGAGACGTACGGAATGAAGCAGGATTTAAGACAGACGACAACAATGGGTTGGGGGTTGGTTTGCGAGATACTACTCTCTTACTCAGTTGGTATGGCTCCAAAAGGCCTGGAAAGATGCCAGGAATGAGCAAAGACCCACCAAAATAAAACAAACAGACAACAAAACCCTACCATAAACAACGAGAAAACAAAAAAGACAGAAAAACAACCCATCAGGTTGTATGAGGTTGTAACGGAGTTCTGTCTATGAGATGCTTTCGGGGTGACCAGGGTACACTGGCTGTTCTTGTCTTCCACCCCAAGGCAAGTCAGCACCCCCTAGAGCCAAGGAAAACTCACCGGAAGCTGAGGGGGACAGCAGGGAGACAAGAGTGGGTGACTACCATATTACGTAGAGTGTCAGCTCCATGAAAACAAGGATTGCCTTTCTTGTTCAGTGAAAACCACAAGTGCTGGGGACATAGTAGCCTCTCAATAATTATCTGTTGAATGAATTTCATCATAATGTTGCTAACATTACCCTGCCATTCCTTCAATACCTTAAGTTGTGGATCTACTGTATGGGATAGGAATGTGTCATTTTTTTCTATCAACAAACACAGGGATTCATTTCAAATGTAGATTATCATTCTAGACTCTCACTGTGTTAATGCCTTTTCCTAACATTTGAGGGAAACAAATCCAGGTCACATATATCATGTTCTATTTCACAAATTCTAGTAAGGCTCAACAGTAGTGCATGTTATTATTACCTAACTTTAGAGTGGACCAATAGTATTTACAAAGCGGTATAGGATGTTACAGTCAAGGTTTCAGCCCTTTTCCTTGAAGCCAATTACACCCCAAGAGATTTTTTTTTGTTTTGGAGGGTCATGACAGAGGATATCCCCTAGGGGGCAGTGTGTGCATATGTTTCAACCAAGCAAGGAGCGCATTTCATGGCCCGAGGTAATTGCAAAGGCTACAGGAGATCGGGGAGTCTAAGACACGAATGCACTATATGAAGTTGTCCTTTAGGCAGAGCAGAGTGGAGGCGACCTGAAAGAATTGCTCAATAGAAAAAAACCTAGTGACACAGCAGAAAATTGGGGGATGGTAACTTTCAAGGCTCCAGCCACCTAAATGCTTAAGGTTCAACACAGGAATCATTTGACACGCTCCTTAACATTTGCTAAGGGGTTTTTAATATTTTTATTTATTACATTTTATATTTCATGTTTCTGACATCCATACAGAATTGTGTTTCATTTTCTTGTCTATTCTAGGTGGCAGTTCAAATTCAATTAAAGTTAACCAGTTTTAATTGAGTAATAATAGTTGATAATGTATTATTGAGTGCTTATAATGTTCTGAGTGTTTTACTTACATATTACTTTAGTTAACGTTTCCACATCACCATGAGGTGAGGACTGTTAATATTCTCACTTTACAGATGGGAAAACTGTGGCATAGAGAGTTTACACAACTTGCCCAAGCTTAATAGTCTGAGTCGAGGACACATTCTCTTAAATATTTTACTATGTCACCTCCCAAAGAAGTGCCTCTCTAACTTTTTAATTTAATTTAATTTTACTTTTGAGAAAGGTCTTGCTGTGTCACCCAGGCTGGAGGGAAGTGGTGCAATCTTGGCTCACTGCAGCCTGGACCTTCTGGGCTCAAGTGATTCTCCCACCTCAGCTTCCCAAGTATTAATAGCTGGGACTATAGGCATGTACCACCATGCCCGGCAAATTTGTTGTAGAGACGGGGTCTTACTATGCCCAGGCTGGCCTTGAACTCCTGGTCGCAAGTGATCCTCCCAACTCAGCCTCCCAAAGCACTGGGATAACAGGCCTGAGCCATGGTGCCCAGTTCCTCTCTAACTTTAATGAGTTCACATATCACTTTGAGACCTTGTTAAAATGCAGATTCTGATTCAGTAGATCTGGGTGGGGCCTGAGAGACTGTTTCTAACAAGCTGCAGGTGATGCCAATGCAGTTGGTCCGTGGACCACATTTTGAGTAGCAAGAACCTAAAAAGGAGTGTGTATTGAGGGTAGAGGGATGTGAGGATATAAAGATGTGCATGGCGTAGTCCCTCCACTCAAGCAGATTATATCTGCTAGAGAAGGTTAGGGCAACTACACAAGTGGTGTATATTATGAAAGAAAGTGTATGTCCAGGGCCACAGAGGCACAGAGCAACTCAATAGGTACTAAGTGAGGGACTTTCTTCTAGGATAGGACAATGCACTTCAGGAAGGACAAGCAGGATGAATGAGGTACAGTTCCTGCCTGTGAGTCGTTTGCAAGCTGGTGGGGCAAGGTCAACAGACACATAAATAACCCTAGTACGGGCGTAGGTTTTACAAAAGAGGCTGCCCAGGATAATTCTGGGAACAGGAAGGAGGGACAAAATGAGGGAGGTGAGCATTTCTTTTTCTTTCTTTTTTTTTTTTTTGAGATGGAGTCTTGCTCTGTCACCCAGGCTGGAGTGCAGTGGCGCCATCTCGACTCACTGCAAGCTCTGTCTCCCAGGTTCATGCCATTCTCCTGCCTCAGCCCCCTGAGTAACTGGGACTACAGGCACCCACCACCACACCAGGCTAATTTTTTTGTATTTTTAGTAGAGACGGGGTTTCACTGTGTTAGTCAGGTTGGTCTCAATCTCCTGACCTCATGATCCTCCCGCCTCGGCCTCCCAAAGTGTTGGCATTACAGGCATGAGCCACCGTGCCTGGACAAGCATTTCAATTGTGAATTGAATTAGAAAGCTCAAGGAACAGAGCTCTCATCTGGCTGCAGACCTGGAGAAAGGCCTCATGAAAGAGATGGGATTTGAGATAAACCATGAAAGACAGATGGGGTTTTGACAGTGCATAAGGAAGGATATTTCAGGGAGGAAAAACCAGTTTAATCCAAAGTTCTGAAATACAGAAGTACAAAGCAAATTTGGGGCTAAGGGCATAGTCTTATTTTCCTATCTAGACACCGTACGGAAGTTGTGCTGAAAACCATGCTTTAGAGCAATGATTCTCAATCCATATTGAAAAAAATCACTTAAGGAGTGAAAAAAAGATTTCGATGCTGGGGCCTCATCCCCAGAAATTCTGATTTCATGAATCTGAGTCAGAGGTGAGAATCCATATGTTTTTAAATCTCCTCATTTTTATTTAGATAATACGTATGTGCAGCCAGATTTGAGAACCATTACTCTAAGCAATGATTCTCAAATTGTGCTGCCTGGGTCAGCAGCCTCAGCATCACCTGGGAACATCTGGAAATGCAAATTCTCAGGTCCCACCCTGGACCTACCGAATCGGAAACTCTGGGGGCGGGGCCAAGAACCTCTCTTCTAACAAACCCTCCAGCGATTCTAATGCAAGTTCAAGTTTGAGAACCAATGTTCTAGAGCCTTGCTCCTCCAAGTATAGGCCACTGGAAGCTTACTACATGCATGGAATCCCAGGCCGCCCCTCAGGACTGTTGAATCAGAACTGCAGTTTAACAAGATCCCCAGGTGATGGGTGTGTACATTTAAGTTTGGGAAGCCTGGTGATTTTCAGGTGAGAAGTCTAAACTTTTTAAAGACAACAATGGGAAGCAGCTGAAAGTTATAAAGTGGTGGTATAACTGATGAGCGCCCCAGGAAGAACCAGTGGCTAACTGAATGTAAGATGGATTGAATAAAACAGATCCTGTACAATACACCTTAAAAATGGATCCTGCACGACGATCCTAGAAAGAAGTCCCAGAGAAAATCCCCTTGCCACTTACACTTCCAGGACCTTCTTCTCCTATTCTTTCCTTCTTCGAGGCTCCAGGAGAGAACAGTGCACTGGGGCCTCTTGCCTCGCTGCTTGGAGCTCCTTTGACGGTGGAATCTTGCCAGCCATTGATCCAACACTGGGAGTTATCGCGGCAGTGCAACTGCAGTCAGGCCTCAGCTCCAGCTTGTATAATATTTCTGATAATAAGAGAGCCTAAATGAAGCATCCTTTAAAAGGCCTTCACTGTTAATTTGGCACAGGGAAAAAAGCCAGCACATTATACTAGGTTTTCCAGTCATTCTGCCTGTGCTATATGGACTCTTTGAATAGATGTCCATAATGAGATTACTCAAAATGGAATTCATTACCTGACTTCGGATTTATTGCTTTTTAACTAGAAATATAAGGCTACACACACTCTGCTCCCAGCGTTAGTTGTGTGACTGCCCCGCTTCTCCATTCCAGAATGGGTACGGGAAAGCAGGGTGAAGAAAATGCCCAGGAAGCCTGGGGGTCGTGGACAGTAAGAATGGAGCAAACAATGTGCTTCATTAGGACGGGTGCATTGGAACCCCGGGCCTCTGCTGCTAAGTTCTGCTTCCACAGTCTCACCATGGGGATCACAAGCCAGTCACCTCCTCACTAGCATAATTGGAAAGACTCTAAGGGGCCCCGAAGTGCTGAAGTGCTGTAAATTAGCAGCGTTCAATTCTGATGAACATTAAAGGGAGTGTGCAGTTAATTCCTCCGCACATGCTGATCGCAAAGTCTTCCCACTGGGGGCTTTTGGCTTGGAGCGTTACAGGGCCATTTGTTCTGCATGGCTTCTCCACCAGGGCAAGGACCTCAAGGTGAGTTAATAGGCTTGGCTTCTCAGCACTTTATTTTAATCTGTATTTACCATCATCATATATATTTTAACAAACCTCTGGTGCATGGCATGCCATTGAGCACTGCACAAACTAGATAAGAGAGACGGGGCCCTGGTTTCACTGGCAGAGGGCGGCAACTACATTCAAGGGGGTAACTGAGAAATCCTGCCTTGTATGCTAGTTGGTGGCGCTCCCTAGTCGCCACTGGCTCTGCTGTCTGCCACATGTCTTCCTAGACCTTTGCTTCTTTATGCTGGGGCCACCTCCACTGGACTGGCAGGAGGAAAGTGAGGTCATGTCTATAATATCACCTCTCACAGCCTCGGTTACCATTGCCCATTCTATTTTCTCTGTCCTCTCATTCTTTCTTCGTCAAACTCTCTGTCTCTCGCATGCAATGTAAAAATATTGCTGACAGTGGCTTTCCATGAGATAATAATCTTAAATAGATGACACATGGATAATAGGATAGAGTAAAACAGGATGGGTAAATTGATAATTGCAGATTAGAAGGAAATGCAATCAGCAAACAAAACAAAAGCCGAATTTAGGGGGTAATAAGCATGATGTGTTAGAATTGTTAAGAGTGAGGTATTTTCATATACAAGTCTTTATCCCTGAGGTAAAACCAAAGCGGCATCTTTACATGTTGCAGAAGTATGTCTGAAATGGCACATTCTATTTGTTTGTTTACACATTTCACATTTTAAAAGCAAAAGGAACTATCATTACAGATATTTTTCTTCATTGCTATAGGAACTAACAGGGAGCAAAATGTTATCATGGGTTATAATATTGCCCTGGACAATTGCAGGGCAAGCCACTAGCCTGAATTCTTGTTGTTATTTTAATTTGTACGTAAACCTTGTCAGATGTCTTAGACATATCTTCAAAAATGCAAACTAATAGCCATCATCATCTGATGTTCCTGAGACAAATGTGACAATGACAATATGTTGTTAAAGGCCACGCTTGGACTATCAAAATAATGAGACTGTGGCCCAAGCTGCCTGATAATTTCACAGCTATTTTTTAGTCAATATGGGTCATCACTTGGGTAATACTACAGACAGACCTGATATCAGCTATTTATATAGCTAGAGAAAGTCACATTTTCCCCTTTTTGGTGAGTGCAAAGGGGTACAACTTTCTTTGTGTTCTGTGACCTTCCAGTCTTACACAGATTATACCTCTAACACCAGCCTTCAAGAATTACTGAAGTGCTGGGAACTAGCCCATGGTACATTTGCCCTGGCTTGCAGGCAAAGATTTAGCATCAGGTAAATCTTTTTGAATATACTGAATGCCCATGAATATGAATTCTTTGGATGCCCAGGGAGGCGTATGTAAGGATATGGCATTTCTTCTATTAGGCTGGTGCAAAAGTAATTGCGTTTTTTTTTTTTTTGTGGTTACTTTTTAGAAGAGCCGTCCTGTCTTCTTCCTCCTCTTAAGCTTGAGGCTCCTTGGAGATCAGATGGATACGCTTATTAGACTCTCTAGTGAATTTTCATTACTGTCCTGCTGAAGCCTCAAAATATAGGACAATGAGTTCCCCACTTGCTATTGCCTGGGCCAGGAGCCACTAGAATTATCAATATGATGTTTCCAAATGACACATTTATTTTGTGGAATTTTTGAACAGAGGACCTAAAATTGCTGATTTTTGTTGTTTGTTGGTGTGGTTGTTCCTTCTTTGTAACATATCACAGAACAGAACTAAGACTCTTATCTGAAATAATTATTAATACAGTCATGCATTGCTGAACAACAGGGATGCATTCTGAGAAATGCATTATTAGGTGATTTCATTGTTCTTCGAACATCATAGAGTGTACTTACCCAAATGTGGATGCTGTAGACTATTACACACTTAAGCGATATGGTATAGCCTCAACTTACACAGCATATTATTTTACTGAATACTGTAGGCAGTTGTAACACATGGTATTTGTGTACCTAAACATAGAAAAGTACAGTAAAAATGTGGATTGTAATCTTATGGGACCAACATCCTGTATGCGATCCATCATTGACTGAAATGTCATTATGCAGTGCATGACTCTATTAAGTATTCATTGTTGAAATATGCTTAAATTGCAGAAACTGGCTAAAGGTTTCAGGGGAAGAGGCTGAAAAAAATTTAACAAACTCCTTAAAGAGGAAATATCTTGTACACTAACGTATCTGAAAAGTTTATGGTAACACGGCCAGGTGCGGTGGCTCACACCTATAATCCCAGCACTTTAGGGGGCCGAGGCAGGCAGATCACGAGGTCAAGAGATTGAGACCATCCTGGCCAACATGGTGAAACCCCGTCTCTACTAAAAATACAAAAATTAGCTGGGCGTGGCGGCATGTGCCTTTAGTCCCAGCCACTCAGGAGGCTGAGGCAGGAGCATCACTTGAACCCGGGTGGCGGAGGTTGCAGTGAGCTGAGATGGCACCACTGCACTCCAGCCTGGCAACAGAGCGAGACTCCACCTCAAAAAACAACAACAAAAACAAAACAAAACAAAAAAAAACAAAGTTTATGGAAACACAAACACACTTTTGCCATTTGACTATAGTCGCTAAAATGTTCACTTTTCTTTTTTATTATGTAAATAATGAGTCCTTTATCACTCTAAAAACATCAAACTCATATAAACTTATAAAGCAAAATTTGAAAATGGTCCTTCATTCCCTTGCCCTTTCTCCATCTCCATCCTTTCTAAACTCTCACATCCATCCCAGGAAATTATATGCTTCCTTCCAGTTTTTATCCTATGCTTTTATAATATTCACGTACATATGTATATATCTTTTAAAAATGTAAATGGGATCATATCATGCATATTGTTCTGCAATTCAATTTGACCACTAAATATGACCTGAAGGTTTTTTCCCCATCAGTAGATACAGCACTCTCCCGTTCTCTTTCACAGATGCCCAATGTTCCATATTAAGGATGAATCATAGTTTATTTGCATATTCTTCTGCTGACTATTAATATGATTTTTTACATTTTTCCTATTTTACACAGAAATAGGAAAATGTCAGAACATTTTGGAGTCCATGTGCAAGCATGTCTTTAGGATGCATTTCTTTTTTTTCTTTTTTTGAGACAGAGTCTTGCTCTGTCGCCAAGGCTAGAGTGCAGTGGCACGATCTCGGCTCAGTGCAACTTCCACCTTATTAGTTCAAGCAATTCTCCCGCCTCAGCCTCCCTAGTATTTGGGACTACAGATCTGTGCCACCACGCCCGGCTAAATTTTGTATTTTTAGTACAAGCGAGGTTGGGATGTTGGGATGGCTGGTGTCCAACTCCTGAGCTCAGGTGGTCCGCCCACCTCGGCCTCCCAAAGTGCTGCGATTACAGGTGTGAGCCACTGCATCCAGCCTTAACATGCATTTCTAATATAGAATTCCTTTCTCAATTTTAGTAACTACAGCCACTTCTCTTCCAAAAGGGTTACCCAGTGATATTACAGTGATATTGCTGTATTGCCAGTGGTTTTGCAGTTTCATAGTCAGGGCATCCTTTCAAATATGTTCTGCTAGAGATAGTAAGCTCAGTACTTTGGAATCAAACAACCCTGAGTTTATATCCCGGGCAGTTCAAACACTTAGCTCCCTGGGCAAGTTACTGAACCTTACTCAGCTTCCATTTCCTGCCCATAAAATGAGGATAATATAACGGATTCCTGGGAGTTGTTGGGAGGATAAGTATAATAACGCCTAAAAAGCACTTGGCACATAGTGGGTGCCCAATAAGCCATAGGTATTAATGAATCCAGACATAACTTGAATTCCATAACTTGAGAGAAGGAATACAGTAACCAGCAGTTTGCAGAAAGAGATTTCCTGAGAAGAAAAATATTCAGATGAATCTATCTATCTATCTATCTATCTATCTATCTATATATGCCACATTTTGTTGGTTTTGTATTTTATCTGTGTTTTTATCTTTTTATTAAAAAGATCAGCCAGACATGGCAGCACAAGCCTATAGTCCCAGCTACTTGGGAGGCTAAGATAGGAAGATCACTTGAGCCCAGGAGTTTGAAACTAGCCTAGGCAACATAGCAAGACCCCATCTCTAAAAATACATGTTATATATGAAAAGCCACTGATTATATGTGCTCCTTCAACCTTTGATCTACATCTGCGTTCAGTCTCAGAAGTAAACTTGGTGCGGACAATATTTCTCATTTATTTCTGTCTATTTTGTATAACGTAGAGGTTTGTGCAAGGAGTTATATTTTGCTAATTATATTTTTACAGGTTAATATTAAAATGAACTGGCATTCCCTAAGCACACACTGATGTAGATGTCCAATCTAATTTATCACTTAGTCCTCTGGCTTAATGATGAAACCTGTCTTTCCCTGACCCACCTCCCATGGCCTCTGTGGCCAGGGCTATCTCTACCACTGGCTCTTCCTGAGCCTTTTGGCTTTGTATTATGGGGTGGTTGCTGGCACCAGTTGCTCTGCACATCTGGGGGACCCTTCTAAGGGAACACTTTTATTTTAAAATTAATTTACCTCATTTGATTTCCTAGTTTTCAGCTGTTGTAACAAAACTGTTCATGTACTCAATCACTCAGATTTGGATGGAATTATTTGTCCTATTAGCCTGAGTAATAGCTAAGGCAGGACGCTCATTTACTCCTAACAAACCACCTGGGACTTATAAAGAAGAAATGGTTTCCAAATCTCTATGTCCAGTAATATCCCCATTGCCCTAAGCCTATCTCAATGAAAGAATTAAAATTTGTTTTCTCAGCTGCCAGCTGACATCCCCAAAGGAGAAGCAGAGACAAATACAAAGGGATACTTGTGAGTAGCCCCTTTTATTTAAAAAAAAAAAAAGGCTTTTCATGGTTTTAATAAGAAAGATACAAAAACAGCACTGAAATTCAAAACCAACAAAACGCTGCCCAAGCAGACCTTCGGGCAGAGGATGGCATGGTATGGAGAGGAGAATAGCATCGTAGCTAAAACATAGTCCCTGGCCCACTCCTCCTTGCCATTTTGCGAGTCCATGACCTTGAGAATGTAACATGACCTCTGTATACTTCATTAATTGCACCAATAAAAATAAGGTTAATTACAGTATCTACCTAATAAAATCAATGTGGAAATTAATGAGTTTCACAAATACAAAGCACCTAGTGCCCCATACAAAGTAAGCGTTATATATATGCTGGCTACTGGAATTTGTATTTAAGAGCTTAGGATCCAGAATAGGCTGCCTGAATTCAAACCCTGAACCTGCCACTTATTACCTGCATGACCTTGAGCAGGTTACCTAACCCTTTGAAATGTGCTCCTGCGTATGTTAAGTGGGGATGATAATGGTATGTCAGGGAATTCTTTGAGAAGCAATGGGTAAACTATACAGTGTTTGGCATTTAGAAGGTGCTCTGATATTAAATATAATACCTACTGACATTAAATATACAAAATATAATGTATTATATATAATATATAAATATATACAAATTTATATATAATATATATTATATATTTAATATAAATATATAAATAAATATAAATATAATATAATATATTTTAACATATATTTATATATGAATATATCAGTGCATATTATTTTTGGTAAACTATATTGCAAGATATTTGTGCCATGTCTACAACAAACTCTTCTGGTATGAGCTGACATGGATTCCTGCACTCTTTCTTTCTGCCTTTTGGTTTCTTACAGTTTGGTTTTAAACAAATGAAGTCCCACAGAGGACTATGTGGCAGCAAAGAATGCCATTCCTTATTAATACATCATTATTGTATGGATGAGGCAATGTGCAACCAGGGGACCTTGGGCCTCAGCCAGAGCAGTCATCTCAAGTAACAAACGGACCTAATTATAAGGTGGTTTTACCTAAAAGGTCAGCCTCAGCCCTGTCACAGGAGGCTGGCATCATAGGAAGCGTCTACTGTATTATATTGCACATCAATATTAACATGTGTTCTAAGACTGTTATGTGAATGTTATTTAGAGGACTTAGCTTTCTGCTCTGTGTGCACAATCATGCACACACACACACACACACACACACACAAATGCTTTTAGTGGATGCAGTAGACCCTCTAAGTCCCATAATTCTGAAAGCTGACTTTGTTTGTTGCTTGGGGACTGATTTTGCAGGCTAGTTGCACTGTTGAAATGAGTCCTTGCTGCTTGTAAGTCTTGTTCCATAATTTCATTTGGCTGAAGCAGGAGACAAGTACCTCATTTTAATTAGAATTTCAAGCAAACTGCATTATGTCGTTATGTGTTATTCTACAAAAAGATACCGTATCAAGGACAGCTGTTGATGGAGTAAAGCATCCTGTTAACTCTGCCTGAGAAACAAAAACACTTTCATTCACTTCATCAGTTCTGTGACTGTGCTGCTTCTGACACATCCCATGGAACAGAAAGATGTGCCCTGGAGCCCTCCAAGACAGCAAATGTTTGAAACAAGGTGCTAGGTAGTAATCCCAGGGCCCATGAAAATGTGACATCACCATGTCATTAGAGGGCAAATTGCAGGTCCTATCCTGCTCTCTGTCTCTGCTGGCTTGCTACAAATCACAGTACTCTCTAAGGAATCCACTCTCTGCCTATTGCTCTGAGGAAAGCTGTAGATTGTGTTGAAGAAAAATGGAGGCTATGCTGCCTTAGACCTGCAATTAAGTCCCTGCTGCTCTCCAAACCAATGAGTCCTTCCAAGTAGTAATCTAATTTATTTTTCCCATTTTCTAAGTAATGCTAGGGTAAGCGTGTTCATCATTTTAGACTCACTGATTCTAATTCCTAATTCAGACTTGTTTGTTCAGTAGAAGGTAAACAACCCCTAAGCTATCACCCACCCTCATTTATTTGGAAAGAGAGAGTTTCAGTGGGAGAAGATAAATAGCATGTCAAACATGGTTTGGAGGGGCTGCAACTGAATAATTTCTAGTTTCCTATGTCTGTCTCCAGCTGTTGTGGCCCAGTGTGACTCTGGCAGCTGTGTGCT
Source organism: Homo sapiens (assembly GCF_000001405.40). Lineage (NCBI taxonomy): Eukaryota > Metazoa > Chordata > Mammalia > Primates > Hominidae > Homo > Homo sapiens. The sequence continues at coordinate 204,336,316 of NC_000002.12, forward strand.
GGTTTGGCTGAGCTGCTATTCTGTCAAATCAGATCAATACTTGTAAGCATTTGTTTGATATAACAATCTCAGGCCAGTCCAAGAATTCACACGTTGAACCACATGCATGGAAAGGACTGTTTTCCAGTTATCTGTCTGTGCATACAAGATCAACTGGTTGATGCCTGTAATCCTAAAATCCCCTAGAAAATTAAAGGAAGACCACATTTAGAGGATTGGTGGACTCGAGTAGCCCTGGGGATGAATCAATTCAATTCCATGAACATTTATTGGGTGCTACTATAGACAAGGAAACATAGGATACATAAAGATCAGCAAAACACAGTCCCAATTCTCGAGTATAATTTAATACCAGGTTATAAAAACATCAGTAGTTAATAAATTATTATTTAGACTTGGCCTTGTTCCAAAAGGACTTAAGATGTAAGAATACTCTTGAAAATATATACAGTGGGTCAAAATGAAATAAAATAAGATTACATGAGAAGAGTTTAGGGAAAATTAAGGGTGGGGAAGTTCAATGAAGCTGGAAGTTTAGAAAATGTAGACCATGAGAAATAATGCTTACTTACCAGTGATGGATCATAAATTTGTCTCAGAGCTTCTCAGAAGCCTGAATAAAACTGGAAACAAAATGAATTTTTTATGTGATTGACAATGTCTATGTTGATCTTGCTCACGAAGGAGGAGGGCTATACCAGGTATGGAAATGACACAAATCTTTCTCACATAAAGATGACTTTGATTTGTTCTAGTCAGCAACTACAACATACTTATGTAGAATGCAATGATTTTCATAGGCTGGTAGCAAGGACTGTTTGTTGCTTATGTAACAGCCATTCCTTGTCACCTTCACCCTTACTGCAAATAACCCCCTCCACCATCATGTGCACACACACTGAAAATGCTAGATAATGGCTCTTGCAGACTCCCCTGGACATATGGCTTAATCATGGCCAATGGAACCCCAAAAGAAGGATGCTGGGAAGCTCCTGGTTAAGATTTTCCCCTCTGATAAAAAGACACACTGAGGGAGAAGCTGCCTTTCCTACCTTCGGATATGGTTATAAGAAGACATACCCTGAAAGGTGTCATCATCTTGTGACCAGGAGGGGACGAGCTTCTGAACTAAGCCTATATGCTGAGTTGGGAAGTAGGGCAAGTGTTTCATGAAGCCACAGAAAAACTAAAAGCTCAGATTTCTGCTCCAAAACTAAGATGGGCAAGAAAACTCATGCCAGAATTGAAAAAAAATTTGATGTGCATTATAAGGAAATAGATCTGGATGAGAAACATCTACTCAGGTTTCATAGAGATGATTTTTTAAAAAGAAAGATGTTTTTATGGCCCAATTAGAAAAGCTAAGTATTTTTTCCACCTTTACTATATGATGTTATTCTATGAAATAAGCAGAGTCCTGTTGGCCTTGGCCCTCCTTCCCATCTTATCCTTCTACATCCATGTTGAGAATGAAAACCCCTGTAAACAACTGCATTTGTGAGATAGACTGGACAGGAGGAGGGAGAAGAGGCAGCAGCATAGATAAGCTGGGAGAGGAAGATCTTAAAATCCTCATAGGTAAAGTCTATGGGAAGAAATAGGCAGATAACAATCATTGCAGCAGCACAATCTCTTGTTTTTCAAGCAGTAAGCCGACTTGAATACCAAATAACCAGGCAGTAGGTGATGGAGGAAATGACACCCTGATAGAGCAGTGACACCCTAAAAACTCTGATAGGGACAGAAAATTAGACTAGAAGATATTTGTGTCAACCTTCCCTCCAGCTCAAGATCTGAGAAGGGAGTTCAACCATCAAACAGCTAGGCAAAGAGAGTAATTCACTCACCCTGTCTTGATAAACATGAAGTCTGGATATATTTATCCATGTTCTAGCATCGGTAAAGATACTAGAAACACAAATGAGGCTGGTGAAAACATTATAGCATAAAGAAATGGGAATATTTGGCTCAAAGGAGTTCATCTCTGAAAATGATCTATGACACGATTAAGAAGATATTATCAAGAAACCATTGGGAATCCTTGAAAGAATGCCAAAAGACAGGCCACTAGAAATTAGGAGCTTAAGGAGAAAGATAGCTCAGATTAAAGGTGAAATTATAATTTAGATTAGTGAAATTAACAAGGAGCCCCAAAGATCTAAAAAGATCTAAATGGGACTTCCAGGTAAAGATGGAGCTTTGAACAAACACATCTAATTTTGCTCCCTCGGCAAACCCTTATAACACTATAATAGAGAGATTTTGTTTGGTCTTGTTTTCATATAGCAGCCCACATAGGTACAGAAAACGGAAGAAAAGAAAAAGTGGCAAAATTTTGATGCCATAAAACAGACAGACATATGGAAACAGACTTAACAGATCTGAGAAAGCGGAATCCTCAACTGTAGGTAGGGAAAGCTGAGAACTAACCCAATTTACACTGCAGTCCCCCTCCAGAGACTCAGAAATTAGCAGCACTAGTCCTTCTAGAAGCCAGGATGAAAGAGTGCAGGACAAAAGATTAGGAGGATTGAGAAAATTAGGAAGAAACTAGATCTCTGTGCCTTCCCTCTCCCTTAGATTGCCACTGGATGCCATCTCTTATCCCCAGCAGAAGCCTGGAGGTTTATATTATAGACAGGGTAAAATAGAAACTCTCAGCTTAAAGACAACAATGGAGAACTCTCAGGTTTTGTACCAAAAATAGGAAGATTAAGTATCTGTTTGCATACTGACTGCTGAGCACTAGTTTCTTCTTCCATTGGCTCCCAGAATGGAACTTTATTTCTCATGAAAGAGATGGATGAGTCTTCTCTAGGGGACATGATCAGCCCATGGTGCTGAAAGCCCCCAACATATAGTTGGCTCTCCTTTTTTGTGGTTCCTCATCCACAGATTCAACGAACTGCAGATTGCAAATATTCAGGAAAAAAAATGGTGCACATAAAAAAACCCAATAAAATATAACAAATATTTGCATAGCATTTACATTGTATTAGGTATTATAAGTAATGTAAAGATGAGTTAAACAGGAGGGTGTGCACAGGTTATATGCAAATACTACACTCCATTTTATACAGAGGACTTGAGCATCTGTGGATTTTGGTTCCACAGGAGTTTTGGACCAATCCCTGCTTATACTAAGCGATCACTGTATTGACAATGGGAATGGTAAGCACTCTTCAGTGATTCACAGAGGACAGTCTGCATCTAGGCACTCAGAGTTTCAGGCAGCTGTTTAGCCCTCTGCTCTTTAACATAAGCAAACAATCAAGGTTTTCCATAAATCCAAGAAAAGCAGGTAGTATGGTGGGGAGCGGGGGAGGAGAAAACAAGAGAAAAAAGGAACCTGGATGAAAAAGGCAATGTGCAGGGAAAAGAAAACATTACAAAGTAAACTGTAATTAGTATCTTTCAAAATATAAAAGATTTGTATACATGAAACAAGAACAGGGTGCCCTAAAAATGGAACAAAGAAACAAACAAAAACATAAAAAAGCCTTGGGTATAAAATGCAATGGAAAAATGTAATTTACATGAGTGTTAGAAAAAATCTGAATGATGCTGTGAAACTTCGAATTAGTCATATGAAAGTTAAACTTGAAAAGTGTTCCTGGATTGCAGAAGCAAAATCAAAGAGATTTAAATGGCAAACAGAGGATAGATATGGAAGATATGTGATGGAGAGCAAACACAGATCACTGGTGTTCTTAGATCAGTATAAATAGAAGAGAAACCAAAGCGAAGACGAGAAAAACATTTCTGAGCTGAAAAAAAAGATCTGTACTTACTGATTGAAAGCACCCACTACCTCGAAGCAAAATGAATTTTGAAAGACCCAAATGAAAGTACATCCTGGCCAAACTTGAAAACTTAAAAGAATGAAGGGGATTTATGAGCCTCTTGGCAAAATAAATGAATAGATTGAAAGGAATGCAAATAAGACTGACCTCAAATACCTTTTCTGCAACTTGACATACCAGAAGACAGTGGACTAATGTCTATAGAATTTTAAAAATAAACAATGGCCGGGCATGGTGGCTCACGCCTGTAATCCCAGCACTTTGGGAGGCCAAGGCAGGTGGATCACCTGAGGTCGGGAGCTCAAGAGCAGCCTGACCAACATGGAGAAACCCCGTCTCTACTAAAAATACAAAATTAGCCGGGCGTGGTGGCACATGCCTAGAATCCCAGCTACTCGGGAGGCTGAGGCAGGAGAATCACTTGAACCCGGGGGGGGCAGAGGTTGCAGTGAGCCAAGATTGTGCTATTGCACTCCAGCCTGGGCGACAGAGTGAAACTCCGTCAAAAAAAAAAAAAAAAAAAAAAAAAGAAACAATTATCATGTAAGAATTTTGTACGTAGCCAAATTTTGTGTGTGAAGGCAACAGAAGAAATTACTCACAAATATGCAATGTATCATTCATGTGAACTTCTTAGAAAAAATTATTTGAAGCTGTAATTGAAATGCCTGAGAGAAAAAACAAAATTTTCAAAGTTTCGAAATATGAAGATAATTGTATAAACCATCTGGCTGCAAACATTCAACCATTTAGAATTGAGAGATATCCAAATTAATTTTTGTAAATGTTATTATAAAAGTGGATGCCAATTTCAAAACTCATTTTTAAATTAGAAGATATATAATGGTTGGAAGGAAAAAAGAAGAGCGGGTGGGAAGATAGAAGGGAAAGAAGAAAAGGGAGAGGGAGAGCAAAAAAGTTCACTTTCGTTTTGATTACATGAGTGATGACAGAGAGGTGGCAGGGTAAGTCTTAAAATACTGAGTTTAAGAACAATCTAAAATTGTTCTTAAACTCAATAGTTGTCAAATGTTGTGCATTGGAATCAGCTGGGGATCTTTATGAACCACTGATGCCTGGCTTTCACCCTCCGATGGTTTCGTTTAATTGGTATGGGGTGCCCGAAAGCTCCTCTGCCACTTCCAATGTGCAGCAACATTTGGGATCAACTGGCTTAACTCAATAAATAGAAAAAAGTAAGAATGGGAAGTAGATTTCAGCTTGTGTTCCAACCCTTCTTAATTGGCAATGACTGCCCTAGGGCTTTGCTGGGGTCATATCAGGCTCAATGGGAAACTGCTCTGATTCATTTATACGGTCTTCACTGGAAAAGGAGAGAATGACATTACACACTGGCCATCTCTGGGTTGGAGAAGATTTCTAAACTAAAGTAACAATTAATAGATTTAAAATAGACCAGGCGCAGTGGCTCACGCCTGCAATCCCAGCACTTTGGGAGGCCGAGGCGGGTGGATCACGAGGTCAGGAGATCGAGACCATCCTGGCTAACACGGTGAAACCCCCGTCTCTACTAAAACTACAAAACATTAGCCGGGCGTGGTGGCGGGCGGCCACCCCAGCTACTCGGGAGGCTGAGGCCGGAGAATGGCGTGAACCCAGGAGGCGGAGCTTGCAGTGAGCCGAGATGGTATCACTGCACTTCAGCCTGGGCGACAGAGTGAGACTCTGTCTCACAAAAAAAAAAAAAAAAAAAAAGATTTAAAATAATGATAGATTCCTTCAAAAATATTGGAGAAGGTAAAAGTAAAAATCATATAGTCATATAATAAAAGGCATTAAAAAGGAAGGAAGGAAAAAAGGAAGGAAGGGAGGGAGGGGGAGGGAGGGAGGAAGGAAACATAAGGAGAAATTTTAGAAAAGGTGGTGAAATAATGATCAAATATGTTCATGAATATAAATGCAATTGGGGGAATCCCCTTCATTAAAAGAGAGTATCTTTAGATTGTATAAGAGAAGGGAAATCCACCTACGTGACATTTTCCAAACACCCACCTACTATGAAATTACTAAATAAAAAATACATTAAAAAATTAAAACGTGGGCAAACATATCAGGCAAAGACAATAAGAAAGAATTCCATTACTAACAACAAATATAGAAATTAAAGTAGAAATATTAAATGAGATAAAGATATCCTGTCAGAAAGGATATTTCACAATGAATATAAAACTGTCATGAATTTTTATTCATCAGATAACATTATATCAAAATACAAAAAGTGAAATCTGCTATAAATTAGGAGAAATGGACAGAAGTACAATATCAATGGGACATTTTAACATACCTCTTTCTCTTTTTGACAGGCCAATAAAAAATATAAATCAGTTTATACACATAATCATAAAATACACCTTTATTTTCAATACTAATAAAACACCTACTAAAAAATAAAAAGATCATGCATCAATACAATTACAAAAAGGCAAAAGTATATAGTTCCTGCTCTCATTTATTGAATCAAGAAGAGAATTAACACTGCAATTTTTTTAAAAATTAGAAATTAACAATGATGAGAATAGTACATATCACAAATGCCCTACGACAGATGTGACTATGAGAAGAATGTCATTTTAAGAGGAAAGTTTAGGTTGATGCTGAGGGTGATGGTGATTTCAGTATATAATAAAATCTGCCCATGCCTCTTATGTTCCTTCTTCTGAAGAAAAAATCTTGGATTCCAGTTCTACCTCTAGAGCTACAGTGATATTCTTCTCCTTTCTTCTTCATTTTGGATTTTGTGAAAATGTTAAAATTCTGCTCTGTGAAAGCAATGTGAACAGAATGAAACAAAAAAAAGCTACAGACTGGGAGAAAAATATTTTGTAAAACATATGTCTGATAAAGGACTTGTATCTAAAATACACGAAAACCTCTTAAAACTCAACATTAAGAAAGCAAACAACCCACTTAACAAATGGGCGAAAGATCTGAAACAGATACTCCACTACAGAAGATATACAGATGGCCAATAAGCATATAAAAAAGATGTTCAACATCATTTATCATTAGGGAAATGCAAATTAAAACAAGAAAGCAACACCAGTACATACCTATGGCTAAATGACTAGAATCCAAACAAACTAACAATTCCAACTACTGGTGAGGATGCAGAGCAACAAGAACTCTCATCCATTGCTGGTGGAAATGCAAAATTTACAGCCACTTTGGGAAGATAGTTTGGTTGTTTCTTACAAAGCTAAATAGATTATTACCATACTAAACAGCAATTGTGCTCCCAGATATTTACCAACTGATTTGAAAACATATGTCCACATAAAAACCTGCATGCAAATGTTTATGACAGCTTTATTCATAATTGCCAAAAACTAGAATAACCAAGATGTCCTTCAATAGGTCCGTTGATAAACAAACTGTGGAACACCCATACAACTAAATATTATTGAGTAATGAAAAGGAATGAGCTAGCAAGTCACGCAAAATATGGATGAATTTTAAATGCAAGTTCTAAATGAAAGAAGCCAACCTGAAAAAGGCTATGTATTATACGATTCAATTTACATGACATGTTGGAAAAGGTAAAACTATAGATATGGTAAGCAGATCAGTGGTTGCCAGTGTTGCAGGGAGCCAGTGGGGAAGGGCTGGATAGGTAAAGCCCAGGAGATTTTTTAGGATGGCAAAACTATTCTGAATGATACTGTTACAGTAGGTAGCTAGTCAGGCAACAGCAGTGCAGGAGAGGGCTCCTCCTCCCCACCCCCAACCAGGAGTGTCAGGTGACTGTCAGGTGATGGTCAGGTGGTTATTAACTGTCTCTCTAAAATAATAATTGGTCATAGCTGGCGCCAGGGCAAGGCAGTCTCCCAGTAGAGGAAACCTGAAACTGGTGATCGGCAGCTTCTTAATAAGATCTCAGGAGCTGGGTGAGTGGGCTCAAGTGTGCACATTAAGAGGCAGAATGGCAGAGTTTAACTGGTATATGACCTTCTAGGAAGATTCAGCTAGTAAGGGAAGAATGCCTCAAGTGAGCATGTGTACAAGTCCAGTAAACACACTGCACAGGCTCCCCTCCCAAGCACTAGCAGACCACTGTGCATGTGGACAGCCCACCCCAAGGGAAGAATCAGGGAAGTAAGAGATGCAAGACCCCAGAGGCATGCCAACGTATCAAACCCCAAGTCAAAGTTTAAACAGGGCATTTGATCTCGCAAGTCACCTGCTTGGCCCTCTTCCAAGTGTACTTTACTTCCTTTCATTCCTGTTCTAAAGCTTTTTAATAAACTTTCACTCCTGCTCTAAAATGTGCCCTTGTCTCTCTCTCTGCCTTATGTCCCCTTGAATTCTTTTTTCTGAGGAGGCAAGAATTGAGTTTGCTGCAGACCCATACAGATTCACTGCCAGTAGGTAACAATACTGTAAGGGTGGTTCCATGGCATGATACATTTGTTCAATACCCATAGAACTTTATAACAAAGAGTGAACCTTAATGTATATGCATTTAACAACAACACAAATCATTAGGCAGATGGGGCATCCTAGGATGGAATGACAAAAGAATCTAACTGCATCTCAAAAGCATGTAACAGCATTACCAATGTGTCAAACAACCCCATGGAAGAGGATAGGGAGAAAGATATTGACCCAAGTAACTCTGGAAATGAGTGGGGTCTGTAAGGCAAATGAAAGTGCACAAAACCACTATACTCTAATTGATAAAGTTGTTCCACATAGAAGTGTGGAACAACATAACAACATACATGTATATTAGTATTGAATAATAACAGTAAATGGCTGGCAGATAGTGGGAGCTGGATTTCTCACTGCAGGCGTGGTGGTTTCCAGATGAGCAAGGGGAGAAGGCTAGAATGAGCCATGTGGAAATCGATTAGAGTTGGAGACGTCAGTATGAACTCATGCTGACATGAGAGACAAAGAGACAAATATTTATAGATACTTGTATATGTATGAGTTAGTATGTACACATCTATTTCCTTGCTCTGTTAGTTGAGAGGGACTAGAAAGAAAGACATCCCAGTAGCGACAAGCATACCTAACCCAGATTTAGTTTATAACTCCATTCTTCAATAAAAGGAACCAGGACTCCTAGGAGAAATGACTATTGTAAGCCTGAGGAAGGAAATATACAAGATGGGTCTGGAGTATCTTGTAGTGCCAGAAACTAGAGAAGTAAAACAAACAAACAAAACAAAACAAAACAAAAAACAAAAACCGCCACAATAACAGTGGTATGTCAGAGAAACTGAAGGGCTGATTGAAAGAACTTTCAGTGGCCACAGCCAGAACAATTTCAGAGGAACAAAATAAATAAAGTAGCATTGTTTATAATCAACAAGAAAAGAGACAAATCTCCCAAAACAGCATTCCAAATAATTTCTGTACATATTCTGCCTTCAAGCAGGTGAGAATAAATCCCATTTCATAAGGGTGGGTGGTGCATAGTGACTTTCCCACAAAGTGTACATTATGGATGGGGTGGAGAAGAGAGGAATTTTGCAGTGGAAGAACCTGACAAACACAGTCTTAGCAAGGTCATTAAGGCTAACATCAGCAGTGATAAGTTATGCTGATAGAATGTGTCCTTGATATGATGCGATGAGAATGGCACCTTATCTCTGTGGTCTTCCTCCCTAAAACCCAAACCCCAATGTGATCATGAGGAAAACATGAGATAATTCTATGTGAGGGACATTTACAAAATAGCTGATCAGTGCTCCTTTAAATTGTCAAGGTCAACAAAAACAAGGGAAGTCTGAGAAACTGTCATAGCCACCAGGAGCCTAGGGAGACACGATGACAAACTTTAATGTAGTATCCTGCTTGGGGTCCTAGAACCATAAAAGAACACTAGGTAAAAACTGAAGAAATCTGAATAAATAAAGTATGGGCTTGAGTTAATAACATATCAATATTAATCATCACAAATATACCATACTAAGGTAAGATGCCAGTAGGGGTGAGTGGGTGAGAGGTATATGGGAACTCTCATATTCAAAACTTCTCTGTGAATTTAGATGTATTCAGAAACCTTTTGTAAAATAAAAAATTTATTTTATAATCTTTAATGAGAACTAAAATCTAAATCTCTGTAGTGAAAAATGTATAGATTCCATTACACTGATGTTATTTTGTACCTGCTGTCTTCAGGGTCACCTAGCCACCAATAAGAATGAACCAACTGAGAGCCTGTGCCAAGTGCCAGACTCTGAATCTGGGCCAAATAGACTGAAACCCTTCCTCCACATCTGTTTAATGTTTTTGACATTCCTTGTATCCTCCTTGCTGAATCTACATAAACTAAAACCAAAAACTGCTGCTGTCCTAAAGCACCTGCAACTCCTCCTCACCCCATTCCCTCCAATCAGACCCCTCAGATGTAGACAACAACATCAATCAGACTCAATGGGACATGATGATCAGTTAATTTCCCCTATTGCTAGCTCACTCCTTCTTCCCTGCTGGGAGCTTACAGCATGCTGAGTGGCCAAGGTCAGGCTACTTATGATAGCGTTGATTAACCAAATTAACCAAGTGCCTTGCTTGTGCATATTTACTTCCTACTGTTTACTCTTTGGCCATTTTAGTACTTGTAAATATATACCAAAGGCAGCAATAGCAACCAGCCCTGAGCCTTTGACATGGCATCATACATCAAGGGGCACAAAATACATACATGTATATGTATTAAAAAGAATCTTCAAGAAATCACATTAAGCAGTTAATAGTGGCTAATTCTGGGAGGAAGAAAGGGAAGGAATAAGAAAATAAATTTTGCTGCATTCTATTTGCTTTTTATTGACATTTGTAAGGATTTCTTTTTACACATTTCTACACTGGATTTTTTTCTACAGTGAACACAATAGTACTTTCGTAATTAAAAACCTACTTTGACTGTGGGATATACACTGTTAGTTAAAATTGTTGGTGCTGACTCTCAAGAAAGAAAGTATTTCTATTGTACAATGTGGATAGAATTCAAGGAATTTTGGGGGTGTCTTACATCATTACGGCCAAGGATAAAAGTTAATGGAAAACTGGTATAACCTACAAATAGGCTCTCTCAGGGCTCAGAACTATACCAAGCAAAGAAACTAGGCAAGATAAGGTTTTGAGTAAAGGTAAGACGATGATGGAGTAGATAATGAAGAAGGAAGGTCATAAGTTGCACCAATAGCATTAAGAACTATAGCTTCTGTTTCTCTGCCCTTGCTGCTGGAGTGTTCAAAGGCTTAATAATTTCATCCATCATTTTCCCTTTTCTCTTTTCCCTTTGGATTAGGAACTATCATTGTTCTTTGTATCTTTTTTCTTCCTTTTCTTCATACTACTGTATATCAAGTATGTTGGTATAATTATTTGATTCATTCACTGGTTGAAGAAAAGAGTAAAGAAGGAATCACAACAAAAGTACAGAAGAAATGCGAATCTGAGGGAGATCATGGTCTGTGAAGGGAGTGGTCCATTGACATCCTGTACCTACATATTGCTCTTGGTGTGACCTTGGGTTACTTCTTGTTGGAAAGTTTTTATGACTGCCTAGAGGAGTCTCTTTAGGATTGTGTGTGTTGACAAAATTATGTGTGCTCTGAGCAATCAAAGGGTAAAACAGCAGAAATTGTGGGTGTTTCAAAGGGTAAAACAGCAGAAATTGTGGGTGTTTCTTCCCAGATACATGTACAATTCTAGAAAAGTCATATATCAAAAGTCAAAGAAGTCACATATCTCCTTTAAGGGAACTTCCCCAACTTATAGGGGTAGGACTCCTTAGTGGTCGTGGTTCTATTCTGCGATCCTGTCCTGTTGACCATAATGAATTGAAACAATCCTAAGTCAGACTGATTAGTGATGGTTAGGAGGGTGGTGTCATGTGAGTTTAAAAATGGCTGCCGAGGACACATGACTTTAAGGAAAGGAAAAGACTTTTTTCACTGACTGGTCAGACGTGTCCTAAATTAACCTTATTAATTTTGGTAAAGGGTATTCAATGGTATATGGTAAGATCAATACAGAATTTTCCTTTCAGAAAAATACAATATAGCAGTAATGTAAATAATGATTTAAAGTTCTCCCAGAGAGATATGTCTCTATTAATGTATATCTATGTATAATGTATATAAGATTTTTCATAGCACAGATATATTAGCTATATATAAAATAATTGACTTCATACACAAATCAAAACAGAAAAGGAGTGAGTTTGAGAGAGTAACAGGATAAGGATATTTTATTTTTTAGGTATTTCAACTTTAGTGAGCTCTAATTTAACATACAACAAAATGTACATACATGCAACACATGTTAGGTGTACTGTTTGATGCATTTTAACAAATAAATATGCACATTTAGTAACCCAGTACAATCAAGACAAAGCATTTCCATCACTTGCCAAGATTTGTGTCTCACACTCATAATTTTTTTGAAAATTATTTTTTTAAAGCTGCTATGAACACATGTTTACAAGTCTTTGTATGGATATTTAAAACAATTCTTCTCAGGTCAAATCTTAGAAGTAGAATTTCTGGGTTGTGTGGTAAATGTATAGAAACTGCCAAGATGTTTTCCAAAGTGACTGCACATCATTCTACATTCTCACCAGGATTTTATGAGTTCAGTTGCTCCACATCTGTATTAGTTTGTTCTCATGCTGCTAATAAAGACATGCCTGAGACTGGGTAATTTATAAAGGAAAGAAGTTTAATTGACTCACAGTTCCACATGGCTGGGGAGACCTCACAATCATGGTCAGCATGGGAAAAACCTGCCCCCGCGATTCAATTACCTCCCACCAGGTCCCTCCCATGACACATGGGGATTATGGCAGCTACAATTTAAGATGAGTTTTGGGTGGGGATACAGCCAAATCATATCAACATTCTTGTTGTTAACACTTAGTATGTCAGTCTTTTCCATTTTAGTTGCTTTAATGAGCATCACATTATACTTTTAATTCACATTTCCCTGATGATTAATGAAATAGATATTTTTTATGTGCTTATTTTCCATTCACATGTCTTCTTTTATAGAATATAGGTTCAAATCTTTTGCCCAGTTTTTACTGCATTGTCTTCTAATGATTGAATTGTATGTGTTCTTTATATATTGTGGTTACAAATCCTTTGTTAGATATATGTATTATGAATATCAGCAACCAGTCTGTGGCTTACCCTTCTGTTTTGAGAGTGATTTCTTATAAAGAGAAAAAATGTTAATATTAAGACCAATTTATTAATATTTTTCTTTTATAGTTAGTGCTTTTTGTGTCTAAGGAATCTTTGCTGATTCTAAGGTCACAATTTTTTTGCCTATATTTTTTCTAATGGTATAATTTTTTGCTTTTATTCTTAAAAATGTGATCATTCAGATTAACTCTAAAGGGTCAAAGTACAAGCAAGGAAGGGGTCAAAATTTGTTTCCTTTATCGACATCCTGTTTCCAATATTAAATTATTGGTTAAAATGACTACTTTTTTCATTGAATTACTTGGGATATTTGTTGGAAATCATGTGTGGGTCTACATCTGTACTCTTCATTCTGTTTTAATTATTTATATGTTAATTCTTACAAAAATATTACCATGTCTTGATTACTTTAGCTTTATAATAAGCCTTGAAATCAGAGAGTATAAGTCATCCAAATGTGCTCTTCTTTTGCAAAATTGTCTTGGGTATTCTAGATCTTTGTTTTGCAATATAAATTTTAGAATTAGCTTGTCAATTCTACATAAAACCCTGCTGGGGTTTTTATAGGGGTTGCATTAGATGTAAAGATCAATTTAGAGGAAAATTCTTATTTGATCTTTGATATACTTCCTCATCTGTTTATGTCTTCTTTAATTTCTCTTAGCAGTGTTTGGTTTTCAGTGTACAGATTTTGCATATAACTTGTTAAATTTATGTCTAAGTATTTCATGTCCTTTGATATGTTTAATGGTACATTTTAAATTATTTTTTCAGTTGTTTATTGATAGTATATAAAAATGTTTGATTTTTAATACTGTATACTATTACCTTGATAAATTTGACTTATTCATTCTAGTTTCTTTTTTTAATCTACTTTAGAATTTTCTACATACATGGTCTGCAAATCAAAAAGTCTTTTTCAAATCTGTATATATCAGACTGCTTTTCAATTCTGTATGGCTTTTATTTAGTTTTCTCCTCTTATTGTATTGTATTGGCTAGCTCTTGCGGTACAATCTTAAATATAAGTGGTGATAGACAATCCTGCCTTCCTCTTCATATAAGGGAAAAACTTTTTTATCACTAGGCGTGATATTTGCTCCTTTTTTTAAATAGATGCCCTTTTCCATATTGAAAAAGTTATCTTCTATTCCCAATTCGCTGAGAGAGTTTATCAAGAAGACGTACTAAATTTTGTCAAAATTGGTTTTTTTTCTGCTTCTGTTGAGAGATTCTTATGTGTTCCCCCCTTATTATGTTAATGGAGAATTGCATTAATAGATTTTCAAATGTTAAACCAACCTTGCTTCCTGAGAATGGCCCTTTTTGGTCATGATATATTATACTTTGTATATACTGCTTTGCCCTATATCAAGAATAAATCAAGGATACATATTGTAGGTCTTAGAACAATCACTGAAAACATAGAACAAAGAGGCTTAGAGAATAAGACAATAGTGGAGTTGGAATTCATTATTGGAGTTGTTTGTCTTCATATCTTTCTCTTCTCCAGTACCTTTTCTTACAAGACAAATCCCAGCTACCTCATCCTGCCCAAATTCCAATCTCCATGTTTTAAACTTAGTAAGACCACTGTATTCCTTTTGGGTTTCCCCTCCCTCAGAAAGGAAAGCAGAAAGCTAAGGGATGTGTGTTCTGTGTTTAAAAGAACAAAGAGTTAAATTGATGATTGTTTTACATTCATGCATTAATTAATTTTTTCAACAAACATATTTAGAGTTAGGCCTCAAATATCTAGGCAAAGATAGTTAATTTTTATTATAGCATTTAACATTTAAATTTTTCTGCCATTTAAAAAATATAAATGCCCTACCCATTGTGTAGTACATTTATATGTTTGGGACATGTACTAATGGAGGAATATACATGTAGGTTGGACTAGAAATACCTTTTTAATGCCAGAAAATGCCCTCAGATAGAAAGCCAGTGTGAGGTGCAGTGGCTCACCCCTATAATCCCAGCACTTTAGGAGGCCGTGGCACGCTGATCATCTGAGGCCAGGAGTTCGAGACCAGCCTGGCCACTGTGGTGAAACCCCGTTTCTACTAAACATTAAAAAATTAGCTGGGCATGGTGTTGTGCCCCTGTAATCCCAGCTACTGGGGAGGCTGAGGCAGGAGAATTGCTAGCACCCGGGAGGTGGAGGTTTTAGTGAGCTGAGATCATGCCACTGCACTCCAGCCTGGGCGACAGAGTGACTCCATCTAAAAAAAAAAAAAAAAAGTCAGTGTGAGTCTAGGGCTCCACTTGTTTTTGGCCTTCTACTGTGGATCATAGTACTGTATTGCCTATTGTCTAAAAACAGCTGGAAAAGTGTCTTGCTTTCTAGTTATTTTCTTTGGGAGGGAAATTCTAATACCAGTAATTACAATAATGGCCAAAAATGAAAATCACATAATAGTGACTTTTAACAACATAATCATTCTACGAGTATTAATGTACAAGTAGGTAATATTAATACATAAGCCTGTGATGTTACTGTTACCTGGAATATACAGCATCAAAGATTCGAACTCTTTTTTTTTAACAGAAGTAATTTTTTAAATGGCATAAAAATAAACTATCTTTGCCCAGATATTTGAGGCCTAACTATAAAAACAGTGTAGGTGAAATGATGGCTTGACGAGGAAAGTTCAACTCAAGACTGGGTAGCTATCCTTTAAAAACCAGTGAAAAGAAAAATCCAGTTGAGAGAGGGAACATGACTAAGCCAATTAAAAACGTACTTGTTAATTACTGAAAAACAGTGACCAAAGTTGGGGGGTTTTAAAAGATAAAAGTGAAATTAACTACTTTGAAGCAAGTCACTGAGGGGAAGAAATGATGATCATTAGTCTGAGAACGTTTAGGTTAAGGCAGAGGGCTAGAGCCTCAGACCCCTTGAGAACTTTTCTGATTTAAAGATTCTATGATTAAAAACAAAAATTTTAAAAGCCATTACATTAATAGGCCTCATTTATAAGCCATCAACTAAAGTATCACGTATTGACATCCTATTTCTAGTTTTTAAGAAAAGGAAAGGGAAAGTCTTTTCTTCATTGTGTAGTGCACTTATATATTTGGGACATGAACTAACGGAGGGATGTAAATGTAGGTTGGACTGGAGATACCTTTTGTAAGATATTATAAAATCACATCATTATTATAAATACCACTCTACTTTCATATTTCTCATCTCATTAATTCTGCTCTACTTTCCTGTATTTGAAGAAAAACAAGAAAGTAACTTTCTGCATAATTCTCTATGCCTTTGTTTTTTACTTTTTCTTACTTCTAAACAGCAACCATAGCTATCAGCAGTAAGCTAAGAGATGAGTGTTCTGTGTTTAAAAGAGCAAAGAGCTAAATTAATGGTTGTTTTACATTCATGCATTAATTTATTCTTTCAACAAACTTTTTTTTTCTGCTGGGTCAGGAATGACAAATGGATTTCATATTTAATGTCATCTCCTAGTGACTGATAGTAGCTGATTGGAACCCTGTACTGAGAATGAAAACGCCTTTCTGGCTCAGCCAGATTGATTTTCAATTGAATCCTGCCCTAGACAATGAAGGAGGAAGTAGCACAAAGGTGTATTGCCATCTCTTCACAAGTCACCGTACTTGGTTTAAGGGATATATGGTGTATAAGACAAAATCCTGTTCCTAAGACTAATGGGGAATACTTCTTGGAATAATGAGAACTATAAAAGCAATAATAGTGTATCAATGAGGGCTAGGTCAGAAAAACAGAAATCAGAGCCAGGCATTTCAAGTAGAAAGGGGCTTAAGGCAAGAGATTGGGTAGTTATAAAACTATTGGAAAGGCTGGGGGAAAGCAAACCAGAGAAAGCTACCAGCTAATCTCAGCTTTGCTTCCAGCTTTCAGAGAGTGAGGAAATTGCAAGATCATTTGAGAAATGCTGGCGCTGATTATAGCTGCCTACTGCATTGAAGTACGTGAAACTCAACTTCAGGGAATCAAGCAATTTATTCAGCCGCTTATTTGAAAATGGAGCCAGGAATAGAACTCAGGTCTTCCTCTCAGTTCACCAATCTTTCTATAATACAGTTTTGTTTCTTCTCATTCAACTTGCACTGTCATTGTTCTGATGTACATACCCAAGTCTTTATCATTGTTTTGCTATGTCATTTCCTCTTAAGTCCCAGGCTTACTTTTTAACACACACACACACACACACACACACACACACACACACACACACTTTCCTGTACTATTAAAAACTATATAGGCTCTTGGAAATGTTACTTCTGGAGGTTCCACCCTACACCAAAGCAAATGTATTAATGTGCATCTATTTTTTGGATAGAAAAAATGTAATTTTGCTTTTGAAATAATTTGGCTACAGATAACTAATTTAATTTGAGATTGGCTATGATTTCTTGGCAATTACTTCGCATAGTTGGAAATTCTTGCAAAGTGAGAAAAATTTAATCTTCAAATTGTTTTAAGTGCAATGAAATATTTAGGAGTAGTAAACATGACAATTAATGAAGTTGGCCCAATGTTACATTTTGTAGATGTTTAAATATTTGTTAAATTCAATTTTGCAGTTTTCCTCTTGGAACCAATGCCTTTTTTTTTAGGTCCATAATGCTAAACTCCAGCTTTTCTAGTGCTAGTTGGCAGAAGTGGCCCAGGGCTGTCTCTCATGGATATCACCAAATATAGCTTTCTGTGAGCCTCTATGCACGCTGCTCCCACGGAATGGAATTTCATGGAATTTCAATCTTGTGAGTGGTGCAAGGTCAGAGATAATGAGGTCCACACGTGTTTGTGTCTGTGTCTTTCTACAATGGCAGACTTCCACTGATGCTATTTAATCACAAAAGCCATGGACTACATGGTTCCCAAGGAGGCAGTTCTCCTTAGTACTTTCTGTTCACTCAGCGGTCAGAGCCTTGGACACACAGGCTCAAGTCACTTCATAATTCAGTATACATAATAGTATACTTAATCAATATATAAATGCTATAGATTAAACATTCCACAACAAACAAAGTAACATTTAACATCAAGAGAAAGGGGATAGGAAAAAGGGGTTAACAAACTAGTCCAGGAGGAGTGACAAAAACAAAAACATCTCCTGGTCTGAGCCAAGAGGTCCTTCAGTCTTGCAAGGAAGAGTCTTTGATGTGGGCAGAGCCTTCAGCAGGAGATACTGGGTTCACCATGAGTAATAGGAAGATGGTGTCAGCTAAGACAGCCATATCGAACTCCTGAAGCCCTGCTCTGTTTATGGCCACAGAGTCCTCTGGTGAGAACTGGTAGTGGAAGGGTGTGCTTGCTTATATCCTTATCTGGTTGGATGCAGTCTTTATAAATCGGGCAAAACATCTTATCCCTGTTGGCAAAGTGCCCTGTGAAATGTAAGATGGAGTCTTTTTCTAAGATGGAGTTACTTATGGCAAGGGTGTGCTATATACTTGTTATCCCCAAACCCTCCCAATCCTAGTGCACACTCTTCAGAGTTTACCTTCTCATCAGCTCTTCTTAAATCCACTCACACCACCACCTTCCTGTAGGGCCAATGCCTTCTTCTTCTATCATGAAAAATGTGAAGTTTGATTGAGAGTTATTTATTTACATGTCTGCATCCCTTTTCAAGACAGGAATATTTTGAATGTTGTAAGAGTTTATTATCTCAGCACAGTTCCTCATGCATGTGCAACACACTACTAAAACATTGTATGTTAATGTAAATTCATTAAAGACACATTCAAGCACTTTCCATGTGCAAGATACTAAAGGGAGATTATCAAAGAAGAGTTGACTACCATTCTTATCTTCAAGACACCTCCAATTTTTCTTGAAGAATTTTAATATATGAGATAAGAATAATTTCATTTCTTAGATTTTAATTTCTTGATGAATTTAGTCACTAGATTCACAATTCTGTGGTCAGTGTTGTAAGCGTAAACATTTGTAGCTTATTTTCGTATGGCTTCTTTTTAAAATTCAACAAACAAGAAATGTGTGGACAAAAGAATGTGGCGAAGGGGTTAAATTGTGTTATTCTGGCATATTGACTATTTAAGTTAAAGGCACTTGAAAAATGCAGGTATAAAAAGGTCACTTTGACCTTCATGTGTAAGATGAAATTCTTGTGTGAAAAATGCCCTCCCCATACTAGAAAGATACAACATTCTCCACAGGAGGAGAAATCAAAACCAAGAGAATACTGTACAGACCTTGTTAGAATAACGCTTCTTTTAAGCTTTCCTACATAGTTTAGCTGCTTCTTTTCCCAATTCACTATATAAGTAACTGACTCTAACTACTTCTTCGGCTCTTCATTTCCTTCTGAGGACTCCTATGCACGTATAATTTGTATTATGCTTTTCTCCTATTAATCTATGTTATGTCAATTTACTTCTTAAACCCAGCTGGGAACCTAAGATAACAGAGGTGGGATTTTTCTGTCTCTACAATGGTATAATAATAATGTGTTACTTTACAGTAGGTTTTAGGATACCAAAACATGTTTAGGTACATAATTTTATTTGATCCATACAACTATGTGGCAAAAGCAGAGCTGGTAATATCATTCCCACTTTACAGATAAGTAAATAGAGGCTCAGAAGGCTGACAAAAGGCACAGTCAGAACTTAGGTCGACATCCAAGCCTAGCTTCACACTGTCACTACACACTTTGCCCCAGGTTCTAGAATGTTAAATTTAAGGCAGAATGGTTATAAATTAGCAAGTTGGATAATTCAGCAGTGAATGTAAATGAGAGTTATAAGATAAATGACATTTAGTGACATTAATTAACTGATTAAATTAAACCTGATATTTTAATCAGAATTTGTTTGTGCAGTGCTAGATAAAATGAAATGTAGTTTAACCTAGTTACTTGAAAAAATTCCAGTTACCATAACGACTTCTTGTGATTTCAATTAAAGGTGGTCTTTTCTTTATATTATTTTTAGAACTTTAGTTACCATAACAACCAGATGCCGTGTATTTGATCAGTTAAATCATTCCCAAACAGTTAAAATATGATGTTCTCTTGGAAACAATCAAAATATGATAAGTGGTGTGTCAGGAATTAATGCCCAAATGGCAACGCAGACGCAATTTTTCAAGGAGCTCACATGTGAAATAAAAGACCAATGAATCTTCCTTTGTATGTGGGCTTATGATGTTTCTCAGTTACAGAAATCAAAAAGAGATTATTTATCAATTGGAGGAAAGTGGAGATGTCAGGTTCTGGGGTAATATGAATTGTCAGAGCTACAAAGAGAAATGATGTAAATGATAAATTCATTTTCACCAGGTTTGGGGGCTTTGCTGGAAACAGTATTACCAGAGCTTTGCCCAAGCTGAGAGTGGGGAGAGGAATTTGGCTTTATATAATAGAAAACAGCTCTGCCTTTCTGTGTTCATTACCTCCCCCATGCCTCGCCCTGTAAAGGAGAATTTTTAAAGGAGTCTCTTCCTATCTTAAGAAACTGGTTTCCTAATATCAATGAGGGGAGCCACCACTCCTATACTTATAGGCTCTGCAGTTATTGAAATAGAGATTGGGAGCAAGATGACCACAGGGGAGGTCCAAAGAGGAAAAAAAATGAAAGCAAGAGAGTTCAGAAATAGGAGAATGGCAGACCAAGAAGATGAAGGAAAGAACACAGGCAAGGGGTAAAGTCCAGGATGAGGCAGCCCAAGTAAGGAAGGCAGAACAGAACAAGGGGCAAAGCAGAAACCAGCCTCACCTGCAGCCACGTGTCCCTAGAAAGAAACAAGGAGGCAGAATCAGTTAAACGTGCTGACGGCTATCTACCTTCAATCATGTGAAAATACTTCCGACATATTGGGCCCAAATGCATGGCAAACGAACATCAGTAAAATTCCCTTGCTCTCCGAATCAAAGGCCTCACCTGTTTGAGGTAAATTGGCCCTTCCGGGCAGATGTCTTGCTTTATTTGATGGGCAGCCATCCACGTGGAAGTGGGTTAAGGACAAAAGATGCATCTGGTTGCCCTGAAGGAAGGGCCAGGTTGCCCATTAAGTGACAAATAAAGATGGCCTCTCCCTGTTATCACCCCCTGCCCATGAAACGAGGAGAGAGCCGCTTGTCTTGCCCACAGCCTGTGCAGAAGCAACAGACGGATGGTGAGAGTGTCAACCGTGGATTCCGGGCTTAATTGTAGTCCTTTTGCTTAATGAGGTTTCGTGAGGAGGAGGAGGTGGGGGATTGGTGTGTGCTCCTGTGGCTGAGGGTTATTTAATTAAAAAACAATAAAGCTGCCAGCTGCCGCTGGTTAACAATCTGGAACCCTCCCTTTCTTCCTCCCAGACGTGAACACAACACAGAGAGATAAAGCCTCTCTAACCGGCTTGTGAGCTGAGGCCCTGTTAGCACCCCCAGATCAAACCACCCCATTTTCTTCCTAAGCTCTCTTTGGTTGCCAAAAACATTGCTAGCTGATCTATGGAGAGTTAAAGACCCCCCTCATAGCTAAATTACAAAAAAGAAAACAAACAAAACTCCTATTCACCCCTTCTCCTTGGTGCTTGTTTTGAGACCAAAAAAATGTACCCTGGAGGCTGGGCGCGGTGACTCACGCCTGTAATCCCAGCACTTTGGGAGGCTGAGGCGGGTGGATCACGAGGTCAGGAGATTGAGACTATCCTGGCTAACACGGTGAAACCCTGTCTACTAAAAATACAAAAAAAATTCGCCGGATGTGGTGGCAGGCGCCTGTAGTCCCAGCTACTTGGGAGGCTGAGGCAGGAGAATGGTGTGAACCCGGGAGGTGGAGCTTGCAGTGAGCTGCGATCTTGCAGTGAACCAAGATCGCACCACTGCACTCCAGCCTGGGCGACAGAGCGAGGCTCTGTCTCGAAAAAAAAAAAAAATATATATATATCTATATAATATATATATATATAATATAAATATATATAAATATATAATATATAATATACATTATCTATAATATAAAAATATATAATATAATATACATTGTCTATAATATAAAATATACATAATATATAATATACATTATCTATAATATAAAATATATATAATATATAATATACATTTTATATATATATACACTCACACACACCCTGGAAATGGACACAGGGGAGGTGATGCAGAAAGGGGGTATCTTCCAGCTCCTGTCTCCTGTGTGTATCCTGATATGAACACATGGACGTGGAGGCTTTCCCAGGAAGGATGCATAGTCTCCTACCAACAGGGTTTCTGTCCTCTGTGTCCAGGGCTTCACCACTTCCAACAGTCACCTGGGGAATTTGCTTTAAAAAAATACCACTTCTCCCAGCACTTTGGGAGGCCGAGGCGGGTGGATCACAAGATCAGGAGTTCAAGACCAGCCTGGCCAAGATGGTGAAACCCTGTCTCTACTAAAAATACAAAAATTAGCTAGGCATGGTGGCAGGCACCTATAATCCCAGCTACTCGGGAGGCTGAGGCAGAGGATTGCTTGAACCCTGGAGGCAGAAGTTGCAGTGAGCTGAGATTGTGCCATTGCACTTCAACAAGAGCGGGACTCCATCTCCAAAAAAAAAAAAAAAAAAAAAAAAAAAACACTTCTGAGGCTCTTCCCTGGAGATTCTGAATAAATTAGTGTCTGAACCTGTATTTTTACCAAGGGCCTTCATTGATGTTTCTGATCAGAAATGTCTGAAAAATTATCTTCTCATTACCTGTTTACCCGAGGGACCTGAGTGGAGACTAGAGAGAAGGGAGTGAAATGGAAAGTTCCTTCAATGCAGAGTGTTTAGCCTTGCGTATATTTCTCAGTTACCAACAAAGGCCCAAAGCCTGTCTGTGATTTTTCTGTTTAAAGAGCTCCCCCATCTCCTAACACCTCCAGCTCAGCTAGGGAAAAGCAATGTAACAAAACTGCAGGGTCTGTTTCTAGGGGGTAAAAACTAGCTACTGATTAGCTGTGGTATCTTAACAGCATTCTTGTTTGAAGCATCCCTGTGGCAAATTATTAACACACTAGAGTGAGGCTTAAACCAGGAGACCCCCATCTCCTTACTAATTAATCAAACTTCAAAAGTTCACTCACTAGTAGGTGACAACCATGTCTTTTTGCCTGAGGCTGTGTCAGTTTTAGCACTGAAAATCCCTTTCTGGGAAACCTCTCAGTCCCAGGCAGACCAGGGCATGGATCACCTCTAGTAACCAGCTCACACTATTGGTGCCTCTCTTGGGATTATTCAGCTTTTCTTTCCCCCTATCCTAGATGCATCATGAATTTCACAGGGGAATTGTGAATCTGGGGATACTCAGGCCTCACGCATGCATTCTCTGCATCTCACTTAGCACCTTCCTCAATTTTCTCTTCTTCAGCACCTATCAATTGGCTAAAGAGCCAGCTTATTCTCTTCCAATTGGCTATAGACCCCACTTATTCTCTTCCCAGCTTCCAATTATCTTTTCCCCTGCCTAGTAAAAAAAGCCCTATATTCTCCAAATCGAGTTCTCTGATGACTTTTGATGTCCTTTTAAGTCCACCAAATAGGCTGGCCTAGGATTAAATAATCTTTGGAATCGCATTTTATTTGCATTTCAAATGTACAATTTGCATGGCATTTGCTTATGCCTCAGTCAGATTGGTTCAGATCTCATCCATATTTATTTAGGGGGAGGGGAAGTATAAGAGCAAAATATTGTGGACTCCTGGTCAGAAAAGCTGACTCCAGATCCTGGCCTTGACATTTATTTGATCAGCAACCTTAGATCAATCAGTTTTGCTTTATGAAAAATTGAGATGGTTGAATTATTTTCCTTCCTAAAAATTATATGCTGAAGTCCTAACCCCCAGGACCTCAGATTGTGATCTTATTTGGAAATAAGGTCATTGTAGATACAATTACTTAAGTCAGGATGAAGTCATACTCATCTAACTCACACTCTTCATTTTGGAGTAGGGTAGGTCCCTAACCCAAACTGACTGGTGTCCTTATAGAAAGCGAAATTTGAAGACAGACACGCATGCAGGGAGAACGCCATGTGAAGTGTGGGGTTACACTGCCACAGGTCAAGCAACTCTCAGAAGGCAGGACCAGAAGGTAGGAGGAGAGAAATCTGGAAGGAACAGACCTTTTCCTTGCACCTGCAGAGGGAGCACGACATGCCAATGCCTTGATCTTGGACCTGTACACCTTGGAGTCTCCAGACTGTGAGGTTTCTGTTTAGAAATAAATTTCTGTTGTTTAAGCTACTCAGTTTTTGGTACTTTTAAATGGTAGCCCTACTAAACTAATGTAAATGGTAACACCTACTTCATAGGATTTTTCTGAGAATTAAATATATAAGAATATTTATGTGAAAGTACTTGGTACATAGGAGTCATTAATGAATAGAAGAAAAAAATAATAGAGAGAGACAGCAGTGAGTTACCAGAAAATGACACCCTTGGAGTTACAGTATCAAAGTTCAAACTCCCTTTCCTTCTCTGTTATACCTTATATGGCAACTGCAAACCACTTCAACCTTTCATCTCTTTGATCCTCATTTCCTCATCTGTAAAATGGATATAATAGTACAAACTTCCTAGGGAAGTTGGGATGATTAAGTAAGAGAACAAGTGAAACTACATCAACCAGCTTTGTAATGAGAGGCCACGTGGCTTTTGTCCTTGCAATGTAGAAGGCACAAAAATGTAAACCTCTCTTCTCTCAGCAATTGCCTCTACCTTTGCCCCCTTAGCCCTCGACTGAGGCCAAGAGCTAAGAGCTGACAGATGGATGGAGCTTGAGATCCTGCCAACCCTTTGTGTGTTGGAGATGATGGCACCACAAGGACTTCCCCTTTCCTTTCTTCCTCCCTGCCCACCCCCAATTCAAGAGCAAATTTCATGCTTCTTTCCTGAGGATCAAAAGAGCTATGACTCTGATAGTTAATGGTTTAAATCCCCTTTCCTTTCTTTTTCAGAAGAAACAATTTGATAGCTATAATTATTGCTGCAGACCCAATTATTTTTTCACAGAAATTAAATATGTCTGTGGTAGTACTTCAATAGCTCAATGTGTTTGCTATGCTATCAAAACCATGTTTTTTCCTACTCTGTTGAAGAAATGAACAATTGAGTGCCAGATTGCAGAACTGAGGTTTTGTTTAATATTTACTGCTAGCAGCCACATTCGCTTCTGCAAAGGTATACTTATATCCAACAAAACCCATGACGGCAATTCACACACAACCTTCCTCCAGGAGTAAGCATATACATACTGAAATATTTGTTCCAGTCTTAAACTATGGTGCCTTTTTACCAAGTGACACCATTTATGGAAATTTATCTTAGAGAAATACATATTCAAGTGCACAGCAATGCACAGCTTTGTGTAACCAGCATATTCAGTGGAGATTATTTATAATTTTTAAAGCAAAATCCTAAATTCTAATAATAGGGAATGGATTTCATGGAGTATGGTTCTCCTATTAGTTACATAGGATTGGCAATCATTGAGCTGAGACTTTCCTGCTACATTATGAAGGTATCAGTTAGTTTCAGCATTAGAACCGTAAGCAATTTGCCATCAATCAGTGTCTCTTTCCATTTTTTCTATTTCCTACTGCTTCCTGGGCTGTCACAGAATCCATGCCATGGAATTCTCTGGAAGTGCCAACAATCTAATAGAAAATGGAAGCTTTGAAGGGACACACAACCCTTCGTGGCTTAGATTTTTCTCCAACAACTTCTATCTCATCAGTCAAGTGACATCTGCCTCAAATGTTGCCATTAAATCACCAGGAAGAATTTTGCTGACAATTTAATTGGAAATATCAATGCTGGCATTCCAATTCCTTTTTCAACATGATAAAAGTCCTCCTAGAAAAGCATCCATGTTGTACCTGTAAATCATGTCTCAAGAGGCTTAAGATTCCATCTGCTGGTGCAAAGTAAAATTTTTAGCTACAAATAGATCTTGTGTATATATCAGCATGTTTGGATGTAAAGGGCTGGTTGAGCCTCTCTGTCTTGGCAAAAGCAGGCAAGAAACAACAGGTATCAACCTGGATACAAGTCACGATGTGGGTTGGGAGAGTAGGTCAACAAACACAAGGGATTATCTACATTATTTATGGACTTGCAAACAAATTTGGGATAAAAGGTATTTTGCAATATGTACACACACACACTCGATAGATAGATGATAGATAGATAGATAGATAGATAGATAGATAGATAAGATAAGATTGATAGATAGATAGATAGATTTTAAGCAAGGGCCCTCTATTAGTTACGTGTACAGATGCCGTATGTCCTGGGCTTGTGCTATATCCTCAAATGTAGACATATGCTACTAGTTCTCACTACTAAATAAACCTAAGCAGTAGTTTCTCCCTGCTCTATGAGCTTGAAATGGAGACAAAGTTTGAATAAGGCTTGTTTCCAGTTGGCAGTCACTCCAGCTTAGGGTTTTTCAACCTTGGCACTGCTGACATTTTGGACCAGATAATTCTTTGTTGTGACAGGCTGTCCCATACATTGTAGGATGTTCAGCAGTATCCCTGGCTTCTGCCTACCAGATGCCAGTAGCTGCCTCCTAGTCGTAGCAACCAAAAAAATGTCTCAAGACATTGCCAAATGTTCTCTGGGAGGTAAAATCACCGCTGGTTGGGAATCATTGCCCTGGATTATTCTTATTGTGGTTGTGTTGTGCATTAGCAACTTAGTTAAACTGGAGCTAATTCTCTCCAGAATTTCCTCCCTTGTATGGTTCCAGATTGGCATTGACCATGAGAGGCATTTTGCATGAGATTTGGGAGTTAGAGTGAAGCCTCAGCTGTTTGAGTATGCTTTGAAGTTTGGTACAGAGCCCCAGGCACTGTGGCAGCCCATGCACAGTGTCGCTGGTTTACTGGCTCACATTGTTGGCATAGGTGGCACTCAGACCAACAGCTTCTCCAGATCTACTCCTTTAGTTTCTGAGTCCTGTGTCAAAGGGTACCAGCTTTCTTTCCCAACTGCTAGTCTAGTTGACTGTAGTGACTTCAGGCTCAACACTAGATGTAGAGGCAGCAGCCTGCACAAGGGCTTCACCAGTGCCTTCTATTGAAAAAAATCAAATCACTATAATAAATCCTTTATTCTATGTCACTCACAGCAGTTTTTCCTCTCTGATTGAACCTTGACAGATAGACTAGGTGGAGATTTCAGGTTGTAGTGACAATTTGGAGAGACCTGGAAAACTTCCCTACATTTACTCTACGCCAGAAAATTAGTTTATGCCAAACATCTTGCCAGGGATTGGTTCAGAGCTGAATTAAGTCAATTTAAGCCAATGAGATGCAAGAAGAAGCTTGTTTGGGGTTTCTGGAAATAAAAAGTCAGTCTGTCCCTATGCAACTAGAAATAAACACAAAAGTATGCTGTACCAGTTGCTGCTGGCAGCCACCATGTGACCATGTGGGGAACCAGCTTTAGGATAAAGCTGATACCACTGACAGCAAAGCGAAAGCCAAAAAGAACCTAGGTCTAAAAATATCTCTGAGCTGTGGAATCAATAAACCCTGAAGCCTTCTCTA
Organism: Homo sapiens; assembly: GCF_000001405.40. Lineage (NCBI taxonomy): Eukaryota > Metazoa > Chordata > Mammalia > Primates > Hominidae > Homo > Homo sapiens. Next base: position 204,363,835 of record NC_000002.12, read on the forward strand.
CTTCTGAACTTCCTTTTGCATGAGATAATAAATTGCCCTATGGTTTAACCAAATCTGGCTGGAATTGTTGTATTCTTAAATTAGCTTTATAGTCTAGTTTAAACCTTGGATACAAATTATTCTCATTTATTAAAAATGATTTGACCTGATCACCCTGAGATGAAGCCTCCATTTTTTTTTTTTTTTAAATATCTTATACCGCTCCTCGTCACCTCAGAACTAGCAGTCTGGATGGTCTTGCTTTGCTGCTTCTACCAATTTTGTTGGAGTCCTCAGTATGTAGGAAGAGGAGTCGAGCCTCGCTGCCGACTCTGTTAGCCCTAGATTCTTCCTAACACTTCTGAGCTAAAAGCAAAGGATGAAGAAAACTGAACAAATAAATTCTCCGGAAGTTCAGGCATGTGTGGACTTGTTTCCATCGGAACCAAGAATCACCCGAACAGCTTGGGTCTTCTCCAGCTGTGATCAACAACAGTCCTGGGCCATCCACAACCAACAGGAAACCGACATGCGATAATAGAGGCAGCAAAGTAAAACTCTCCCTGTAGTATCAAGGCATCCTCATACCTGGGGCAATCTTTGTCACCTTGTCGACTGTAAGCTCTTGGATACAGAGTAGACACCCCACTCTTTGGCTACTTGGTCCATGGACATACTGGGATGAAGTGAAAGAGTCACAAAGGGGCTACTGCTAAAGAAAGCTGCCTTTGTCTCCAAATAAATAGTGTGGTGAGTCCCGGCTGGATTTCATCTCCCATTTACTCCCTCGGCCTGGCTTCTGTGCACCAGGGCACAACTGGTACAGCCGTCAGCGATGCCCCGATCAAGAGTTGTGGGATCAGACAAACTAAGACTCTAAGCCTTGTGCTTTCACCAGAAAGTGAGCATGTCATGCATCTTCCCAAAGCCCCATTGTCTCATCAATAAAATGAGAATAAGAAAACCTCTCATCATGTGCAGCACATGGTAGAAACACAATAAATATCATTTTCTTTGTCTTCTCCTCCCTCACCTCCTCACTGCCACAGCTGACCTCCCTGACCCACACCGCCTCCTCCCGCAGGTATTCATCAGATTCTTCAGCTTAGCTGGGTGCTGGTCCTCCCTGCAGCTGCCCACACTCTGACAGCTGGAGAAGCTCATATTAGGAAAAGCCTACTGTCCAGGTTCAAAGAAAGCCCACACTTCCTAGCTCTGTAAGTAAAGGGAGGCACACAGCGCCGAGGGCCAGAGTGTCACACTTCTCGGGAAGAAATGGAGTTGTCAGGAAAACTTGCTGCCATGTACCAGTGGTGCCTTCACCATGTATTCATGTCATGCTTGACTCTGGGCACCTAAGCCTGATGTTTCAACCCTGGTCACACCAATGATTGTCAAGTTCGCTCATAGACTAATGGCTTGAAAGAAGTATAATATGCACATGGCTGTGATCCAGCAACCCTGAGCTTAATCCTGCTCTAGTGTTGATTAACTGGGTGACTTCAGATAAGCCATTTCAGCCCAGTTTCCTCCAGAACCTAATTGGGGGATTATCTCACACCATCTTAGATCTTGTATCATTTGGGGGCAGAGGTGGAATGAGCACATTATGAAAAGTGCCCTCCTCTGGCCTGTTTTAAGGATTCAGTGTGTTTTAGACCAGATAATCCCATGAAAGTCTTGGTTTTCCCAAGAGTCAAACAGAGTGTTTGTACTAACCCACATCACTGAGGTGTAGCCCATATTTGGTTAATTGAATATCATTATGTACTTTGAAACTGTCGCTGCATTTAAAAATGCCTGTTTCTTATTAAGAAAAAAATATATACAATAACTCAAAAATGTGCTATAAGAAAGAAGCTGCCTGAAGAATATTTCTGCAGAGAGGCCAATTGTTTGGGAATTGGGATGCATTCTGCCACTTGTGAAAAGAAGCAAAAAGAGAAAAAAGGAGGAGAGAGATGAGAAGCACAAATATATTGACAGATGAGAAGAATAAATGTTTTTGTTGCATGCGCCGTACAGAGGTGTTCCACACACCAAATTATGACACAACTGTTGGAGTAATGGCTGCAGCTGTTGCCTTTGTAAAGTGATCCACAATACCCCACTCTAATAACCACAGCAACATGTCCAAGTCACTTCACACAATGAAGACAGCCTAATCCCATGCCACGTGAGCTCTGTGCCAGCCATGGCCATATCACAGCAGCAGGATCAAGCCGGGAATAATCACATCCTTAGGAAAAAAATCCCCTGTGTAACACACTGAAATCCCTCTTAAACAAAGCAAGCATGTGAATCTGCTACTGAACAGAAAAATTCCTTGATGAATTGCCAAGTAAGAGTAAAGGGTAAACATTCCATATGTTGCCCCCATTTCCATGGGGTAATAATTTCTAGAGGGAAAAATTGGCTCTGATGAACTAGGAAGATGTTGCTGGGCCTTATTCATTCATTCATTTGCTCAACAAATATTTCTTGAGCATTTACTGTGTCTTGAGCATTTTCTGATGTACACCGGAAATTCAGTGATGATCTCAGCAAGGGAGATCCACACTGAATAAATAACAAATAATTCACTGCAGTTGTGATACTGCTCTGAGAAAGAACCTGGTACTGAGTGTGAATTACAGACTGTATTTTCTCTCTAGTGCAGGTTGAAATGTACAAGTTTGCAATCACAATAAGCCTGCTTAGCATAACAAAGGACTTGGGAGTTGGTACCCAGGGAATAAGAAGTTCCACTGAAGATTAAAAAAATCATCTTTTAATGTTTTATTTGATAACATGTTCCTGTCATTGAATATTTGAAACTTGGCAGTGAATGTGTCAGAACCAGCTTCTCAATTCATGAAGCGATAAGCACTGAAGCTAATTGTAGATATGGAAAAATTCCCTTTAATAAAGACAGGAAAACACATTCCTATATCTGAGTAGGTTCATGTAGCAGCCAAGATCATAGGCTCTGGAATCAGCCTGCCTGAGTTCAAGTCTGTCTCCACCACTCGCTTGCTATAGAAGCCAACTTGCTTAAACTCTCCAAGCCACAGTTGCCTCATCTGTAAGATGGGAATAACTCTATTACCTCCCTTACAGGGCCATTGTGAGAATTAGGTAATTAATACACATAAAATATTTTAAATAGCATCTGAGGCATAGTAAATGCTATGTTATCATTGCAAATACTACTGTTACTTGAACCAAAATCTAGGATCCAACACTGTAGCTTAATAATTATGTCATCTCTAAATATTTTCTTTATTTTTTGGGAATCGCTCAGATTTAAGTTGTTCCTTGATCTCAACCCTGGATTTCTGTTTCTTCCAGATGTGAAAACCTCTTGACCCTTAAACCATTCTTAATTGTTTTCATTTAATCAGTCAAAATATGAATGCACATATATAGTCCATCCTTGAGTGATCATTTTCCTATTTCTCAGGTTTTGTCAAGAATGGTTTTGCTAAAAACATCATCTTCTGCATGGGCCAGAAATCACACAGTGGAGATGCCACCAGATAACTCCATAACTGCTATGTCACTGTTTATGAGTTAAAATTAAGCAGCAGACTGCACTACCTAACTCCTGTAAACCTCATCCCATTTCCTGGCCACATGGCCACCTACAAAGAATATAGACAATTTGGAGGAACGATGGAAAGGTCAACCATAAATATACACATCCTTTGTTCTTCAAGAGTGCAGCCAAATATATGAAGCCCCCCAAAATAAAAGAAAAAGTCTTAGGAAGTCAGATAAATAATTAGTTTTTTAGCCTTCAGCGTTCATTGTTTATGAAGGGTCAAGGACATTTTTGACATCTTGAAAGGCTGTTGGGACAGCAGATTGAATTTTTGGCGTAGATGATAGAGGAAATTCTGCTGAGATTTGATCATTTGTGTATTCCAAGTTCCTCCACACAAGCCGACTGTGAATGAAAGCAACACTAAAGATGTGCGAGCACTATGGTTATTTGTGTATGCAGTAAATACAATTTACTCCTGAAGAAACAGTTTGCTGTTTATTCACTGGGGGGAAAGAACAACTTGCTAACACTGACAGAACAGGAATATTGTGGATTAGGTTGCAGGAAAGTTCTCTTTAAAATGCTTTTGAAAGGACAAATAAAAGCAATTTTACTTTTTCTTCCTTTCGTAAATCTTCACTCCATTCCCTCATCTGTTCTTTCCTTCCTCTTTTCCTATTTTATTTCAGCTTATTCTTCTGGACTTTTTCCCAAACAGAGTTTTCTGAGAGCATATCAGCTAATTAATTATTTCTTCAACACTATTTCTATGCCTGACTCCTGACCTCCCAGGAGCCCTACAAAATACCTTGCTGTATCCTTCATTTACCCATGAAAGATTCTGGGAAGAGGCAATTAATTGAAAAATGGGGAAAACTATGTTGTGTTGAGAGAGACAGAGCACATGTCAGTATCATTCAGACCCAAGTTCTTGAGCCTGGTGCCGTTTCCCTTCCGTGTACAGAGGCCCCACGGAAACCTGCTACATCTTCTGACTCCGAAGGAAGCCTCATCTGGGTCAAGGCGGCAAGTGAAGCCTGTTTTGCCCCTACCCTACACGCTGCATGCTCAAATCTCCCCTGCTCTCATCACCCTTACTCTTGAGTTCCCAAAACAAAGGCATGGTATTGCCTGACAAGTACCACTTATCTTTGGCTAAGCAGGCTAGTGATGCCTGCGGATAATTCTTGCTCATTGCTGACACTGTAAATTAGTTCCAAATGGCCTTCTGAAGGCACTACCTGCTGCCTTTGGTGATCAGAGGCCTGTCTTCCAAAACATACTACCTTCCCTCTTGTCTTCTACCCATCAGAAACACATTTTCTTTTGATTTCTGGGGGGTCTCTCTGATGCAGTGTGTTGGGCATTTTGCTATCCTGGTTTTCCATTTGATAAAATAATTGAAGTGATATAGATGCTACTTGGCATCCAGGAGGGTGGATAATTTCCTCTACAGGGGTTAAAAATACAGCCCCAACCCCTCCAACTCATTACAAGTTACGGAAAATGAAGTCTTTTTCAGTGAAATGAAGTTCTGCCCACACTGGGGAATAATTGTCAGCAGCCACCAGCAATGGAAAATAAGGAAGCTATGACCAACTTCAGGTGTGCAAAGCCACATGCTATTAACAATAACAGTCCCCCTTTTTGTGGTAGGCCTGATACCATGACCAAAACTCATCACATGGATAAGAAACTGGGACCATATTTGTGGTGGACAAAATTCCATCATAACTGCGTCACTTGCATATTCAGTGTATACTGACTCTATACATTTGCCTAATCAGCCCAAATTAATTTGTACACACATGACATTCAGTGTTACAACAAAGTTAACATGCTAGTTTAAGCCATAAGGAATCTACTCTTCCAAAATTTTGCTTTTCTTTTCCACCCAGAGCAGGATGTTTTTCATTACAGAGTTGTGAAATGGGAACCTTTCCTTTCTTGTGAATAATAAATAGAATCATGAAAACTAAAAAGAATCTGATGGAATCCTACAAGTGAAGCTAAGCTGACATTTAGTTAGCAGAAGTAAAATTATTTCTTCAAAAAGTCAATATGCTTTGTGAAACTTTCCATATTTTTAATTCACTTGCAATAGATAATTAGCTCATATATTTAACTAAGCCTGATAAATTTTATTCAGCATTTTTTAAAGGAAATCACATGCTATTTTATTCTTGCACTAGTTCAGTCACTAATACAGTACACAGAGACAGCCTCCACTCCTCTAACCCCCGCCTCTCCTTAAAAGGCTATTTAGGGCTCCGTTTTCAGCCAAATGATCTGAATAGCATTTTCTTAATGCCATGCATCATTTTTCCAGTGAATCTTTAACTTATCGCAGGGAGGGGGCAGAAGATGAGAGGAGGAAGGGGCAGAAAGACAAGGGGCTAAGGGAGCATTTGGAATGAGAAATTTCCATTTGACTTCATTCTGATTGACTGTGGGTGACTCTTGGTGAGTGCCCATGGCCTCTTTCCTTCCTTGTCAAATGGGAGTACCATGTGTGATGGAAACGCCTTGCCAGGCAGGAAGGCTTTCAGGAATGGAGGGGGCATAGGAGACATAGCGTTTCCCCCTTAAGAACTAAAAATAGATCACCTTTTAGGGGTTGGGAGGTTGGAGTAAATTTTCTATATTTTGTTTGATTTGTATCAGAGCATTCTCTCAGAGTGCTTGTAAGTTGCAGAGAAACTAATTATGCACAGTTACACATATCATGCAACATTTTATTCATATCTAAAGTGTTCTTCCTTCCTATTTGTTCCCCTTTCCTTTCTCTCTAAGGAGTCTCAGGTCCTTTTCTCTTCTTACCACCTTTCTTTATTTTCAGTACTTCTCTGTTCCCCATCACAGAACTTGCCTTCTTTCCTTTTCTGTTTCTGGTCAATCCTTCAGGAGCCACCTCCCCCTCCTCCCCACAGCCCCATCTCAGATGAGAACGATCTTGCCCGCACATTTTCAGCAGGCAGGGCACACCATGAATGTGTCTATATTAAGGGAGGGAGGCCCAGATTGTTTACTTTCTCAGAAGGCTAAACATCTCTGCTGGGAGTCCTTGACTATGTGCTTAAGGACACAGACAGAAAGGACAAAGGGCAGCAGAAAGTGCTCCTGCCACTGTGATTTGCATCTGAGTTCAATTCTACTTTGCTTTAAAGAGTCTCATTTGAATACACAGTACATTAGCTCCACTCCTGCTTCCTATCCAATATGAGAAATACATTCATAGCTCAGTAACCTCTCCCCCGTCTAGTCCAGACAGTTGAAAAAAGGGTGGGGAGGGGGATCCAGCAACTGCAGAGAAATTGTATTTCAAATGAATGTCTTTTCATCAATTGCTTATGTATCCCTCAGCTGCACTGCACGATGAGATTTGCATATTTTTTCTTCCTAATGGAAATAAATATAGGATGAAGATTTTGTTTTGTCCATTTAAAAAGACTGCTTTGCCCTGTGTGATTGGGGCCTTCTAAATATGTGAGGGGAAGAGATGACTTGTTAGACTAAGGGAAATCAGAAGAATTTTAGATGACATGTCTACCATTATCATCTGTGTGAAGAACCCTGACTGGAAATTGTCTCCAGAATAGTTTCTGGCAAAAATTAATAAGTAGATTTATAATGTAAGGCTATGTGAATATAGTCATGTGAAGGACCAGTGATCTAAACCAAATCAGTCTGCAGAGAGTCCTAAATTATGCACGAGCCTGAAATGACATTAATGCACATTGTCTATTCCCTTTCTTTTCCATTTTCATGGGAATTAATATATGCCTCAGGATCTTTGTGTATATCTTCTTAACCCCTTGTCTTCTTTTAGGCTGAGAAAGCAGGAAGGTAACTAAAGATTAGGTGTATTTATGAGTATAAGGGTGATATTGTCAAATGTTTGAACATCATAATTGTCCTTTTTAAAAAAAAAATCAAGTTAGGACCTATATATTTGAAGTGTAGTATTAATAAGGGAATAGTGCTTTTTAAAAAAAAATGCCAGAGTTTATATATATAGCCCAGAATTTTACATATCAATGCCTTAAAAGTAGACAACTTAGAAAGCCAAGTTTTTGTCATTTTAGCTTTTAGTTGTCAACCATGGTTTTGTTTTGTTTTGTTGTAGCACCATAGTCAGAATTGCTACTAAAACTTATAGTAGTTTTGATTGAATATCATCAATGGAGGAAATTTTTTGTCATGTGAGGGTAGATTTGATTTTGGCAAATAGTCAAATATGTCTGGACCCAAGATAACTAGTGAATGAGCAGCTACGTGTTAGTTTAAGTAACGTCTTAGGTCTACTGAGCTCAGTTAATTTCCTGGGGAAAATTGCAAGATATGTGGAAATTCACACTCACTGTGCCTGATAATCCCTCATGCCTTTAATCAAAGAATTGTAGCATTAGAAGAAACCTTAGGGGTTACAGAATTCAACCCCTTAGTTGAGGGAAATAAAAAGGCTATCATAAGGGTAAAATTTTACTTAAAGCAATGTTTTTTTCTTGACTGTAGAAGTGCAAGTAATTATCATTTTGTTTAACCAGTTATTAAATAGTGGTAGCATTCGGATGCTGTTCACTTGTTGGGGAATGCATGTATGTGTGTGGTCAATGTGATTGTGTTTGTATTTATAGGACATTTCAGGGCATCTGCCCAGCTCTCAACTTACAATGCTTTACTTTGGGACTGTCCTCTTCCACCCCACATCTGGTCCTTGAAGTCACAGGTGTGGGGCCCTGTCAGCCATCTTGGAAGTGTAACATCTATTCTTAGAGATGGCTGATTGAACCAGCAGTAAAACCTGACCCAGGGCAGGCCAATCAAATCCTCTCTTGAGAATCTGGAATTCGCACTTAGGCAGGTTTTCAGTATGACTGCATCTATAACAGAGAGTTGGAAATTAAAGTTTTCTACATAATTCCATAAGAAATGGGGAGCAAAGAAAGCTTGTTTACGGATAAGAAAAAAGTACAGAAGATATGAAGAAAAAGACTCTTAAAAATAGGTAAATGGAGAGAGTTCTGGCCGTGCATCTGAAGGTTCCAGTTCCCACTTAGAGTTCTTCTTGAAGTCTGATTACGTCACTGCACTTAGGTTCCTTGAGCTACCATTGCATTCTTAAATAATATATTTTAAAACGTTTATTTTTCTTTATTAATTTAAATTAAGTTGACTTTGCTACTTTCAGCCAACCAGATTATACCTAAGGGATTATGCATATATATTAACCCTCAAGAGGAAACTGAACAAGTTAACCTCTCTCAGGAACCAAAGTCCTTTTCATGAAGACCTGAAGGGTTCCCTGAGAGGAAATTGAAATGGGACAAAAGGTCAGGCCCTGGGCCATAAGGTTTGAGGCACGTGCCAAGGACAGCTTTTGAGAGGATTCCCTCTGAGGTATGGGAGACTTGAAGCATTGATTGATGATTGTGGGAAAGGAACAATTTTGGGTGCGATCTGCATGGTCCTATGAACAGGTTCTTATCTGACACAGTCCTAGGGAAACTGGGAAAAGCAAATGTAACATTGTCATTCTCCTGTATTCAACTGATTTAGCAGTGGCCCCTGCATTGCCCAGAGTAGAAGATAAAAATCCAAACTCTAAATAGACACACAGGCCAGGCACGGTGACTCATGCCTGTAATCTGAGCATTTTGAGAGGTTAAGGCAGGAGGATTGTTTGAGGCCAGGAGTTCGAGACCAGCCTAAGCGACACAGTGAGACCATGTCTCTTTTTTTAAAAAAAATAAATAAATCAACAAATAAATAAATAAACAGACACATAAGGATCATCATCCTATCTACAGCTTCACCCTCATCTTCCTACTCACTTTATGATCCAAAAACACAAACTACTAATGTCCTCTCCTTCACTGCAGACCTCCATGCCTTTTGCACATGTCGTTCCCTCTGCTTGCAATGCCCTTACCACTCTACCGGTCCCCCCTCCATCTTAGTTTCCTATTCCCTTAGCCTGGGAAATTCCTGTTCAGCTTTCTAAACCCTCTCCAAAAACATTCTACTATGGGAGGCCTTCCCTGGCCAGGATAGAATTAATCCCTCATTTCTCTACACTGCTTTAGTACCTCATTAATACTTCCATCATTGCCCTGTATTGCTCTCTATTATAATGATTTCTGTGTTTTCTTCCCAGCTAAACTGCAAACAATGTGAAGGCAGGAACCACGTCTCATTCACTTTCGAACGTCCAACAACGAATAGTAACGTGTGCTCCATTATTAATCTGTAGCACATGCTCTGGTAGGTAACACCAGGTATGTGTTTAATAAATGTGGAAATAAATGAACTGAAATGGAATAAAATAATCTTTTGAGGAAGCTCTAAAGTAGCAGCCGCCAACCTTTTTGGCATCAGGGACTGGTTTTGTGGAAGAAAATTTTTTCATGGGCGGCAGGTGGGGATGGTTTTAGGATGATTCGAGCCCATTACATTTATTGTGCACTTTATTTCTATTATTATTATATTGTAATATATAATGAAATAATTATAAAACTCACCGTAATGTAGAATCAGTGGGAGCTCTGAGCTTGTTTTCCTGCAACTAGATGTTCCCACGTAGGGGTGATGGGAGACAGTGACAGATCATCAGGCATTAGATTCTCATAAGGAGCTCACAGTCTAGATCCATTGCAGGTGCAGTTCACAATAGGGTTTGCACTCCTATGAGAATCTAATGCTGCTGCTGATCTGAGAGGAGATGGAGCTCAGATGGTAATGCAAGAATGGGGAGTGGCTGTAAATACAGAGGAAGCTTTGCTTGCTCACCCACTGCTCACCTCTTGCTGTGCAGTCTAGTTCTTAACAGGACATGGGTCACTTCCTGGGGGTGGGGACCCCTGCTCTAAAGTATTTGTTCTAGAGTCATCCCCTACCTTAGTGAAAGTAACTCTTGAAACTTCTTGCATTATTAACTATGTTGCCTGTTGCTCCTCTAGGAGGTGAAGTAGATGTCACATACAGGAGAGTTATTCAGGGCTATATTGCTCGACAGGGATGTTTCTGTATAAGGATTTCTTACCAGTCTGGGGACTCACAATAGTGAATGAAATGCCAGTTATTTTCCCTGGTTTATCTCACCCTCCTTAATATGACTGGAAGAGGTTACGCATTGGCCCAAAAGCCCCAAAACTCTATGAAGCAGGAACAATGTCTGTTTTTTGTTCATCGTTATATACACAGCATCCGAATACCAACTCGGTAGCCAATAAATATATGTTAAGAGAGAAAGTGGGGGAAGGGGTGAGGTGGAGAGAGAGCTAAAGAGGAGAAGCAAGGAGGGACTTTAGAAGGAAATTTAAAAATTACTTGAGAAAAACTAAATTCACTCTCTAAAGTGAACCACACACGGCAAAATCACAGTTAAGTGTAAACACACAGAGCACAACATAAATATTGTAAAGTGCTATTCTACTGTTGGCTATGTATCATCCCTTACCAAGGCTTTGGTGAAGGTCTTGGGTTAAGTGGTATTATCAGGTCATAATCTATCTCCAACCCAGATCCCTTTCTTGAAGATACTGCACTGGCACTGGTGCTTTGGTGTGAATTTGAAAAATCTTTCAGGGGCCGGGCACAGTGGCTTACGCCTGTAATCCCAGCACTTTGGGAGGCTGAGGTGGGTGGATCACGAGGTCAGGAGATCAAGACCATCCTGGCTAACACGGTGAAACCCCGTCTCTACTAAAAATACAAAAAATTAGCCCGGCGTGGTGGCGGGCGCCTGTAGTCCCAGCTACTTGGGAGGCTGAGGCAGGAGAATGGCATGAACCTGGGAGGCGGAGCTTGCAGTGAGGCGAGATTGTGCCACTGCACTCCAGCCTGGGCAACAGAACGAAACTCCATCTCAAAAAAAAAAAAAAAATCTTTCAGTTACTCTGTCCGAGTAAATGAACACTCAGCCCCTAAGCTTCAGTCTTTCTCTCTCAAGGGTAAAGAGTTCAGTAATGTTACTTCTCTACACAAGCAATGTCTGGTTTCTTCTTAGCTGTTCTTACCCAAAACCATGTTAACGTTGGAGCAGTGGGAGTCCCGCAGAGCAATATATTTATAAAAGAGCTCTCTTCTCTCAAAATATCTTCTGCCTTTGTATCAAAGGAGTGGCATAGATATTCTTGGCTTTTGGAGCACACATACTCACAAAGAGTGTCTTTGAGGCTGAATGCATCCCCTTCACTGAAATTCTCTTTCTTCTATAATTGTTCCCTACCTCACTTTTAAATCTTACTTTGGCTTTGGAGCAATGGTTTAAAAGTGGTGGCAACTGTTCAATGAAATGTTGCCATATGACTTTTCCAATTAAGAGTTTTGTGGCAACTACAGATGCATTAAATCAGGAAATGGAATAATGGAAAACCTGAGCTAAAAAGATTATATGAAAGATAATCTAATATAAAACTTTTATTTTACAATCGACTTAACTTAGTCCTTAAGAAACTGGGGACCCTGCCTAAAATTACAAATGAAACCAGTGGCAGAACAAAGAGAAGAATTTTAGTGAGCTATACTCCAGGCCAGGTGTTTTTTTCTATATAATATGTATAGTAAAGGCAGGTAAGACCCGATAGGACATGGCATGACAGCCAATGAGGCTAAGGTCAAGTTTTTCTGATATTTTAGACTGGAGAGACCTGAAGGCAAAAGTTGACAGGGTTGTAGAGCGGTGAAGTGAAAGGTCTTTGAATTTCTGTTTGAATTCCCCATTCAAGATTAGTTATGTGACCTTGAGAACAATGGACTTTTCCAATCCTCAGTGTTCTTATCTGTTAAAGGAGCATAATAAGGGTGCCTATGTCATACAGTTATGAAAACTAAATAGTAATGCATACAAGCAAATAGCACAATGTCTGCACATAGCAAGTACTCAAGATAGTAGAGACCTATCTTAACACATTTAACCTGGGCTAATTCAGCCTGACATACATCCTCAACAGAACAAGAAAAAAGAGAAATAAATATCCATTTATTTGTGTGTGTGACTTGGAGTAAGCATGAGAAGGGATCTATGAGTTTGTGGGTCCCTCAGTCAGTGTCAGCCTCTGCGTGCCTCTCATACCATGAGCATCTCTATGCCCCCTAGAAGGTCTTTATAAAGTATATGTTTGTTATACATCAAGTCCTTTAAATGGAAGCCAGAGACTTCATCTGGTGCACACATGAAGAAACACCAATCTGCTTTAATATAGGAAGAACAACTAAAGTTAGGCTTATGCGGAATTGCGGTTTGTTTGGTCTCCAGCATGACTCTCTAAGATATCAAGGAGAAAAACTAATAAAATGTCATTTTTGCCTTAGGCTTTGACTTAATATCTGAATTCCTTCATAAGATACATTGGCACTTTAAATGCCATCATTGTCAACATCATCATCATCATCCCCATCAAACATCATCTCTACTAATAGTCTGTCAAAACTTTCTATTGTCACTTGGAAAACCCCTCTTTTGGCATTGTGCTCAGATTTCCCCTTAAAAGATTACACTTAAAGCATCAACCTTTTTCACACATTGTATAATCAGAAGCATTTTGAGAACATCTTGGGAAGAGATGCAGCAGATCTTCCAGGCCATCTCAGCACATATTTAGTGACCAATTCCAGGGCCCTTTGCCCCTCTTTCAGGGTCAGGACTAGGGGAGGCCAGTGAGGCACTTGCCTCAGGCACAAAATTTAAGGCAGCACAAAGAACTCAGTAGTCACATAAATGGTATCTTAACACAATATTTTGAAAAATAAAAATTATGCAAAAAATACATGGTGAATAAAATATCAAAATGTTAAAGACAAGACCAATGCTACTGCCTTTTTCTCTCGTATCTGACCCCAAATGGCTTGACCCAGCATTGACTTTGTGTTCCTGGGTCCTGAGCACTCCTCTGAGTATATCCCTATAATGTTTCAACCCTTCAGAGACCCCAATGTGATTGCAGAATCACAAGATCAGCTCAAGTTAGTTATGGATTTCACAAAGTGTATTCTATAAGTCAGGCACTATTCTAAGTGCTAGAGATAGCATAGTGAATAACTAGACAAAAACCCCATCTCCATGGGACTTGCATCTAAGTGGGAGGAGGACATAGAAAATAAATAAATAAATAAATAAATGAAATACACAGTAATTCAGATACATTAGACAAAGGTGATATGGAATTCTATGGGTGGAGCTAGGAACTGAAATTTTAAATAGGGTGCTCAGAGAAGGCCTCACTGAGAAAGTGACATTGAGCAAAAACCTAAAAGAGTGAGGAAGCAAGTGTTGGGTTATCCAGAGGGAAATTACCCCATGCAGAGGGACCAGCAAGGGCAAAGGGCCCGATGTTGGGTGATATGGTTTGGCTGTGTCCCCACCCAAATCTTACCTTGAATTGTAGCTCTCATAATCCCCATGTGTCATGGGAGGGACCCAGTGGGAGGAAACAGAATCATGGGAGTGGGTTTTTCCTGTGCTGTTCTTGTGATAGTAAGTCTCATGAGATCTGATGGTTTTATAAAGGGCAGTTCCCCTGCACATGCTGTCTTGCCTGCCACCATGTAAGACATGCCTTTGCTCCTCCTTTGCCTTCTGCCATGATTGTGAGGCCTCCCCGGCCATGTGGAACTGTGAGTCCATTAAACCTCTTTTTCTTTATACATTACCCAGTCTCAGGTATGTCTTTAGTATGAGAATAGACTAATACAAAGGGGTTTCCAGGATGGGGCCATGAAAAACAGCAGCTTCACTGTCAGAAAGGAGGGCTTTATGTAGGTGGGAGGTAAAATTCCATGCCTGTGAGAAATTGGCAATAATGAAGTAGATTTCTGGAAGAAGGAGCAGCCATATGGAGGTGATAATACTGGCAGGAAAGTGGGAAGGAATACAAAACAACGCTGAGTCTGGGGAAAACAGGAACCTCTTCTCACTTTTTATGCTCTTTCTCATTGCTATAGTTTGGATATTTGTTCCCTGAAACCTCATGTTGAAGTTTGATCCCGAATGTTGGAGGTGGTGCCCCATGGAAGGTGTTTGGGTCATGGAGGTGAATCCCTCAGAAATAGATTATACCCTCCCTGGGTAGTGAGTAGTTCCCGAAAGAGCTTGTTGTTAAAAAGAGCCCACCCCCATACCCCCAACCCGCGGCTCTTGCTCTCCCTTGCATCCACTCTCACCATTTGATCTCTGCACACACAGGCTCCCCTTCATCTTCTGCCATGAGTCTATGGTCGTCACCAAATGCAGATGCTCAATATTTTTGAACTTTTCGAGACATCAGAATTGTGAGCCAAATAAACTTTTTTTTTTTTTTAAATAAATTACCCAGCCTCAGGTTTCTGTTTCTTTGTTTTAGATGGAATCTCCCTCTGTTGCCCAGGCTGGAGTGCAGTGGTGCAATCTTGGCTCACGGCAAACTCTGCCTCCTGGGTTCAAGCGATTCTCCTGCCTCAGCCTCCCCGAGTGGCTGGACTACAGCGCCACCATGCCCAGCTAAGTTTTTAAAAAATTTTTAGTAGAGACAAGGTTTCACCATGTTGACCAGGCTGGTCTTGAACCTTTGACCTCATGTGATCTGCCTGCCTCGGCCTCCCAAAGTGCTGGGATTACAGGCATGAGCCACCATGACCCACCTCAGGTTTTCCTTTTTAGCAACATTAAACAGATTAATATACTGGTGATTAGGAAGAAATGTCAGACCAAGGGCTCGAGAAAGTAATTTCTGATCTGTACTTCAATTTCATAACCAGAAAATCATTAATCATTTCAATGACTAACAGAGCTTTCCCTTGTCCCTATAATGTTGACCATAAGGTAATAGCATAGAGTAATGGGACACAGAGTCCAAATTGAACATCTTAAGGCTTATATTAGCAAACTGGTTAATATGGACACAGCTGTGGTTGTCATTCAAGCTTTATTAAGCTGACAAATGCCAGATTCCAAATATATGGGCAATATGAATTGCAGCAATATATACACAATCATTGCTTCAGACTTTTCTCTGGGACCAGAACTGCAGTACCCTATAATGACTAGTCTTTCTTTTAGTTTTCAATCAAGAAATGCCAAAAAGATTGATTATAAAATCTAATATAATATCTGAAACAGGATTGTTATACCCAGATGGTTGGTGTTGGGTTCTGCCATGGTATAGTTACTTTATATCATTTGATAATAAAATATCCAGAATTTCAGGTAGTAGTGTCAGTCTACAGCATTGTCAAAGATTTTGAAGATGTTTACAGTTTGAAGAACCCCACATTGTTCATTTTTTTGTTAAACATGATGCTGTAATTCCTGAACAAATCTCTTCCCTGACCCAGAGATGAAAGAACACTGCTAAAAAATTTTCTCAGGCAAATTCATGGATTTGTGCATCAGAAGAGAAAAGACTGTAAGTGTGAAGACAAACCTTATGCTGAGGAGGCAAGATAAATCTAACAGAGTGGCTGAACCAATACTTACCGCAATGGCAGAGTGCAATCGTTTTCAAAATAGCTTTTTTCCAAAAGTTGTTTGGATTAAATTTTCAGTTTATATAAAATATCATCTCACAAAATTCTAAAATCATATTTTACTTTGTATATAATTTCTACTATGAAATAAAAAATGAACTATGCCTACCCTCATTCCAAATTTGCTTAGAGACAACTGTCTTTATATTTTCAGCCTTAAATAGGAACAGGTATGCTTCAAAACCACCCATTTTCCTAGCCTTGAAAAGTATCTCAAAGTTCTCCATATTATTAATATTCTCTGATAGAACAGGAGAGGATATTATTCAGAATAGGCTACGCTATGATATAGTTACCAATAAACCTTAAAGTCTCAGTGACTTAATTGAATATACATTTCTTTCTAGCTCACACAAACTCCAGTATGTGTGAGGTAGTCCCTTTTGTCTTGTCAACACACCATCAGGAACGTGAGGCCTCCAAGGTCAGTATGATAGAGGAAGAGGAAGCTGGAAAATCACAGGGAGGGATTCTACTTACATCCAATAGTCACGACCCAGTCACATGACCTCAACCTAACTACTAGGAAGGCTGGAAAATCCGCAGGTGCATAGGCATAGGGCACCAGCAGCTCTGCCTCAATCTGCTTTATGGTAACTGTTAAAAGAAGAACTTTAGATACATTTAACAAAGTTTAATCGAGTAAAGAACTATTGGCAAATCAGGCAACCCTCTGAACCAAAAGAAGTGAAGAGAATTCTGCCTTGCAATGTGGGCAGGCAGCATTTAGGAACAGAAAATTTAGGAACAGAAAATGGAAGTGAGATACAGAAACAGTTTAATTGGCCACACTCTGCATTTGCCTTATTTGAACATAGTCTGATCAGTTGGCCACCTGTGACTGACTGAAGCTCAGCTGCTATGATTGATTGAGATTCAGCTATCTGTTACAGGAGTACAGTCCTGAATTAGGCTTTCAGTTAGTTCATGTACTAAGTTAGGTTGTAGTTTGTTCTGTAGGGACCGGAAGTATGCAGGCAGCTTCAGGCCAAATTAGTTTAATTCAACATTTCTGAATACCCCTCTGCCCCTTTATCCTACACATAGATGTTAGTTACCCCTCCCCTCCCCCTACGTGAACTAATCCTTAATTCAGTGCATTTAGCTTAATGTCCAGGATCTCTGGGTGATACACATTTTTCTCTATCAAATCTAGTGTGGCTTCAGAGACTTATGAACTTTAAAAAGATGAATTCTCTGTCCCATCCAATGTGCACTGGTGGAATGGGTACCACCCTAACCACCACCTTAATAAATGCTCCTATTAAGAAAAGAAAGGGAGGCACAAAGCAGTCACAGATCTGGAATTCTGAAATCCTGCCAGACACATTTTGAAGATTCCTATCCTGGGTGAGGGATGTTCCTGGATTAACCCTAATTCTGTCCTCCAGGAGGGTCTTCCCTTATTTATTATCTTCTTTGTCCTCATCTGAAATTTGTGAGGAATCATCTCCTTCTCTGGGTTGCATAGCTTCAGCACCTGCTTCTGCTCATGGAAGGTTGAGGGACCAAGGGTTGTTGTATGTCTCAAAGCATCAAAGGCCATTTTATACTCCATACTAATAGATTTTTAAAAATGTTTATCTTATTTTAAGTTCTAGGATACATGTCCAGGATGTGCAGGTTTGTTACGTAGGTAAACATGTGCCGTGGTGGTTTGCTGCACAGATCAACCTATCACCTAGGTATTAAGCCCCATATGCATTAGCTATTTATCCAGATATTGTACCTCCCACCTTGTCCCGCTCCCTCCCCTGATAGGCCCCGGTGTGTGTTATTCCCCTCCCTGTGTCCATGTGTTCTTATTGTTCAGCTCCCACTTGTAAGTGAGAACATGCAGTATTTGGTTTCCAGGTCCTGTGTTAGTTTGCTGAGGATAATGGCTGTCAGCTCCATCCATGTCCCTGCAAAGGACATGATCTTGTTCCTTTTTATGGCTGCATAGTATTCCATGATGTATAGGTACTACATTTTCTTTATCCAGTCTATCACTGATGGGCATTTGGGTTGATTCTATGTCTTTGTTATTGTGAATAGTGCTGCAGTGAACATAAGTGTGCATGTATCTTTATAATAGAATGATTTATATGCCTTTGGGTATATACCCAGTAATGGGATTGCTGGGTCAAATGGTATTTCCGGTTCTGAGTCTTTGAGGGATTGTCACACTCTTCCGCAATGGTTGAACTAATTACATTCCCACCAGCAGTGTAAAAGCATTTCTATTTCTCCACAGCCTTGCCAGGATCTGTTGCTTCATGATTTTTTAATAATTGTCATTCTGACTGGTGTGAGATGGTATCTCAGTGTGGTTTTGAGTTGCATTTCTCTAATGATCAGTTATCTTGAGCTTTTTTTCTTACGTTTGTTGGCTGCATAAATATCTTCTTTTGAGAAGTGTCTGTTCATGTCCTTTGCTCACTTTTTAATGGAGTTGTTTGTTTTTTTCTTGTAAATGGTTTAAGTTCCTTGTAGATTCTGGATATTAGATCTTTGTCAGATGGATAGCCTGCAAAAATTTTCTCCCATTCTGTAGGTTGTCTATTCACTCTGGTGATACTTTCTTTTAAGCTCTTTAATATAATTAGATCTCATTTGTCAATTCTTGCTTTTATTGCAATTGCTTTTGATGTTTTCATCATGAAATCTTTGCCCGTGCCTATGTCTTGAATGGTATTGCCTAGATTTTCTTCCAGGGCTTTTATAGTTTTGGGTTTTACATTTAAGCTTTTTGATGTGGGCATTTAGTCTATAAATGTCCCTCTTAACACTGCTTTAACTGTGTTCCAGAGATTCTGGTATGTTGTCTCTTTGTTTTCACTGGTTTCAAAGAAGTTCTTGATTTCTGCCTTAATTTCATTATTTACCAGGAGTCATTCAGGAGCAGGTTGTTCAATTTCCATGTAGTTGTGTGGATTTAATTGAATTTCATAATAGTGAGTTCTAATTTGATTGCACTGTGGTCTGAGAGACTGTTGTGATTTCAGGTCTTTTGCATTTGCTCAGGAGTGTTTTACTTCCAATTATGTGATTGATTTTAGAGTAAGTGCCATGTGGCACCAAGAAGAATGTACATTCTGTTGTTCTTGGGTGGAGTGTTCTGAAGATATCTATCAGGTCCACTTGATCCAGAGCTGAGTTCAAGTCCTGAATATCCTTGTTAATTTTCTCTCTTGATGATCTGTCTAATGTTGACAGTGGGGTGTTAAAATGTCCCACTATTAAGTCTCCTACTATTATTGTGCGGGAGTCTAAGTCTCTTTGTAGGTCTCTAAGAACTTGTTTTATGAATCTGGGTGCTCCTATATTGGGTACATGTATATTTAGGATAGTTAGCTCTTCTTGTTGAATTGATCCCTTTATCATTATGTAATGCCCTTCTTTTTTTTATTTTTATTTTTTATTTTTTGAGACGGAATTTCACTCTTGTTGCCCAGGATGGAGTGCAGTGGTGCAATCTCAGCTCACTGCAACCTCTGCCTTCTGGGTTCAAGAAGTTCTCCTGCCTCAGTGTCCCGAGTAGCTGGGATTACAGGTGTCTGCCATCACACCCGGCTAATTTTTGTATTTTTAGTAGAGACTGGGTTTTACCATCTTGGCCAGGCTGGTCTTGAACTCCTCGCCTCATAGTCCACCTGCCTCAGCCTCCCAAAGTGCTGGGATTACAGGGGTGATGTAATGCCCTTCTCTGTCTTTTTTGATCTTTGTTGGTTTAAAGTCTGTTTTGTCAGAAACTAGGATTGCAACCTGTGCTTTTTTCTGCTTTCCATTTGCTTGTTAAATTTTCCTCCATCTCTTTGAGTGTATGTGTGTCTTTGCACATGAGATGGATCTCTTGAATACAGCACACCAATGGGTCTTGACTGCTTTTCCAGCCTGCCATTCTGTGTCTTTTAATTGGGACATTTAGCTCATTTCCAGTTAAGGTTAATATTGTTATATGTGAATTTGATCCTGTCATCATGATGCTAGCTGGTTATTTTAGAGACTTGTTAATGTAGTTGCTTCACAGAGTCATTGGTCTTTGTACTTCAGTATGTTTTTGCAGTGGTTGGTAATGGTTTTTCCCTTCCATATTTAGTGCTTCCTTCAGGACCCCTTGCAAGGCAGGCCTGTCTGAAAGGATTTTATTTCTCCTTTGCGTATGAAGCTTAGTTTGGCCAGATATGAAATTCTGGGTTGGAAATTATTTTGAGAATGTTGAATACTTGAATACTGGTCCCCAATCTCTTCTGGCTTGTAGGGTTTCTGCTGAGAGGCCTGCTGTTAGTCTGGTGGGGTTTCCTTTGTAGGTGACCTGGTCTTTCTCTCTGGCTGCCATTAATATTTTTTCCTTCATTTTGACCTTGAAGAATCTGATAATATGTCTTGGGGTTGATATTTTCATGGAGTATCTTACTGGAGTTCTCTGGATTTCCTGAATTTGAATGTTGGTCTGTCTTGTTAGGTTGGGGAAGTTATTTTGGATGATATTTTGAAGTATGTTTTCTTTTTTTTTTTTTTTTAACATTTTTATTTTTTATTTTATTTTATTTTTTAAATTTTTTTATTATTATTATACTTTAAGTTTTAGGGTACATGTGCACAATGTGCAGGTTAGTTACATATGTATACCTGTGCCATGCTGGTGTGCTGCACCCATTAACTCGTCATTTAGCATTAGGTATATCGCCTAATGCTATCCCTCCCCCCTCCCCCCACCCCACAACAGTCCCCAGAGTGTGATGTTCCCCTTCCTGTGTCCATGTGTTCTCATTGTTCAATTCCCACCTATAAGTGAGAACATGCGGTGTTTAGTTTTTTGTCCTTGCGATAGTTTACTGAGAATGATGATTTCCAATTTCATCCATGTCCCTACAAAGGACATGAACTCATCATTTTTTATGGCTGCATAGTATTCCATGGTATATATGTGCCACATTTTCTTAATCCAGTCTATCATTGTTGGACATTTGGGTTGGTTCCAAGTCTTTGCTATTGTGAATAGTGCCGCAATAAACATACGTGTGCATGTGTCTTTATAGCAGCATGATTTATAGTCCTTTGGGTATATACCCAGTAAAAGCAGAGTGCCTCTCCTCCTCCAAAGGAATGCAGTTCCTCACCAGCAACCGAACAAAGCTGGACGGAGAATGACTTTGACGAGTTGAGAGAAGAAGGCTTCAGACGATCAAACTACTCCGAGCTACAGGAGGACATTCAAACCAAAGGCAAAGAAGTGGAAAACTTTGAAAAAAATTTAGACAAACGTATAACTAGAATAACCAATACAGAGAAGTGTTTAAAGGAGCTGATGGAGCTGAAAGCCAAGGCTCGAGAACTACATGAAGAATGCAGAAGCCTCAGGAGCTGATGCGATCAACTGGAAGAAAGGGTTTCAGTGACAGACGATGAAATGAATGAAATGAAGCGAGAAGGGAAATTTAGAGGAAAAAGAATAAAAAGAAACAAACAAAGCCTCCAAGAAATATGGGACTATGTGAAAAGACCAAATCTATGTCTGACTGGTGTACCTGAAAGTGACGGGGAGAATGGAACCAAGTTGGAAAACACTCTGCAGGATATTAGCCAGGAGAACTTCCCCAATCTAGCAAGGCAGGCCAACATTCAGATTCAGGAAATACAGAGAACGCCACAAAGATACTCCTCGAGAAGAGCAACTCCAAGACACATAATTGTCAGATTCACCAAAGTTGAAATGATGGAAAAAATGTTAAGGGCAGCCAGAGAGAAAGGTCGGGTTACCCACAAAGGGAAGCCCATCAGACTAACAGTGGATCTCTCAGCAGAAACTCTACAAGCCAGAAGAGAGTGGGGGCCAATATTCAACATTCTTAAAGAAAAGAATTTTCAACCCAGAATTTCATATCCAGCCAAACTAAGCTTCATAAGTAAAGGAGAAATAAACTACTTTACAGACAAGCAAATGCTGAGAGATTTTGTCACCACCAGGCCTGCCCTAAAAGAACTCCCGAAGGAAGCACTAAACATGGAAAGGAACAACCAGTACCAGCTGCTGCAAAATCATGCCAAAATGTAAAGACCATCGAGACTAGGAAGAAACTGCATCAACTAACGAGCAAAATAACCAGCTAACATCGTAATGACAGGATCAAATTCACACATAACAATATTAACTTTAAATGTAAATGGACTAAATGCTCCAATTAAAAGACACAGACTGGCAAATTGGATAAAGAGTCAAGACCCATCAGTGTGCTGTATTCAGGAAACCCATCTCACATGCAGAGACACACATAGGCTCAAAATAAAAGGATGGAGGAAGATCTACCAAGCAAATGGAAAACAAAAAAAGGCAGGGGTTGCAATCCTAGTCTCTGATAAAATAGACTTTAAACCAACAAAGATCAAAAGAGACAAAGAAGGCCATTACATAATGGTAAAGGGATCAATTCAACAAGAAGAGCTAACTATCCTAAATATATATGCACCCAATACAGGAGCACCCAGATTCATAAAGCAAGTCCTGAGTGACCTACAAAGAGACTTAGACTCCCACACAATAATAATGGGAGATTTTAACACCCCACTGTCAACATTAGACAGATCAACGAGACAGAAAGTTAACACGGATACCCAGGAATTGAACTCAGCTCTGCACCAAGCAGACCTAATAGACATCTACAGAACTCTCCACCCCAAATCAACAGAATATACATGTTTTTCAGCACCACACCACACCTATTCCAAAATTGAAGTATGTTTTCTAACTTGGTTCCATTCCCCAATCAGTCGTAGGTTTGATCTTTTCACATAATCCCATACTTCTCAGAATTTTGTTCATTCCTTTTCATTTTTTTTTTCTCTAATCTTGTCTGCCTGTCTTATTTCAGCAAGATAGTCTTCAAGCTCTGAAATTCTTTCCTCTGCTTGGTCTATTTGGTTATTGATACTTGTGGTTGCTTTATGAAGTTCTCGTGTTGTGTTTTTCAGTTCCATAAGGTCATTTATGTTCCTCTCCAAACTAGTTATTCTGGTTAATGGCTCATCAGTTGCCGGTGCAGGATTCACTCACTGCTTTTGTCCTACTTGGTGGGAGCCTCTGACCACAGTTGTTTCTAGTCAGCCATCTTGGCCCCTCCCTTTTGCTCATAAAGTTTTGTGGGGAAAATAACATCCTTCAAAAATTCAGCAGACCTTTGATCTATTTGATTCTAATCAGTTGCATGTGCTAATAAACACATCTAAAGTTATCTTCTAGATATAGTCCTCAAATCTACTCTTTTCTTACTTCTATTTTTTATTTTAACTTAATGGTGGCTATGTTCGTATTTCCAGTGTGGAGAGAAAGGTCACTTCTTTAATCTGATCTGTGCTCATAATAATATTATTCACATTTTGCTAGATATTTGCTGATCAAAATCTTTTTAAATTCCACCTTTACCTTTTGGAATCTAGAAGCAGTAGCCTTTTCCAATCCTGCAATGCCTCAAATTTCTGGACTTGATTTCTGTTTATAAACTCATCAGTTCTCTTCTGAACTCATCTCTTCTATATAACATCTCGCCAAACGCAGCCAATAGGAACCAACACACAATACTAACTTATTGTTTTCCAACCTTTTCCCCTAGAGATGTCAGATCAGTAATCACATAGGCCACCTTGCAAATTATTGCAGGAGCAAATTTTCAAATGTTTTGCCACTGGATGACATAAATCAAGACTTTTCCAGCCTCCACTATTGGTTTCTTCACCATCTACTGGCCACCCATGAATCCAATGCTACATGCTAGTAGCTTGAGTACCAGAGATGTAATGAAAAACAGAAACAAAAATAAAAAATCCCTAATTTACAAAATGGTCAACCTCCCAGCTTTCAGTGACATTGACAATGAAGATTATTTTCAGCTCACACAATGTGTAATGCATGGTAGGTAGCCCTCTCCTATCTTACAGCTGTGTCATTGTGAATACCTGGCCTCCAACACTGCTGAAGTTTTGGAATGAAAGGGCTGGATAACCACACTGGAAAACCTTAGGGATGCTCTGGAAGAGGCTTACATTATTTTAACTAATTTCTCATTGGCCAGGTCCCCATTAATTAGTTCCAACCAAACTGTAGGAGAAGCTAGGAAACACCTTGGAGCATATGGATTTAAAGGAAAGTACTCAGTCTCGGTCACATATATCCCCAAAGATATTACTATGATTTAAATGTTTGTCCCCTCTGAAACTCATGTTGAAACTTAATCCCCAATGTGGCAGTATTGAGAGGTAGGGCCTTTAAGAGGTGATTGGGTTATGAGAACTCGCCCTCATGAATGAATTAATCTATTCATTGATCAATGAATCATTGATTAATCAATGAATGGATTAATGGGCTATTATGGGAGTGGGGTGTTATAAGAGAAAGAGAAGCCTAAGCCAGCACACTGCCCCCTCACCATTAGATGCTCTCTGCCATCTCAAGACTCTGCAGAGAGTCCCTACCAGCAAGAAGGCCCTCACCAGATGTGGCCTCTTGACCTGGCACTTCTCAGCCTCTGTAACTGTAATAAATAAATTCTTTTTCTTTATAAATTACTCAGTTTCAGGCATTCTGTTACAAGCAACAGAAAACAGACTAAGACAGACACCAAATCCAAAATTACCCACACAAAAAATCTAAAGTTTTGCACAAGTTGTTTTACCATTAATTCTTTGTGTTCCCAACTAGAAAATGAGCTTAATTTTATTTAATCATAATAGAATGATTGTGAGGATTTAATACCATGACATATAAAATCTTAGCATAATATCTGATGCAAAATAGCCTCTTTTAAGAAGGTTAATAAAATCTCAATAGAGAATTTCTAATTTGTTCTAAGTTTTATGCATGGGGATATTCAGGCTTAATATTCAGACTTAGCATTCTTTATAAAATAATTACAGAAAGCTGTTTTGACCATTGGCAGCCCTGCAAGTCCCCTTTCAGTAGTATGTGGATTGCAACATTAACATTAAGGTTTTAGCTTTTTGTTCTGCTCTTGGCATTCTTTAGTGGTGTTTTTAAAAGCCCTGATTGAAGTGTAGGTTGGTTAACTACTGAAGGATGTGGTAGGAAGGACTGACCCATGAGCTAGAGGGAATAATATTGTCTCTGGATTGGGTTGCCACTAAGGAAGTACTTAGGATAAGGATTTCAGTGCAGTTAGTTTATTTGGGGGTGATCCCAGGAAGCATGGTGAAGTAATGGTGAGCTGAGAAATCAGGAAGGAAGTAAAGGCTGTAAAAGATGTATTAATGACTGGGCTACCATGTGGGAAACTATGGGCTGCCTGGGAGCTTCTAGGTCACTGTGGAAGACACTTTATAATTGTCCCATCAGGGCTTGAAAAACCTGGGTGTTTATCCATCAGTTCCTGTCTCTCCATGGCTGAAGTTCTTTTTCTCTATCCTTACTCTCCAGCACTTCCAGCCTGCCTTGTGCACAAATGAGCATGCCAGAGGAACCCCACAGGCAGAGAGAGGCAAGACGCCATCAGCATATCTGGGAACTATATGCAGGTGACCTCTGGAGTGGGCCTGGGGGATGGGTGGGACCAACAGCAGGAACCTATGTTTAAAATGATGCCCCTCAGAATTTCTCAATCACTGGGGCCATGCATCCCAAAGCCCTTCCTAGCATTCCTTTTTTATTATTACCAACTTGTGAATGTACCTTATAATTTGCAAATTATGATTTCTGACAAGGAATGAAAAGGTTACACTTGCAAAATTTGCTTTATTTCCCAGTCCACTGCTGTGTTTTCTCTTTCTACTAGGTTCTGTTACTCTTTTCTTTCTTTGTCTATATTTTGCAAGGACCAAATTCTCCTTCTTTGGTAGGAGCATATTGAAGGGTTCAGGCCTGCCCAGCTGGTACATTCACCCAGTTTGTACAGGGGTAAGCCACTGAGGTTATAATCCCAGGATGTGGCAGACAGCAGAAACTTCTAGCCTGTTAAACATTTTCTGCATGCCCCATTCTCAATCCCTCTTTCCCTTTTATTATTTTCATTATTTTAAACTAATTTCTATTTGCTTTTTTTTCAATTTAAAATGTTAAATTTTAAACATTTTAAAATCTGGGTTAGAATCCCCTTTTTATTCTGAATTAAAAGGTATATTTTTCATAACTCAAACAACAACATTTTGGCAGGAAGTTAGCAGAAACATATGGGCCTCCGCATTTTGATGCCCAGACTGGCTTCTGCCAAAACATTTCTTTGCTGTCATATAGACAGCAGCAATGTTTGGGACTGTTGGGGTATCATCCTACACAGCTCAGGATAGGAAATGCTTCTGCTTAACAGCCTTTGTGTGTACAGAGGGACTTCCCACCCAGACTTTGAGAATTCCCAGAAGTGAGAGGGATGCAGAATCAGTTATCATCCCCTTCTTTAAGCTGCACAACTCCAAGCAGTGTCCCTTAACTTCATCAGCCCACAGACAGTAACAGGATGGCTGGGATAGGAAAGGAGAGAGTATTAGTCGACTACAAACCAGAAAACAGAAACCACTCTATTTTTCAAAAGTGAGAATTTAATTCAAGGGATTGGCTGCACAGGTAATGGAAGACAAAAATGAAATAGGAAAGAGTGAGACAACTCAGAGATTAGCCAAAGTAGGAAGCCCCTTACCACCTAGGAGTGGAAGGGAAAAGGGAAAGCCAGAGTTACTCAAGCTCCATGGAAGTGGGAACCATGATGGGCTTGTCCCATGACATCCTGAGCCAAGGAAGAGACTCAGTGACTGCCAGAGACACCTCCTGAGCAGACAGGGAGAGGAAGAAATACCCCGGCCTCCCTTCCTCCCACCCTCCAATCTTCTTGCAGTGCCTCACGCTAAATGAACCATAAGGCAACGGACATGGTAGCCTGGGATGCTAGCCTGCAATATAGACCGGAACAAGGAGAAGACTGGGAAGGATCTGAGAGCAAATAGGCCAAGACTGAGTAGCATAGAGTGGAAAGTATGAAATTACTGGGATGGAACCATGCATCCAAACCTGCAATTTTTTTTTCACAAAAATGGCATTGTTGGCTTTTTTAATGAACAATTTTTAAAGAAATTTTTGAAATTACTATTCTTTTTGACACGTAACCATTGTACATGTTTCTGAGGTACAGTGTGATATTTCAATATATGTATACAATGTGTAATGATCAAATCAGGGTAATTAAAATATCAACCTACAGTGCTACAGAACACTAGATCTTATCCCTCCTAGCTGTAAGTTCGTATTCATTAACCAACTTCTCCCTATCCCCCTACTGTTCCCAGCCTCTAGTAACTACTCCATTTCTATGAGATCAACTTTTTTAGTTTCCACATATGAGTGAGAACATATTTCTGTCGCTGTGCCTGGCTTATTTCACTTAACACAGTCCTCCAGGTTCATCCATGTTGGCAAAAATGACAGAATTCCATTCATTTTTATGGTTGAATAGTATTCCTTTGTTTATATATACCATGTTTTCTTTATCCATTCGTCTGTACACCATCTCTTAGGCTGATTCCATATCATGGCTATTGTGAATAGTGTTACAATACACATAGAAGTGTAGGTATCTCTTGGACATACTGATTTCTTTCCTTTGGATATATACTCAGTAGTGGGATTGCTGGATCATATAGTGGTTCTATTTTTAGTTTATTGAGGAACCTCCATTCTGTTTTCCATAATGGCCATACTAATTTACATCCCTATCAACAGCAAATAAGAGTTCCCCTTTCTCCCCATCTTGCCAGTATTTGTTATTTTTTTGTCGTATTGATAACAGCCATTCGAACTGGCTAAGATGATATCTTAACAGATGATATGTGTTTTGATAACAGCCATTCTGACTGATAAGATGATATCTCATTGTGGTTTTGATCTGTATTTCCTTGATGATTAGTGATGTTGAGCATTTTTTCATATACTTGTTGACCATTTGTATGTCTTCTTTTGAGAAATGTCTATGTATTAGGTTGGTGCAAAAGTAATTGCAGTTTTGCCATTGAAAGTCATGGCAAAAACCGCAATTACTTTTGCACTGGCCGAATAGATAATTTGCATATTTTTACTCTTATGGTGATGATGATGATGATGATGATGATGATTTTGCTGTTAAGTTCCTTGTATATTCTGGATATTAATCCCTTGTCAGATAAATAGGATGCAAATATTTTCTCCAATTCTACAGGTTCTTTCTTCACTCTGTTTATTGTTTCCTTCACTGTGCAGGAGCTTTTTAGCTTGATATAGTCCCATTTGTCCATTTTTGCTTTTGTTGTCTATGCTTTTGAGGTCCTGTTCATAAAATCTTTGCTCAGACCAATGTCCTGAAGAATTTCCCCTATCTTTTTCCTAGTGGTTCTATAGTTTTGGGACTTACATTGAAGCATTTAATCTGTTTTAAGGTGGTTTTTATATATAGTGAGAGATAGGGGTCTAATTTTATTCTTCTGCAAATGGTTGTCCAGTTTTCCCAGCCACCATTCATTGAAGATGGTGGTCTGTCCCCAATGTATGTTCTTGGTGCCTTTGTCAGAAATCTGTTGGCTGTAAACAGGTGGATTTATTTTGTAAATCTCAATCTGTTCTATTTGTCTTTGGGTCTGTTTTTATGCCAGTAGCATGCAGTTTTAATTATTCTAGCTTTGTAGTATACTTTGAAGTTAGGTAATGTGTTGTCTCCAGCTTTGTTCTTTATGCTCAAGATTACTTTGTCTAGTTTGGGTCCTTTCTGGTTCTATAAAAAATTTTAGGATTTTTTTTTCTACTTCTGTGAAGAATGTCGTTAGTATTTTGAAAGGGAGTGTATTTAATCTGTAGATTGCTTCAGATAGTATGGTCATCTTAATGACATTAATTTTTCCAATTAACGAACATGGGATGTCTTCCCATTTCTGTGTGTGTGTGTGTGTGTGTTTGTGTTTATGTTTACGTGTGTTTGTGTTTGTGTGTGTCCTCTACAATTTCTCTCATTAGTGTTTTATAGCATTCTTTATAGAAATCTTTAATATCCTTGGTTAGATTTATTCCAAGGTATTTTATTTTTGTATCTATTGCAAATGAGAGTGTTTTTTAAGTTCATTTTCCAGCTAGTTTGTTATTAATGTATCAAAATGCTACTGATTTTTATGTATTGATTTTGTATCCTGCAACTTTGTTGAACTTTACTAGTTCTGGTATAGGCTTTAGGTTTTTCTATATATAAAATTATGCCATCTGCAAACAGGAATGATTTGACTTTCTCCTTTCAATTTGGCTGTATTTTGAACTCTTGTCTAATTGCTCTGACTAGGACCTCCAGTACTATGTTGAATATGAGTGGTGAAAGTGGACATCCTTGTCTTGTTCCAGTTCTTAGAGGAAAAGTATGATGTTAGCTGTGGGTCTGTCTTACATGGTCTTTATTGTGTTGAGGTATGTACCTTCTACACCTAATTTATTGAGAGTTTTATTTTTTATCATGAAAACATGTTGAATTTTATCAAATGCTTTTTCTGCATCTACTGAAATGATCATATCGTATTTGTCCTTCATTCAGCTGATGTGATGTATTACGTTTATTGATTGTGTATGTTGAACCATCTTTGCAGCCCTGGGTTAAATTCAACTTGATCATTGTGTATAAATTTTTTGATGTGCTATTGGATTTGCTTTGCTAGTATTTTGTTGAGGATTTTTGCACTTATGTTCATCATGAATATTGGTTCATTGTTTTCTTTTCTGTTGTGTCCTTGTCTGGTTTTGGTATCAGGGTGATGTTTGCTTAGTAGAATGCATTAGATAGAATTCCCTCGTCTTTAATTTTTTGGAATAATTTGAGAACTGGCATTCGTTATTCTTCCAATGTTTGGCACAATTCAGCACTGAAGCAGGTACATCCAAATCCCCATTGATTTTTCTTGAGCCAACTCAGTGCTAAGAATGTTGGCACAAGAAGGAAAATAATAATCACATCACCATCATCTGAAATTTATTGAACTCTGTATGTTGAGATAGCACTTTACATCAGCTCTTTCATGGGATCTTCATTATATACTGATGTATCATGATATCCTCAATGAGTATATGAGAAAACCGGGGCAAAAAAAGGTTAATGATTTGATCTAGTAAGTGGTGGAACCAGGATTCAGAAACAGGCAGTCTGGCTGCAGAAAAACTTCTCCACCCACTTCATCACACCCCCAAGGCCCCACTCCTCACCATACCAGCCAAAACTTTGCTCTGCTGCCTTCACTTACCAGAGATCTGAAGCTCCTCTTATGTCATTCTCAGAGAGGCCTGAGGCTCAAACCATGACTTGGAAACGTCTTCTGAGGATCCCTCTTGAACAACTATCTCAAAGTTACTTCTAGGAGTACCCTAGCAAGAAATACTATTTCTTGGCTGCTATATTTCTACACTGGTTATTGTTTTCTATGTTGCTTTTCCTTGCTCCCTCCCTCCTTGTGGCAAAGGTATGTGGGGGTTCAGTTTTTCCATTTGCTAATTGTAAAGCCATCTTATTTTCCCCCTTAATTTGTGCCAACAATTTCTGCCAGACATGTACCTAGGTTATAACCTTAAATTATACATTAGTAACCATCCATCTATCCCAAATCCTTGGTATAATTATCTTGATGATGTTTTAATTTTAGGTAGCTTGGACCTTAAGTGTCAATTACTATTAAGGTGGAAAGCAGAGGCCAGTAGGTGTCAAGAGTATAGCTCTTTAGGCAGTTTTGAGCTTGCAGCTAGGGGAACTCCAAGCTGAATTAAACTGGGTATGGAGATTACATGGGAAAAGAGGCCCAATCTGCAGGCCGACGCTTACATTGTCAATGACAGGAAGTATTAGGTCAGTGAGTGGGGTGGTAATAGAACATCACATAGGAACCACAGCAAGACTTTATATATGATAAAACCAGTCTACTGAGGACTGAGGAAGAGCAAGAATGTCACACTGAGGCATAGAAAGCCCCAGACAAAAAGCAGAATAGTCAGTCAGTGTCAGCAGAGTAGGAAGCTCGGCTGTGGAGGGGGACTTCATTCACTCACCCATTAAGTAGGTGCCAACCAAACTACAGAGGTTGGAGGTGCTAAAGTCAACTTGTGCTTGCCCCTAAGGTGTCTTCAGGGTAAGAGAGAAGGCCAGAAGTCAACACACAATTAAAATAAAGCACAATGAATAACATATCAGGGTAGAAGGGAAGCACAAAAAAGAAGCATTCTAATTAGCAGGAAGAAGAAATGGCACATGATACATTTCTTAGGTAAGGGAGAGCTTTTCTCACTTAGGAAAATGAAAATGGGAGTCATAAGAAATGACATTAGAGATTCATGCCTTCTGAATGGTTGAGAAATCATGTTATGAGATGTGTTTTCTTTCCCCCCAAAGCCAGTGGGATGCTGTTGAAGGGTTTTCAGTTGTGGGGGGCACATGAACAAATGCAGCTTTAGAAAGATTGTTCTAACAGCGTGACAGATGATGGATTGGAGAGAAATCAGGCTAGCGGCAGGAGAGAAGCTAAGGGATTGTTTCAATAAGCAGACAAGAAATGAGAAAGATCTGGAACAAGATATTAGCAGGGGGAATGAAGGGGGAATGAATAGAAGGAGTATATATAAGAGATTAATTAATCCTGTTTGAAAGTAGTAGTAGGAGAGATCTAGGCTTATGTCCAATTTTCAGGCTTGAGAACTTTTCAGGTAGTTCCATGCCCTAAAGTGGACAACATAAAATATGAAGTCAGTTTTAGTTAGGTTGGGTTTGGGCTGCTGTTGGATAGGCATAATTCAAGGGGGATCCTGCTATGCCATTAGGAAAAGTATCTGAGCTGGTAGTAAATATTTAGGGAACTATTAGCTTTGGCTTGGGCCACTGGCGTGAAGAAATGTCATTACTCAGGGAAGACATCAATGAGAGGAATGCGGAAATTGAAACTCTGGGGAATATCGACAACTCAGGAGAAGAGAGATGAGGAAAAGGGGCCAGAGAGAAAAGAAAAACAATTCAGTGTCATAGGAGTTAAGAGGGAGGATTTTCGAGAACATTGCCAAGATGTTGCCAGTGAGATAAGAGCTGAAGTGTTTTCATTGATTTTGGCAAACAGGAGGTCACTTGGGATTTTTTCCATTTACTCTATCCTGGTGGGAATTAGGCTATGTGACCTTGAACAAGTAATTTAATAATAATCTCTACTTCATAGAGCTGTTGTGAAGGGTAAATGAAATCTCTGCCCATCTAGGAAGGACCTGTTGCTTTCTGTAATTTACTTCCTATAGACTTATTTGCATCCACAGTGTTTTAATATGTTTTCAAACATTATGATCTTGGAGAAAGATGGTCTTTTTAAAAAATGGTGCTGGTGCAATTGGACATCCACAGGCAAAAAAAATGAACTGAGATGCAGACCTTATACTCTTCACAAAAACTAACTCAAAAAGATCATAAACCTAAAAGTAAAACAGAAAACTATGAAACTCTTAGAAGATAATCTAGGAGAACACCCGGGTGACCTTGAGTATGAAGGTGACTTTTTCGATACAACATTGAAGACACAATCCATGAAAGAAAGAATCGATAAGCTGGACTTTATTTAAAATTAAATATTTCTGCCCTACTTAAAAATACTGTCAAGAAAATGAAAAGCCAAGCCACAGACTGAAAGAAAATATTTGCAAAAACAACTGATAAAGGACTGTTATCTAAAATATACAGAGAACTCTTAAAATTCTGTTCAGGTTGGTATCACAGAATTTTATCATAGACTATATATCTTACAAACAAGAGACATTTATTTCTCACAGTTCTGGAGGCTTCAAGTTCAAGATCAAGGTGCCAGCAGATTCACTGTCTGATGAAGGCCTGCTTCCTGGCTCATAGACAGCCAACTTTTTGTTGTGTTCTCACATGGTGGAAGGAATGAGGGAGCTTTCTGGGGTCTCTTTTGTAAGACGATGAATACTATCCACAAAGGCTTTATCCTCATGACCCAATCACCTCCCAAAGACCTTACCTGCAAATACCATCACATTGGGAATTAGGTTTCAACATACGAATTTTAGTGGGGCAGAAACATTCCATCTTCAGCAAAGAAAAATTGAACAACCTGTGTTAAAAATGGGCAAAAATCCTGAAAAGAACTTCATCAAATAAGATATACAGATGGCAAATAAGAATATGAAAAGAGCTCAACATCATATGTAATTAGGGAATTGCAAATTAAAACAATAACATACTGCTACGTATCTGTTAGAATGGTCCAAATTCAAAACGCTGACAACACCAAATGTTGGTGAGGATGTGGAGCAATGGGAACTCTCATTCATTGTTGGTGAGAATACAAAATACTACAGCCACTTTGGAAGACAGTTTGGCGGTTTCTTACAAAACTAAACATACCGTTACCATACAATCCAGCAATCAAGCTCCTTGGTGTTTACTCATTGAGTTGAAAACTTATGTTCATATGAAACTTGCATACAGATGTTTATAACAGCTTTATTCATGTTGCCCAAACTTGAAAGCAACCAAGGTATCCTTCAGTAGGATAAATTGTGGTATGTACCGGCAAAGGAATATTATCCAGTGCTAACAATAAATAAGCTATCAGCCACGAAAACACATGGAGGAAACTTAAATGGATATTACTGGGTGAAAGGAGCCAATCTGAAAAGGCTATATACTGTATGATTCCAATTATGACATTCTAGAAAAAGAAAAACCATGGGGTCAAGAAAAAGATCAGTGGTTGCCAGGGCTTAAGGGAAGGGAGGGGTAAATAGGCAGAGCACAGGAAATTTTTAGGGCAGT
Source organism: Homo sapiens (assembly GCF_000001405.40). Taxonomy (NCBI): domain Eukaryota; kingdom Metazoa; phylum Chordata; class Mammalia; order Primates; family Hominidae; genus Homo; species Homo sapiens. The sequence goes on from NC_000002.12 coordinate 204,397,618, forward strand.
GAAACTGTTCTCTACGACAGTGATGGGTGCATGTCATTACACATTTGTCAAAACCCTTAGGATGTAAGACACCAAGAGTGAACTCTAATGTTAACTATGAACTCTGGTTGATAATGGTGTTCCAATGTAGGTTCATTAATTATAACAAATATACTACTCTGGTACGAGATGTTGATAGTTGGAGAAGCCATTTGTGTGTATGCATGTGTGCAGGGAGTGGGGAGGCTATATGGGAACTCCCTGTACTTTTTGTTCCATTTTCCTGTGAACATAAAAGTGCTCTAAAAATAAATCTATTAGAAATATGACTTTATTAAATTTAATTTTTCATTTTCACCCTAGGAACAATGATCTGTTAAAGTCTGCATACTAACTGGAAATGGAAATCCAGACAGCATATATCATAGTTTAGAATATTGCTCCAAACCTTTTACTAGATGATTCAGAAGGCTGAGAGCTGTGAGGGGGATCAGCACACTTTCTCCAAAGTTTGGGAAAGTACTTTATATTTTAACCTTATATATGACATTAGTGGGAGGTCTCTTTACAAGTTAGTAAATCTGATAAAATTGGGAACAAGGCAATGATTTTCACTATCTCTAGTTTTATTCAACTCTTGCACTTGTGGTCTTAGCTAGCATTCAACAGTGAGAAAAAGAAATAAATAGATATAGATTAGAAAGATAAAATTGTCTTTGTTTGCACATGATATGATTGTATCCATAAAGAATCAAAAGGAATGTATAATCTATTAAAATGAGTGGGCTAAGAACATGAATAGACATCCTCAAAAGAAGATATACAAATGGCCAAGAAATATATGGAAAAGTGCTCAAAATCACTAATGATTAGGGAAATGCAAATTAAAACCACAATGCAAACTACCTTACTCCTGCAAGGATGGCTATACTCAAAAAATCAAAAAACAGTTGATGCTGGCATGGATGCAGTTAACAGGGAACACTTCTACACTGTTGGTGGGAATGTAAACTAGTACAGCCACTATGGGAAACAGTGTGGAGATTCCTCAAAGAACTAAAAGTAGAGCTACCATTTGATCCAGCAATCCCACTGCTGGGTATCTACCCAGAAGAAAAGAAGTCATTATTCAAAAACGATACTTACACATGCATGTTTATAGCAGCACAATACACAATTGCAAAATCATGGAACCAATCCAAATGCCCATCAATCAACGAGTGGATTAAAAAAAACTGTTATATATATATATTAATACATATATAATGGAGTACATATATATGAATACATATATAAAATAGAATACATGTATATATAATGGAATACTACACAGTCATAAAAAGGAATGAATTAACAGCACTTACAGTGAACTGGATGAAATTGGAGACTATTATTCTAACTGATGTAACTCAGGAATGGAAAACCAAACATTGTATGTTCTCACTGATATGTGGGAGCTAAGCTATGAGGATGCAAAGGTGTAAGAATGATACAATGGACTCTGGCAACTTATGGGGAAGATTGGGAGGTGGCGAAGGATAAAATACTACAAATATGGTGCAGTGTATATTGCTTGTGTGATGGGTGCACCAAAATCTCAAATTCACCACTGAAGAATTTACTCATGTAACCAAATACCACCTGTACCCCAATAACTTATGGAAAAATAAAATTAAAAAATAAATAAAATAAAACAGAGTAGAAGCAAGGTGAATTTAAAAAACCCCACCAAATTGACCTATAGATTTAATATAATTCCAATCAAAATCTAGCAATATTTACTTATGTAAATTGGAAAGATGATATTAAAATTTATATGGAAATGCAAAGGACTTAGAATGGCCAAGACAATCTTGAGGATAAATTTACCGTATGTACACTGTCAGAGTTTGAGACCTTTAATAAAGCTATGTAATTAAGACAGTGTGGTGTTTGGATATGAATACATAGATCTATGGAACATAATAAAAAAATCCAGAAATAGACCCACATCCATTTAATTACTTGATTTCAATGAAAGCCCCAGTGCATTTCAGTGAAGAAAGGGATGTCTTTTCAATAAACAATGCTGAAACAACAGGATGTCCCTATAGGGACAAAGTAAATGTTGACCCCTAATTCATACTGTACACATAAATTAATTTGAAATTTATCAAAGACCTAAATGGAAGGACATAAGCCATAAAGTTTCTAGAAGAAAACATCAGTGACCTTGGGGTGAAGAAAGATTTCTTGGGTGGAATGCAAAAAGTACTAACCGCGAAAGAAAATGTAATAATAATAGGCCTTCATAAAAACTTTAAACTTCTCATCAAAAGATGTGTTTAAGAAAGTAAGAATGGAAGCCCTAGGCTATGAGATAATATTTTAAACACATATATTTGACAAAGGATTCATAGGTAGAATATATAATGAACTGCAAACCAATAAGAAAATGACAAGTATTCCATAAAACAAATAGCAAAAGACTTACTAGGCACTTCACAAAAGAATATATCCAAGTGGCCAGTAAGCATACAAAAAGACATTCAACATTATCAATCATTAGAGAACTGAAAATTAAATGAGATGCTATCATGCATACACGAAATAGCTAATACTTTAAGAAGATTGTCAAAACCATGTGTTGAAAAGGATGCAGAGCAAGTGAAACTCTCATATATTACTGGTAAAAGTACAAAAGGGTTAAACCACTTTGGAAAATTGTTTGGCAGTTTTAATAAAGTTAAATATATGCTCACTTTTTGCCTAGCAATTTTACCCCTGGCTATATTACCCAAATAAGTGAGTGCATATGTCCACAAAAAAGTGTTCAAGAATGGTCACAGAAGCTTTATTCATAATATCCCAAAATTGAAAACAGCACACACATCCATCAACAAGACATTTGATAAATACAGTTTAGTACATCCATACAATAGAATACTATGCATCAGTAAAAAAGAGCAAATCACTGTAACAAAAAACAGCATAGATAAATATCAGAAACATATTGTATAAAATAAGTAAAATACAGAAGTTATATACACTATGATTCCATTGAGATGAGGTGAAAAATAGGTGAAGTTAACATAAGGTGATAGAAGTCAGAATAATTCTTACCTTTGGGGGAAATTATTGACTGAGCAAGGCATGAGAAAACTTTCTGGGACAATAGGAATGTTCTTGATATATATGCATCATGAATATTTGAGATGTCTCTCTCTCTCTCTCTCTCTCTAGCTATATATATATACATATTTATATATTTATATTTGTATGTAAAATTCATCAGGTTGTACACTTAAGAGTCAGACTTCATACTATATGAAAAAATTTTAAAAAATAAATAATTCTAAAAGGCCTATCTCTTTCTTGGTGATAGAATGTTCAAGATGCAATAACTTGTCTGTTATGTCAGAGGTAATGTCATGGCACACTGCAAACAACTGGACCCCTGAAGACATCACCAATGTGGTCTTCATAAGACTTCCTTCATAAGATTTCCTTCTCACCCTGGTATGCACATGAGTTTCAGAGCATTCAGAGTGCTTGACATTTCCTGCTCACCAGGTCTGGTTAACATGGTATCATTAACATGTTGGACCAACATAACGTTCTTTGCAATATGAAGACTACCATGACTAGCAAAGTAGCATCCCTCTGACACAACTGTAAATGAACGTGTACTGCTGTCATTCCCGAGAACTTCTTTTGATCCTCCTTCATGACAGGAATGGAAAAGAATGCATCTCCTAGCTCAACAGCTGCATTCTGTCCGCCAGATACTGTTTTGATCTATTTTAGTAAAGATACCACACTTGGCATAGCAGCTGAAACTGCGGGTCCCACTTGTTTAAGTTTATGGTAGTTCACCATGCTCTGCCATGAACCATTTGATTTTCAGGGGGTTCTATTTTAGCTCATTTCAATGAGTTAAAATAGAATATGATGTGCCACCTCAACATCTTTTAAGTCCTTGAGGGTGGTGCTCATCTCTGCTATTCATCTGGGACATGTTATTGCTTAAGTTCTAATTTCTCACAGGGATGGAGGTTATTGGTACAAATTTAAGAGCTTCCTATATTAGTTTTCTATTACTGCTGTAGCAAATTACCACAAATGCAGTGCTTAAAACAGCATAATTTGTTATCTTACAGTTCTGGATATTGGAAGTCCAGAATGGGTCTCAATGAAATAAAATCAAGTTTTCAGCAGAGCTGTATTTATTCTTGAGGTCTAGAGAATCTGTTTCCTAGACTTTTCCAGCTTCTAGAGACTGCCTGCATTCCTTGGCAGGCAGGGAAGAACTCTCATGAACCCTTCCTCCACCTTCAAAGCTAGGAGCGTAGCATGTTTAAATCTGACTGACTTCTTTTTCTGCCTCCTTCTTCCATTTATAAGGACTCAGGATTGTTTGGGGCCACCTAGATAATGCAGAATAATCTCTTCAACTGAAAGTCAGCTGATTAGCAACTTTAGTTTCATCTGCAACTTTAATTACCCCTTGCAATGTAAACGAATATATTCATAGGTTCCAGAGATTAGGACATGGACATATATAAGGGGCCATTATTCTGCCTACAATATTTCCACTAACTTCCCTTATCATACCACACCTACTTCACAAAATCAAGTCATAAATATGAGGGTTCTACCAAGTTCTAGGTAAATTCATCCTGATGATGCATCTGGGGGCTGGAAAAACATCATCATAGGGCAGGACAACAGATTCATTGTATTCACTGTGAGATAGACCTGGGATAAGACTCTGTTTATCACATGGCTTCCATAGCCCATGGGCAATTTGATTCTCTTCATTTATCAGTATCACCTACAATTCAATACCCTCAGCCCTTGAAAAATCTCCTTTCCCCGAGTGTACAATTATCTGGTAAATGAACATAAATCCATTGGGAATGGATTGGGAAAATAGCTACTGTAGCATCATAGCATATTTCCTCAAAGGGAAATAGCCTCCCCTTCTATTAACTCTGGGCCTGAGAACGGTGTGAGAGATCATGATTTTCCAATATGGCAGCTTTCTGCTCACCCACAATTGATCATCAGCTGCCCAACTTCCTTGACCCTAAAAATACCATGGTCTATTGAACATCTTCACAGATTCCCATGGATCAAGGGCTCCTTATTGCCATTCCAGCTGCACTGCCTGTTATGGAAATTATGTTCACTTTGCTTCTGATGGTTAAGTGTTACCACCTGGCCTCTCTTATGCCAGAAGTTTATCATCTCCATTGATACTAAGTAAGCCAGGTCTGTAACAACCTCCCATGCCACCCCTGGCCCACAAATGACTATAACTATTAACTCCTTCCATTCCTCATTGCTTTAGGGAAGGGATATCCTCTGGGCCTTCCTGGGGAACATAGATATCTGGGGTTTGTTGTTGTTGTTGTTACTTTTGTTTTTGTTTGGCACATCTCTGATCCTTTTCATCCTTTCCCTAGTACTCTGCCAAGAGTTCTGGAATCTCCATTTCATTTACTATAAGACTCCAGAAAATGGTAGGCTTGAGAGTTAAGAAGTCATTTGTTAAGCTTGGCTCCAGAAGTCCTTTCTGGGATGTTAAATCTTGCCTGCACTCATATCAATACACTCTTTCCCATCTAACCTTGTAATCATCTCCTCTGAGCAGCTGCAAGATGCATTCCCGGGCGTGTTGTCCTGAAACACATTGGTACACATAAGCCCTTCAGTGAATAATTCCTTTTCTCTCTGTAGTGTGAACAATACTTCCTACTTGCACCATACTAAGAGTTGACCCTAGTTTTTAGTGTAGACCAGAGATGGGCAAACTAAGGCCCTTTGGCCTGACACTTAAAACTGTTGTAACATTAAGGAACACAGCCACGCTAGTTTATTTATATATGGTTTAGGGCTGCTTTCATGCTATGATGGCAGAGTTTAGTAGTAGTGACAGGAACCATATAGCCTACAAACACTACAGTATTTACTATCTGATTCTTTCAAATAAGTTTGCCAATTTCTGGTCTAGATCAGCACTGTCCAATAGAACTTTCTGCAATGATGGAAATGTTCTATCACCTGTGCACCATCCAACATGGTAGCCACTAGCCACGTGTGGCTATTGACTTGCTTTAAATGTGGCTACTGTGAATAAGACCAAAAAATTTGATTGTATTTTACCTTAATTGGCTTATAGTTGTATGTGGCTAGTGGCTATTGGATTTGACGAAACAGATCTAAATGCAATGAAAGGAGTCAGGAAGGAGTAGAGATTTTAAAGAGAAAAAACACCATCTTGAAGGGAATCCATCTCAAGTAAGTATTCTGTATGGCCTCTGAAAAATGGAAGGTTGCTTCCCACTAGCCAGCAGAAGGAGACCACCCCACCTGGACCAGACGGCCCAAAGGAATCTCTGGGCCTTGGCAGTGGTCAAGCACATCCGCCCAGAGGTTCTCATTATAGGTCTTAGGGTCGGTCTTGACTTTAGTGTAGGAGACACTGTAGTGTAGGAGCTGTGGACTTAGCCTTTTTTTAGTTCAGCCACTGGGTGCAAGAGATAGTGGTCTGTATAAACATGGCACTCAGATTTTTTGCACAGCCTTCTGGATGCAGGAGATGGTGGCCTCTATAAACACTATTATTAAAGCATTCTAGCTTTCATATCATGTCGTGAATTAATAGACTACTGATCTCAGTCTGTTATTTTCTTTCCTCCTGTGGCTGTTAGCAACAGCTAATTCCCCAATCCTCATAATTTCTCTTGCCTTATATCTTTCATCCATTAGATCTATTGCATAAGCCAGTACATTCCCTTCTTCATGTTCCCCATCTCAATCCACTATAGGTGTAATCTAAGAAATTGTAATGGTATGCCCTGCCAGAGGTAATCATTGCCCCATTTACCAGTTGTAGGAGCTGTTCCACGTCACCAATCAGCTTACTATAACCACTCTTGGATCAACTTTCTTAGACTAGGTTCCCCAAGAAGCAGACCCCAAGACAAGGATTTGAGTGCATGTGGTTTACTGGGGAATGACTGCAGGAGACAAGAATAAAGCGAGACAGGAAAATGTAGGAAGCGAATATAAGGTGTATTAATAAGCAGGTTACCGTGCAGGACAACAGGGGCTCAATCCTGCCAGGACTCCTGGGAAATGGTGTGGAACACACCTCAGACTTGTCCTCTTACATTGCTGATGGAGGGAATGCTCAAAATATGTTAATTCTCTGGCACTTCCGTCTGCCTTGTGCATTGGAGGACATAAAACTCTCAGGTGGGGAGTTGCAGGTGCTTTCCTTCTTTCTATTTGGGAATGGTGAGTGTTGGGATGACTTGGGCAGGGAATTGACAACATCGGCCACAAAATTGAATATCTAAAAAACCCAAGAGTCTGTTATGGTTCTCAAACAAAGAGAGGGTAGTCAAAGCAATAAAAACAAAATCAAAATGAAACATACACACACACACACACACACACCTCCTTGGTCAGGTTGGAGGTAACTTGTATATAATACTACACTCTCACAATTCACAATTTGGGGAAAATTAAACATTTAACCTAACTTTATTAACTATTTGCTTTAACATGCTTCAGAACAAAAAGGGAGGAATAGAAGAAAGAAGTGAAGGAAAATCTTGATAAATATTGAATCTGGATTGAATCTGCTACGTGGAGTTTCACTATACTATTGTGTCTTTTTGTTGTTGTTTGAAATTTTTAACTGAAAGAGAAAGTCTTTTTCTTCTCCAGTCCCCTCCAGAACTATCATTAGCCTTGGGTTGCATTCTTATAATCCTGATGACCTATTATTAGATAAAGAAAGCACAAAATAATGCAGTTAAACTGCAAGTGGCAGCTTTTCTCCTGTCACTTGGACCCAAGTTCCAAATTATGGTTCTTGTTCCTGCTTTGATCACATTACAATCTTAAAGTTTCCCTAATGAATTGATCCATTTATATATCTCCAGTGCTTGTTATGAAATCTTACACCTGTACATACTTCATATGGATTTAAAAAGCAATGAATATGGAGTTCCCATTAGAGTGCACATAAGGCACTAAGTGTAGACACGCTTTCCAGCTTCTCTTCCCCTTCCCTAACCCAACTAGGAAAAGCTCCTTTTAGTTCCTTCCTATTGTAAATGTATTACCTGAAATGGACATTAAGTTAGCTCATTAGCACCCCAAACATATAAGCAGTATTTAGTTTATCAGATCAACTACTAGAAACAAAGTCCTGAGGCAATGGGACTTCAGTTGCCTAAATGTTGACAAGTTGGTATAGAAAGTAAATACATAATACTTCACCTTACACTTGTAGGTGGATATACACTCTTTGGATTGCTTTTGTTATCAATCTCATTTAACTCTCACAGAACTTTAACAGAGGAGGCCCAATAAGCTTAAAGCATGGATCCAACCTAAAACTGCTAGAAAATGGCAGACCTAGAACTGGTGGTTGAGGAGCCCCGAATGAGAACACTAAAGAATAAGAGAACAGCAGAGTGAGGACATCTTGAATAAGGTACAGGAGGTGTGGGTGCTTGTGCCCTTCATAATGGGGCCTCCTTAGGCTGCCCCAGTGGGCCTGGGGTTTCCATTTCTATATTTGTTCTCATCTTCTTTACGTTGAAACACAGAACAATCCTCTTGGTGTCCTGAAAACACCTAATGTTCCATTCTCAAACAGGTTCCTCAGAATACTCACAATTGTGTTGTTTTTATACAGGGAGCTAAATGCACAATAAGGTATCATTTCAAATTTTCTCAAAAGCAACTTTAAAATTATATCTATGGAATACGATATGATTCTGGAAAAGTCTAGCTTTAGTTTTCCTCCTCTCTGCTACATATGTGATATTTGAGTTTTTTCTCCTTGAAAATCTGCTGATAATTACCCCTGTTTTAGTCATCTGAAATCCAGGACACAGTAAGTTTTAAAGATAAAAGGTAGCCTACTGTTACATCCCTTCCTGTGGAAAACAGGAAAAAAGGGAAAGATTCTTATCTATTTTCCTGATTTTATGAGAAAGACATATTTGTAGCTTTAAAATTTTAAACATTAGAGAAGGATACAAGTTAGACAGTGAAGTTTCCCCCAGAATCTCATTTTTCAGCATGAACCACAGTGAATGGTTATGCAGCTCTTCTTTTAGACTTTTTACTTTACAGAGTTTACAAAGCACTTTCACATATTTTTATCTCATTGAAACTTCACAACAGCAATTTCAATTATAAATGTGAGATTGGGGAAATTGTTTTCCAGTGAACTTTAATAACCTTCTCACAAAAGGGAGCTACCATGACTGACTACCTTCTAGTCACATTTTTGCAAAGCCAGGCCGGCATTGATTCACTGTGACCTTTCATGCTCAATTCATACAGCAAAGAGCCGACTGGGCTGTGGAGAGCAGAATCAATCCAAAATCTGCTAAGTATTTTGGTTCTATCAGCTACAGCCTTAGCTAAATACAAAACATTTGCATGGGTAATAGATAAAGATGGAGCAGTCTTCCAGAACACTATAAAGGAGGCTTCTTCAGCATCACTAACAAAGAAAAATGTGGGGCTAGCCAGTCTAAACTGTAAAATATTTAATTCAAATTAGAGTAAATTGTGGTATTTCCTCCCGTGTAAGTAGACAGAGATAGTCCTGCACCAATTACCACTGGATATAAAGTAGCTGCTCTCAAATTAATGGAATAAAACAAGTCCCCCCAGGCTAACAGCATAGTCTTGGGGTTAGCTGCTTAATTAGTGGGCTCTTTGTTCTAATAGATCTCATAGACAAGACCTTGAAATCAAATCTAGGAGTCGGAGGAGAGAGTCGGTGTCTTGGGTGAATCTGGTTACCATATTTCTAGACTAAACTAATGGAAAGATAAGGATCTTGATTCCAAAGAGCCAAATCAACCTTATCTCTTGAATTTGTATATAATGAACTGTTTATTTTGGCCCAGGAAGCCGCTTCAAAGAACCCATTATGATGGCTAAGGACTAAACCATAATTACATTTCTCTCCAGGACAAACTGAAGGATCTTTCCTTTTTTTCGGTCTTCATTCATTTTCCAAATTGTGAACAAAAATGTTTACTAGGTACTCTGGCCATCTTTATTATTGTGGCTTTAATGTTTAACACTAGTATATTTCTCTTAATCTCTTTGGTCTCAACCTGAAACAGGAGGGAATGGTGACACAAGTGGATTTCATTTCCAGTGAAACAGAAAGGCAGCAACAAGTCTCTAAGCTCCCTCACCTCTGAGCAAAATGCAGAGTGACTTGGAGTCCTGTGACCTAGCTTGCAATGTTGTGATAGCCCTGATAGTGATTCATGTCCTTACAAAACAAACAGCTATCTTTCTAACCCTTCATAGCTTAGGCGGGGCCTCCACCACAGAGCTACCTTTGGTCGGCTCTGCAGACTTTGATGATGAGACTCTAGCAGTCAGTCTAAGAGAGAAAAGGACATTCAGGGAATTTTAAGTGGCTTGGATCAGCATTTGTCATATACAATTGATGTTCATTTATATTTCACTAGCCAAAATCTAATGCTGTCCAAAATTGGGAAAGAAATATTTCAAATACTAATCAGGCCCAATCTTGCTTTAATGTAAAAAATGAGCCTTGTCCTACCTTTTTTCAATCCTAGTCTCAGAAGGGGGATTTAATATTTCCTGACAGTGCTTTAAATACTTTGCTGTTCAGACTTCAGTGAATCCACAATAATTATGTCAGTTAAACCAGCTTGGTTTTTCAATAGGTGTTTTAAGTTTAGGGTGCTTTTTGAACTCCGTATCATGGCATTCATTCTTTGATATTAGGTTTATTAGAGAAAGGGCCAATACTCAGATGGATCACCACTTAACCATTTAACCCATTTACCTGTTGTTTTTTAATCTATTGATTTAGTGGTCTACAGCTTCCCAGCCCCCTCCTTTCCAGGAAGTTTAATTACACAGAATCTAGGAGCCATTGCTATTCCCAGTGGAGAGTTTCGGGGAAGGCCAAGTGGTTTTTAATTCTCAGAAGATCAAGCCATAAAGACTCCGGTAGATTATCATTAAGCACTGACTTAACATTTAGTGTCTTACTAAGCTTTTTATAGGAGCCTTTGCCATTTTGATGAATGAGACTGAAAAATTATCTTTGTTTTACAGATGGAGAAAATATATCAATATACAATTGTTTAGGGGTGGGGAGAGAAGTACCAGTTTCTTCAGGTGGAAATTAATTCTACCCATCCTTCAACACCCTCTCAAAAATATCCAACAACTTCATCATAGTTTTGGCTTCAATCAGTGTGTGCATTCTTCCTGAATCATACTCTCCAGTAAAACAAGATCTTCTTGATAGGCTCTGTTGGCAATATCCAGCCTTCACCTTGACAACAATTAAGCCAGGGAGCACAATTGAGACTGAGTTTTCTTCAGAAGAACAGCCAAATGGCACTGAACACATTTACACAAAGTCATAAAGCAAGTGCAGGAATTAGAAGTCGTCCCCTCCGTGTGGGTGGAGTGGTGAGCCTGGCCCGGGGAGGAACATGGTTTGCTAAGTAGAGGCCTGGGGATGGTAGATACAGACCTTCCTTATTTCTTCAGAAGAACATATCAGAATCCCCCATGGGAACCCCCACACTGGAATCTCTTAGCTTTTTAGAAAGCATAAGCAATGCCGCTAGAAACCATTTATCACATTTAGGAATTCTTTCATTGCTTTCTCATAATTTGCCATGTAAAAATAAATTAGAAGTCATGGAGTGGATGCTTACTAATAAAAGAGAAATTATCAAAGAGATGAACATAAATAGTAATGAAATCAGCATGGGCCTGCAAAGTACGGACATTGCAGGGTCAAAATAAAGGAGGGATGATAACAAGACAAGATTTGCTTTGAACTTCTTAGTCAACACTTACTTTGTTTTCTTCTAGTTTTCTAGGAACCAGCTTTGTTATTTTACATTTGACCACCTCTTATAAATCCAAACATTTACTATTTGATGCTCTGTTTTTTAACCCTGCCTTATTCTATGTGCAGACTGCTCCAAGAAAAATATCAGCAACTAAATTTGCTGTTTTCACTCTAAGTGGGAACATTTTCTATGATAGTAATAGTCTGACTTAGAAAAGGCTACTTCTTAAGGCAATGAGTGTGGACAGTTTGTCGGATTAACACCGAGCTGGGATGCTATAGTGGTAAGACTTTGAAATTTGGGAGTCAGAGAATACAAGGGCTACTTCTGATTTTACCTTTTACTAATTGCATGGACTACTTAACAGAATGTCTGTAATTTAAACCTCCCCTTAATGTATAGGCAGTATAAAATTATGCAAATGTCAGTCAGTTTAAGCCATTCCTGAGGGGCAGTCATTTGCCCAAACCAAAAATTCATACCCTAGGTGTCATCACCTAGACTTCCAGTTAGAAGCCCACCTTCCAGAGGTGATTCAGCTATCTTAAACTCCCAACACCACCCAAGTTATTCTTAATTAGCAGGATGCATGTTAAAATGGGTTTTCATTGGTGAAATTAATAGCTTGTCAATTAGCATTATGGCTGCTAGAAATGGGGTTTCACTGGTGAAAATAGTGATGTTCAAATTCTAGACTCTCCCTAGTTGCATAAACAGAATAAAAATGTAGAAAACTCTGTGTCCTATACCTTTAGGGATATTTTCTGGAGACTGATTTCTGTACGGTCCTGAGTCCGACCATTGACTCGGTCTTCAGTTCTTGAGTTGCCTGATATCTACTATAAGACTAATTGAAACCAGCTTCTAGAATATGATCATATCTGCTTCAAGTGAGCATTGCATGCACCAGTGCAGTTAGAATACCTAAAAGGCCAACAGTTGCAATTTCATCAAATTATAGAATAGGTTACATGAGCTGTTTTGTGACCGCTTCCTAATAAATGTTTAATGTACATTTTTATATGTGGCCAAATTTGGTCAGAGATTTGCTTTCAATATAAACTAGTGAAGAGGTTGTGGGGGAGACAGTTATTCATCATCCATGTCTAATTATCGGTAGTTACTGTTATTGACAAAATAATCTGCAACATTACCCTCCACTCAGCATTTGATCTTGCTTTAGCTCGTCCCAGATGTTCTTAATGTTACCTAGGTGCCTATGGTCAATTAGAGGGTAAAAGACTCACAGATCTCCAGACTACAGATCCAGAGGGATTCAGTGGGATTCAGTGTAGGCACAGGGCTCTCCTGGATTAGCAGTCACTTCAGGACCCTATGACTTGGTCTGACTATTGCCTGTTCCTTGCCCCCAAGTCACAGAGACTGTTAGGATTTTTCCTGTTCTCTCCAGAAAAATGAAGACCCTAGAGGAATTCTCATCAATATTTCCTGCTAAGTTTCTTTCACAAAGCCATGATCAAACCCTTTGGTAAGTGCTGTAAGAACAGAATACAGATATGGATATCCTGGAGGGGGTGGGTCGTGTCATAGATACAGGTGATGATGATGATGATGCTGATGATGATTACTATTAATGCAATTTCCACCTGACAAAAAAACCTATATTAAAAACCCATTCTGTTTGGCTGCACATAAAATAAAACTCGGGAATGTTGCCTTAAGGCAGTTAGGTTTGTTTTCTTCATATTATAAATCTAGAGTTGGGAAATGTGAAGATCAATGATGCTGTCAGAGACCCAAGGTCTACATTCCTGCTCTGTCATCATTTGTTCATGGCTCTTGTCCTCATGCTTTGAAAATGGCAGCAGCATCTCCAGGTGTACAAAGAAGAAGGAGAGAGGTAAAAGGGATTTCACAAGGTAAGCTTTTGCCAGTTTATTAAGGAAAGAAATCTCTCTCCTGAAAATTCCACTTACGTTACATTGGCCAGAACTTTGTCATCCCCTAGCTGCAAATGGAGGTGAAGTTATTTTAGCAGAGCATATCACTGTTCTGAACAAAATGAAATTCTGACAGGGAGAAAGAGAATTGATATTGCCAGATAACTAGTAGGGTTTACCATTCCTACTATTCATCAGCCACTTTACTGGGTACTTTCCATATCTACAATCTATAACCTTGCAAAGTAATAATTTTCCATATGATCTACTGAGGAACAAAGACTTTTAATAGCTTGTCCAAGAAAATGGCAGATAACTTGACTGACAGAAATTATTATAATAACAGTTAACGTTGCTCAAACGCTTGCCATAGGTCAGGTATTTCTCTGGGTGCTTTATGTACAGTGACTTGTTTCTTCCTCATAGAAACCCTCTGAGGAAGGTGTTTTCATTGTCCTCATTTATAAGATGAGGAAATCAAAGTTTAGAAAAGTTAAGGAACTTGCTTAGAATCACACAGGTTATAAGAGGTGAAGCTCAAGTTTGAACCTAGTTCTGTGCGACTCCTTAGCTCTTGACCACTGATTTGGTTTGGCTGTGTCCCCACCCAAATCTCATCTTGAATTCCCAGGTGTTGTGGAAGGGACCTGGTGGCAGGTAACTGAATCATGGGCAGGTCTTTCCCATGCTGTTCTCATGATAGTGAATAAGTCTCATGAGATCTAATGGTATATAAGGGGGAGTTTCCCTGCACAAGCTCTCTCTTTCTGCCTGCTGCCATTCGTGTAAGATGTAACTTGCTCCTTCTTGCCTTGCCTTCTGCCATGATTGTGAGGCCTCTGCAGCCATGTGGAACTGTAAGCCTATTAAACCTCTTTCTTTTGGAAATTGCCCAGTCTTGGGTATGCCTTTTTGAGCAGCGTGAAAATGGACTAATACAGTAAATTTGTACCAGTAGAGTGGGGCATTGCTGAAAAGATACCTGAAAACGTGAAGTGACTTTGGAACTGGGTAACAGGCAGAGATTGGAACAGTTTGGGGGGCTTAGAAGAAGACAGGAAAATGTGGGAAATTTTGGAACCTCCTAGAGACTCATTGAATGGCTTTAATAAAAAAGCTGATAGTGATATGAACAATAAGGTCCAGGCTGAGGTGGCCTCAGATGGAGATGAGGAACTTGTTGGGGACTGGAGCAAAGTTGACTCTTGTTATGTTTTAGCAAAGAGACTGGCAGCATTTTGCCCCACCCTAGAGATTTGTGGAACTTTGAACTTGAGAGAGACGATTTAGGGTATCTGGTAGAAGAAATTTCAAAAGCAGCAAAGCATTCAAAATTTGATTTGGGTGCTGTTAAAGGCATTCAGTTTTATAAGGAAAGCAGAGCATAAAAGTTTGGAAAATTTGCAGCCTGACAATGCAATAGAAAAGAAAATCCCATTTTCTGAGGAGAAATTCAAGCCAGCTACAGACATTTGCATAAGTAATGAGGAGCTGAATGTTAATCCACAAGACAATGAGGAAAATGTCTCCAGGGCATGTCAAAGGTCTTCATGGCAGCTCCTCCCATCACAGGCCTGGAGGCCTAGGAGGAAAAAATGGTTTTGTGGGCCGGGCCCAGGGTCCCCATGCTATGTGCAATCTAGGGACTTGGTTCCCTGCGTCCCAGCTGCTCCAGTTGTGACTAAAATGGATCAAGGTGCAGCTCAGGCCATGGCTTCAGAGGGTACAAGCCCCAAGCCTTGGCAGCTTCCACATGGTGTTGAGCCTGTGGGTACACAGAAGTTAAGAATTGAGGTTTGGGAACCTCTGCCTAGATTTCAGAGAATGTATAGAAACACCTGGATGTCCAGGCAGACGTTTGCTGCAGGAGCAGGGCTCTCATGGAGAACCTCTGCTAGGGCAGTGAGGATGGAAAATGTGGGGTTGGAGCCCCCACACAGAGTTACTACTGGGGTACTGCCTAGTGGAGCTGTGAGAAGTAGGCCACCATCTTCCAGACTCCAGAATGGTAGATCCACTGACAGCTTGCCCCATGTGCCTGGAAAAGCCACAAACAGTCAATGTCAGCCCATGAAAGCAGCTGGGAGGGAGGCTGTACCCTGCAAAGCCACAGGGGCAGAACTGCCCAAGACAATGGGAACCCACCTCTTGCATCAGCATGACCTGGATGTGAGACATGGAGTCAAAGGACATCATTTTGGAGCTTTAAGATTTGACTGCCCTGCTGGATTTCAGACTTGCATGGGGCCTGCAGCCGCTTTGTTTTGGCCAATCTCTCCCATTTGGAATGGCTGTACTTACCAAATGCCTGTACCCCCATTGTATCTAGGAAGTAATTAACTGGCTTTTGATTTCACAGGCTCATAGGTGTAAGGGTCCTGCCTTGTCTCAGACGAGACCTGGGACTGTGGACTTTTGAGTTAATGCTGAAATGAGTTAAGACTTTGAGGGGGCTCTTGGGAAGGCATGATTGGTTTTGAAATGTGAGGACATGAGATTTGGGAGGGTCCAGGGATGAAATGATATGGTTTGGCTGTGTCCCCATCCAAATCTCATCTTGAATTCCTCTATGTTGTGGGAGGGACCTGGTGGGAGGTAATCGAATCATGGGGGCAGGTTTTCCCATGCTGTTCTCATGATAGCAAATAAGTCTCACAAGATCTGGCAGTATTATAAGGGGGAGTTTCCCTGCACAAGCTCTCTCTTTTTGCCTGCTGTCATCCATGTAAGATGTGACTTGCTCCTCCTTGCCTTCGGCCATGATTGTGAGACCTCCCCAGCCATATGGAACTGAGTCCATTAAACCTCTTTCTTTTGTAAATTGCCCAGTCTCAGGTATGTCTTTATCAGCATCATGAAAACAGACTAATACAACCACTCTGCTGCACAGCTTCTGCAAAACACATCAAACTGTGCACAGAGCTACCATTTCACTAGTGTTGTAGAGGTATCAAGTGAACAGGCAAAAGGTCAAATACCAATCAGGTAGCCAATCAGTACTCCAAATAAGAGAAAGTAAGCAGAGGAGGCTCAGAATGGAAACTGAAGATTCAAGAAATAGCAAGAAATGAGTAATGTCCAGCTGATGTCTAACTGTGTGCCAGAATATGTGTTTAGTGATTTCTCTTGATGCAAAGGGCCCTTTTCCGTACATCAGTGTGTATTTTGATTAGGTCACATGGAAATATCTATCACAGATGACAGCTGCTCATTGCCCACTTAATAACCATACTCCAATTCTTCTTTACTAAGAGGACCCTCATTTTACTATGGGCAACATTAGGCTGAGTTAAAATGACTCACTCCATATATTTCCTTTCCCTTCCTGATGGCTATATGACACAAGACTGGCCAATGACAATTAAGTAAGCATGGGTTTTGGGTTACAGCTTCCTGGAAAGTTATTGTGAAAAAGGTTGGTGGAGAAACAGGTAGGGAGAAGAGAAGAAGTCCATAGAGTATGGACCCTAGGCATGGATGGCTTTGCTCCCAGACAGAAGAGAACTTACGAGAAGAGGGAAAGCAAGTATCTCCCTGCTTCTCAGAACTTACATTCTTCCCATATGAAAAAGAGAACCCAGTTTGTGACCATCACTTTAGATTCACAAAATATACCAGCATTCTAAATTAGGATTTTCCTTGAGAGCTAATTCTTTGGAGATGTGCTCTTGGAATACAGTCATAATCACCTATAGCATATATTTATAATACACACATGTATACATACCACATACATATTTATGTATAACATTAGACTCTGTTACCACGGAAACTATTACAGTACTAACAAATTTCCACTGTAATATGAAATAAGAAATTCAAATGAAATACCAAGCATTTGTTTAAGCACAAATAGCTTTAGTAATTAAATACATAGAGACAATACAGAAAACTGCAAATTAATACTTAGAAGCCTTTTGCAGTATGAAAGTTGGCTTTGATGTTGTTTTCCCTTTTCCACTGCATTATGTTATACATCTTTATAAATTAAATTTGGCATTGGGTTAACAAGAATAGATCTGCTTGCTGAATAGGAGCTTTCACACACCTAAAAGCTGAGCTCTTATTCTAGATAGTTACACCTTCCATAGTCAGTGAGAACGATTTTATGGCTCCTTTTATTACTCAGAAGGAGGACTTTTATAAAAGAAAGCTCAAATGTGAAGTTGGTCTTACATCCCCTGTTTCATTCAGACAATATGTAGAACTACCCCTGGGGTTTTGAATATATTAACATCCTTTCACAATTAACCCTAATGGGACAAGTGTAGCATTTTTTTTCCCAAGCAGATATATTCAAAGCTGAAAAATACATAGTGTTTAAATAGATCTCATTGTATCAGCTACACCAAATCTCTCCTCTTTATATACAGAGGATTGTACCTCTCTTCACTGTCATGCAACATTAAAATAGGAAGGCATACACAAGGATGACATAGATTTGACAAAAAATTAATGATTTGTACATCACTTTAATGCCTCAAATCTGCAATTCATGTATGCTAATTAGTTCATAATGGGCTGTTGAAGAACAGAACTGTCATCCTGCTGCTTCGCAGGTTTCTGGAAGCTCCGATTCAGCACAGACTTGCCTGGTTGGCTGCTGGATTCTGGGCTGTAACATGGCAGATCTATGATAGCATCCCCCCTCCCCTCAACACACAATTGTTTCCTGGATGTGGTGCTTTAATCTATCAGAGTTACGATGGCATATCTCAAATAAGTGGTTCCTGGGTGCCGCAATACATACCGGCAGCGGTAGCATGGCATCACTACATCTAAATGATTGATTTCTGGATTTTAGACTGTCAGGCTATACCTCAGAGGGCAGCTGTCAACTTCCTAAATGTATGAAGTTGTATTATGCAGCACATTTTGAAAATGTATGTACAACTTTATTATTTATAGATAAAAAGGGCTGTAAAACTTGGAGAGAGGAAACAAAGGGGACTAGAAAGATCAGATGTCTTTTCTTACTGTGAAATCACGTATATCTCCCCACTGCAAGAGACGCAGCTACCCGTCGCTTTTTCTGAGATCTCCTTTGGTCTTTGCGCTGCAGAGGCAGAGACAAAGACTCTCACAACAGCAGGAGAGTGTGAGGCTGGGCTGCTTCACCAAACAAATGGAAGCACCAGGGCTTATTGGAAGCTGGGAGATTTGAAAACAAGTTGTTCTGTTTTTATTGGAGTGCAAACTGATTTTCCCTGATTCCATGATAGAGGCTTGACCCAATGTATTTCTCATATCACATCTACTGATCTGTAAACCCAGCTTCTATGCATGTCCAGAGTTACAATGACACAAAGGAAACAAGAATCGAATTGGTTTTCAGGCACAAAGTAATCAGTTAGTTCCTGATGGCTAAAATTTTTGTCTTGAAGACTCCAGAATGAAGATGCATTTATTTTAAAAAATGATTTTTTACACACTAGAAAATATGAACTTGACATCATAATAGAAAAACGGAGCCAGGCCAGGGAAAACATACTCCAAATGTAGTTAAACTATGAAAGGATTTCAGATTTTAGGAATAGTCACTTGGCAAATATGCAAAATAATGGTGTATCATCAAAAGGAGTCTAAAAGTGCTCAAGTTAAAGAATTTTTGTTCAGACATGTGTTTAAGACCTTTAAACATGCATAGAGAAAAAATTGTCATTAAGAAGAATTGATACTTAAAGGTTGAATGAATGAATGATGTTCTTCAAATAATGCTGTGGCTTGAAGGACAGAAAATGACATTTCAACCTAGAATTCTGTATGTGGCTCTCCAGCCAGCAACAGGAAAGCCAATGTTCAAAGTAACCATAATATTTTATCTACATTAACATTTGAATAACATTTTCTTGTGAGGAAAACCAAACCACAAATTTGAAGCTCCCTTCCATGGTTGGGTTATTCAAATTTGCAGATTTAATGTTGGGTTTTAGTGAATATTTAGGAGTGGGGTGGCTAGGTCATTTGGGAGATGTATGCTTAGCCTGTTGAGAAACTGACAATCTGTTTTCCAAAGTCATTGTACCACTTTACATTCCCACCAGCAATTCGTAAAAGACCCAATTTCTCCATATCCTTGCCGACACTTGATGTGGCCAATCTTTATAATTTTTGACATTCTAATAAGTATGTAATTATATCTTGCAGTGGTTTTGTGTTTCCCTCATAACTAATGATGTTAGCATCTTTTCATGTCCTTATTTGCCATGTTTATCTTCTTTAGTGAAGTAACTCTTCAAATCTCTTGCTGATTTTTTACTTCAGTTGTTTGTTTCCTTATTCTTGAGTTTTGAGAGTTCTTTATATATACTGGATACAGCCTTTTATCACATATATGATTAGGAAATATTTTCTCTTACTCTGAATCTTCTTTTTTCATTGTCAAAGCACTATCTTTTTGAAGAGCAGAATTTTTAACTTTTGATGAAGATATATTGATATCAATAACAATATAGATGTATATCTTTTGGTGTCTTCTTCCTTCTTTAATCGGTCTGCCAGAATTTTATCTACTTTATTATCTTCTCAAAAAACAGATTTTGTTTTCATTGATTTTTATCCGTTGTTTTTGTCTTCTATTTCATTGATTCGTGCTCTAATTCTTATTTCCTTTCATGTACTATCTATACCTTTCATTTGCTTTTTTCCTGCATGTCAAGGTAGACGCTGAGGTCATTGATTTTAGACCAAAGAGAAATGAAATCACACATGCACACAAAGACTTTTATACAAATGTTCATAGAAGCTTTATTTTTAATGGCCCAAACCTGGAAACTACCCAAATGCTCATTAACAGGTAAATAAATACATGAATGTGCTATTATTTATTTGACAGACTACTACTCAGCAATAAAAGGAGACAGATTATTACACAAGCAATGTGGTGCATCTGAAAATAATTATGCTCATGAAAGAAAACAAACAAAAAGAAGACATACTATATAATTTTGTGGATATAAGATTATAGAAAATATAAAGTAGCTTATAATGACATGAAGCAGATTAATGGCTGTCTGAGGATGGGGATGGAAGGGTAGTAGGGAGGTATTCAAAAGGGGCACCAGGAAACTTGGGCGGTGGTGGATATGTTCATTAACTTGATTGTACAGAGTGTTTCAGGGATGTACACAGATGTTAAAACTGATAAGATTTTATATTGTAAGTGTGTGTAGTTTACTGTATGTCAATTATATCTCAAAAACCTGTTTAAAAAGTCATCATTAAAAAAATGATGAAGGCCACAGAAAAGGAGAAAATATGTGCAATAATTAAATCTGACTTGTATCCAGGATATATAAAGAACTCTTACACTTGATGAGACAAATAACCCAATAAAACAATAAGCAAAATATTTCAATAGACATTCATAAAAAGTATATATGTGTATATATATGTATGTGTATATATGTATATATATGTGTGTGTGTATATATATACACATATATAATTATATGTGTGTGTGTATATATATATATATATATATATATGAATAGCCAATAAACCCATGAAAAGATACTCAACAGTATTAGCCATCAGGGAAAGCAAATCAAAACCACAATGAGATATCACTACAGATCCACTAGGATAGCTAAAATTAAAATGAGTAATGATACTATAAAATGTTGGTGAGGATGTGAAGGAGTTGGAATTTTAATCCACCCTGGCAGGAGTGTAAAATTGCCTGGCACCCAGGCACAATTTCCCTGGAAAATTGTTCGACAATTTCTTAAAAAGTTAAATATATACAATCCCTAGGACCCAGCAGTTTCTTTCCCGGGTATATACCCAAGCGAACTGAAAGCATATGCCCGTACAAATATATAAATATTCATGGAAATTTTATTCAAAATTGCTCAAAACTGGAAACAATCCCTCTTGTGCTTTGGGAACTCCAATTACATGTATATTTGATGTTTGAAGTTGTCCCTTGGTTCCCTGATACTCTGTTCATTTTCATTTTCTTTTTTTTTTTATTCTCTCTAGTTTCATTTTGGATAGCTTTTATTGCTATGTCTTCAAGTTTCCTAATCTTTTTTTCTCCAATGTTTAATCTGCTGTTATTTTTCATGTCAGATATTGTAGTTTTTATCTGTAGAAGGTCTTCCATGCCTCTAGTCATCATGTGCAATCTTTCCTCTAGCTTCTTGAACTGTTGTACTAACTCTTCTAGTGTCCTGTCTAGTAATTCTATCATCTGTGTGATTCTTATGTCAGTTTCAATTGATTGATTTTTGTCCTCATTACAAATCATAATTTCCTACTTCCAAATGCCAATTTGGAATGTTAATTCTGCTAATTGCTGAATGGTTATCAGACGTTGTAAGTTTTACCCTTTTGGGTGGTAGATATGTTTGTATTCCTGTAAATATTCTTGAGGTTTTTTTCTGGGATGCACTTGAATTACTTACACTTTGATCCTTTCAGAACTTGCAGTTGAGCTTTGCCAAGTGGAACTAGAGCAGCCTTTAATCTAGGGGTATCTTTGTTTCAAGACACAAGCTAAGCCTTTCTGAAAACTCGACCCAATGCCTGTGAATTATGAGGTTTTCCACCCTAGCTGGTAAGAGCAGGAACTATTCCTGGCTTTATGTGTGGGCCTATCACTGTCCCTTTCATCTTTTGAGAGAGTTCTTTCCCCAGACTTGGATAGAGTTCTCTGAAACATACAGGAATCAGGATTCAGCTGAAGGTGGAAGCAGAGCCCTCAGTAGATCTCTGTTTTCTTCTCTCTATTCTCTACCCTGTAAACTCTAGCCATGCAGACTCTTGTCTCTTCTCCACTCCAGGAGGCCACTGTTCTCTGCTGGGATCTCACTCTGTGCCTCAGCCAGAGACTCTCTCCAGACAGCCAACTGGGCCAATTGGGGGCTCACTGCATTTGTTTCCCATCATTCTGGGCTCATTGTTTTTTATTGCTAGAGTCCAAAGTCTTTCTAACCATTGTGCCATATATTTTGTCCAGTTTTTAAATTGTTTCAGTAATAATAAAAAATACAACATCTTCTGTTCTAAGTAACTCTCAATCTTGTAAAGAAGTAGGAAATTTACAAATAATACTTTAGGGTAAAAGAAAAGCCAGGTGGTAAGTTGAGATAAGTGGAGAAAAAAGGGTTAAGTACAAAAATGGCCAATAGCTTCTGGTTTGAAAATGGAAAAGGATATTGTGTTAGGCAGAAGAATGTCCTTCCCTGCCCCAACCCCACAAAGGTGTCCAAGTCCTAATCATGGAAACTGTGAATTTTACTTTACATGGCAAAGTGGTCTTCACATATGCACATATGTGATTAAGTTAAAGATGCTGAGATGGGAAGATTATCCTGGGCTATTTGAGTGGACCCA
Organism: Homo sapiens; assembly: GCF_000001405.40. Lineage (NCBI taxonomy): Eukaryota > Metazoa > Chordata > Mammalia > Primates > Hominidae > Homo > Homo sapiens. Next base: position 204,420,719 of record NC_000002.12, read on the forward strand.
ATGTAATCACAATGTTCCTTGTAAATGGAGGGAGGAAAGTCAGAAAAGAAGATGTGACAATGGAAGCAGAAGTCAGAGGGATAGGATTGCAGGCTGTAAGGGGGCCATGAGCCAAGAATTGACAGCAACCTTTAGAAACTGGAAAGGGAAGGGAATAGATTTCCCTAGAACTTTGAGAAGGAACGTAGCTCTGCCAAAATCTTGATTTTTGCCCAGTGGGACCCATTTTGGACCTCTGAACTCCAGGAATGTAATAAATTTGTGTTTCTTAAACCATTAAGTTTGTAATAATTTGTTACAGTAGTGATCAGAAACTAATACAGATGTTGAATAAAATGGTTAACTTTTGCTCCTGTCCAACAGTGAAGTTGTTAGGGTAGTAAACCACCCATCTGCAGGAACTTCCTCAGATAGTGGTGATCGTCATTTGCGTGCTGGTATATGAAGGACTAAATTCGAAGTGTGTGTCATTTGTCATCAGTCTCTGTTACTATAATAAATGTCTGGAATAAAATTATGGGTAGCTATTAGGCAGATGCTTGTAGCGACACTGGCTTCCTGTGAGTCAGAAGAATGTCCCCAGCCTCCACCTCCACCTCCAGAGGGACCCAAATTACACAAGAGTTGAAGGGAGGCAATGGCTTTACAAGACCTGGAATTAGAAATTTTATAATATTTTTAGCACTGTAAAGGGCATACCATCATCCTCCTTGATAAAATTTACGTCTATTCTTCAAACATGCTACCTGTGTTCAGAAACATGGGTTTCAATATTTAAAAATAGGGGATTTGGCCTTAGTTTTTCTTCAGCTTGATTTCCCTTTGCTTGAAATAATTTTCCAGTATTTATCTAGTGAACTTCTAGTTATGATGTCTGGATGCTTTTGTCCCCATGTGAGGGTAAGTCAAATAGTTTTTTATTAATAAAAATTTCTTAATAAATAGCATAAGTTGTTTGTATACAGACTCCAAGTACCCTCTAGTCCTTTGCCCAGATAATTAATTGCATTTGAGGATAAGCAGCCAATGAGAAAAAAGGCAGAGAACTGAACATTCTCCTTCCTCACCTTGGTTGGAATGGAGACACATGGTGCATGGTTGTCACTCTGGGTTGTAAAAGTTCTCTCTGCATTTGGGGATATGCACAGATGAGCAATTAGCTAAGTGTGTACATGCATTGTATTAGAGAAGAACCTTGCTCCTGGCTAAATCAAAGCATTCATTATTGAGGCTAATTCCAACTCACTTAGCTTCTCTGTGAGAAATAAATAACGTTTCACAGCCTCATATGTCCTGGCAATGTCCTTTAAGTCCAAGCAAGGCTAGGTAGAAGAGACAATGGGCTTAACAAATTGTCTACTGGTTTGTTTGTTTGTTTATTTTTTTATTTTGGTGTTTTTTTTTTTTTTGGAGTCAGGGCTTCTCTATAAGGTCCTTATGAAGCAAGCCAAGACAAAAATTCAAAACAGACCAGATAGAACAAGAAGTTCATGGGCATAATTAGGTTTAAGATCTTCTAAATCTGTTTGGTGATTTTATTTGCCAAATAGGTAGTGTGCCTGTCTTAGTTAATTTTCTGCTGCTGTAAGAAAATACTACAGATTGGGTAATTTATAAAGAAAAGAAGTTTATTTGGCTCATGGGTCTGGAGGCTGGGAAGTCCTAGAGGTTGGCACTGGCATCTGGTGAGGATATTCTTACTGCATCCTTAATTGCTCATCTGTGCATATCCCCACATGAAGGCATCTCATGGCAAATACATGGATACACTCGAGGCAGAATAAATAGAAGCCAAGCTTATCCTTTCGTCAGGAGCACACTCTTGAGATAAGGAACCTACTCCCACAATAACAGCATTAATCTATTCATGAAGGCGGAACCCTCATGATCTAATCACCTCTTAAAGGTCTCACCTCTTAACACTGTTGCACTGGGTATTATGTTTCTAAGGTATGAACTTCCGGGAGACATATTCAAACCATAGCAGTATCCACATTCAGATTGTGTCCATGTAGAATCAGAACAACTGATGATAAATTTTTCTCTTCTTGACCAAAAAAATTGTATCAAGAAAATGGTTTGTCTGACTTTATTTTCTCTACTTTTATTTTCGTTGATTGGAATAATTCACTCATTTCACTTATTTATGAAAGTTTTCTGTTTGAAATGTATTCAATGTACAGTTGATGTGTCTCTGTTTTGGACACACACACACACACACACACACACACACACACACATTCCTTCTTTAATCTCTTGTTCCCATCTCCTAAGTAGGGAGACTCCCAATATGGCAGAGGCTAAACAGTACTAGTATAATTGAGTTGCAATTATTCTAAATTTTTATGTTGTCATCTGGCTTTTAGAATACGGTCATCAAGTTCTCCATTGCTGAGTTGCCCATGAAATAGTGATGCTGAGTTTGGGAAAAGAGTTTATAGTGATCTGGCTTAACATATTAACAGCATAATAGAACAAGCTAAGGAAAGAATCTCAGAGCTCAAAGATTTGTTCTCTGAAGTAATTCAGTCAAACAATAAAAAAAGAAAAAAATGAACAAAATATGGGAAATATGAGAAATATGGGATTCTGTAAGGAGAGCAAATCTACAACTCACTGGTGTTCCTGAGAGAGATGCAGAGACAGCAAGCAACTTAGAAAACACATTTCAGGAAACTGTCCATGAAATCATCTGCAACTTCACTAGGGAGGCCAACATTTAAATTCAGGAAATGCAGAGAACCCCTGCAAGATTCTACACAAGAAGACCATCCCCAAGACACCTAATCATTAGATTATCTGAGGTCAAAATGAAAGAAAAAGTGTTAAGGGCAGCTAGAGAGAGGGGCAGGTCACCTGCAAAGGGAACCCCATCAGACTAACAGCAGAACTTTAAGCAGAAACCCTACAAGTCAGGAGAGACTGGGGGCCTACATTCAGCATTCTTATAGAAAAGAATTTCCAAACAAGAATTTCATATCCAGCCAAACTAACTTTCATAAGCAAAGGAGAAATAAGATCCTTTTAAGACAAGCAAATGCTTAGGGAATTTATGGCCACCAGACTTGCCTTATGAGAGGGCCTGAAAGGAGCGCTAAATATAGAAAGACCATTACCAGCCACTACAAAAACACACTTAAATACACAGATTATTGACTCTATAAAGCAACCACACAAATAAATCTGCATAATCACCATCTATAAACATGATGACAGGAACAAATCTGCACATAACAATATCAATCTTGAATGTAAGTGGGCTAAATAACCCAATTAAAAGACACAGAGTGGGAAGTTGGATAGAGAAGCAAGATCCATATGCTGTCTTCAAGAGACCCATCTCACATATCATGACAACCATAGGTTCAAAATAAAGTGATGCAGAAAAATCTACCATGCAAATGGAAAAAAAAAAGGCAGAGGTTGGTATCCTAATTTCAGATAAAACAGACTTTAAGCCAACGAAGATTTTTAAAAAGACAAAGAAGGGTATCACATAATGGTAAAGGATTCAATTCAACAAGAAGACTTAACTACCCTAAATATATATGCACAACACAGGAGCCACCCAAATTCATAAAGCAAGTTCTTAGAGACCCAGGAAGAGACTTAGATTTCCACACAATAATAGTGAGAGATATTAACACCTCACTGACAGTATTGGACAGATCATCAAGGCAGAAAACTAACAAAGGTATTCAGAACCTGAACTCAACACTTGACCAAATGGACCCAATAGATATCTACAGAACACACCACCCCAAAACAACAGAAAATGTATTGTTGTCATCAGTGTGGCACATAATCTAAAAGCGACCACACAATTGGTCATAGAATAATTCTCAGCAAATTAAAAAAAAACAAAAATCATATCAACTGCACTGTCAGTCCACAGTACAATAAAAAGTACAATAAAAATAGAAATCAAGACTAAGAAAATTACTCAGAATCATACGAGTACATAGAAATTAAACAACCTGTTCCTGAAAGGCTTTTGGGTAAATAATAAAATTAAGGCAGAAATAAAAGAAAGCGTGAAATTAATGAGAACATACAACATACCGGAATCTCTGGGACAGTCATAGCAGTGTTAAGAGGGAATTTTATAGCACTAAATGCCCACATCAAATTTCATGTGGGCATATTTTGAGTTAGAAAGGTCTCAAATAAAAAACCTAACATCACAACTAGAGGAACTAGAGAAACAAGAGCAAACCAGCCCCAAAGCTGGCACAAGATAAGAAATAACCATAATAAAAGCTGAACTGAAGGAAACTTAGAAAAAAAATACAAAAGATCAACGAATCAAGGAGTTTGTTTTTTTGAGAGAATTAATAAGATAGGCCACTAGCTGGACTAATAAAGAAAAGAAGAGAGAAGATTCAAATAAATATAATCAGAAATGACAAAGAGGACATTACCACTGTTCCCACAGAAATTAACAACAACCAAAAAAACACCCTCAGAGACTACTATGAACACATCTATCCACACAAACTAGAAAACCTGGAAGAAATGGATCAATTCCTGGACATATACAACCTCCCAAGACTGAACAGTGCCAGCTCTTCTTTACATATCTGGTAGAATTTCAAATTCAAAATGAGTTTCAAAACTGAATCAGTTAAAAAAGCCTACCAACTAAAAAATGCCCATGACCACAGAGATTCACAGCTGAATTCTACCAGATGTATAAAGAAGAGCTGATACCATTACTACTAAAAGTATTCAAAAAAATTGAGGAGGGCTCTTTCATAAGTCATTCTATGAGGCCAGCATCATCCTGATACCAAGACCTGGCAGAGATACAACAAATAAAGAAAAATTCAGGCCAATAAATATCCTTGATGAACACAGATGCAAAAGTCCTCAACAAAATACTAGCAAACTGAATCCAGTGGCACATCAAAAACCTAATTTACTACAAACAAGTAGGCTTTATCCCTGGGATGCAAGGTTGACTCAACATGCACAAATCAATAAACGTGATTCGCCACATGAACAAAACTTAAAACAAGAACCACATGATTATCTCAATACATGTAGAAAAGGCTTTTGATAAAATCCAACATCCCTTCATGTTAAAAACGCTCAACAAACTAGGCACTGAAGAACATTCTTCAAAATAATAAGAGCCATCTATGAGAAACCCACAGCCAACATACTGAATGAGCAAAATCTGGATGCATTTCCCTTGAAAACCGGAACAAGACAGGGTGCCCTCTCTGCCATTCCTACAGAACATAGTACTGGAATCCTGGCCACAGCAATCAGGCAAGAGAAAGAAAAAAAAAGGCATTCAAACAGGAAGAGAGGAAGTCAAACTATGCCTGTTTGCAGATGATATGACTGTATACCTAAAAATCACCATAGTTTCTGTCCCAAAATTCCTTGATCTGATAAACAACTTCAGCAAAGTTTCAGAATACAAAATTAACATACAAAACTCAGTAGCATTCCTATACACCAACAGCATCCAAGCTGAGAGCCAATTAAGAACACAATCCCATTCACAATAGCCACAAAAAGGATAAAGTACTTAGGAATACCGCTAACCAGGGAGGTGAAAGATTTCTACAACAAGAATTATGAAACACTGTTCAAAGAAATCAGAGATGACACAAGCAAATGGAAACATATTCCATGCTCATGGATAGGAAGAATGAATGTTGTTAAAGCGGCCAGACTGCCCAAAGCAATTCACAGGTTCAATGCAATTCCTATCAAATTACTAATGACATTCTTCAAAGAATTAGAAAAAACTATTTCAAAATTCATATGGAACCAAAAAAAGCCCTAATTGCCAAGGCAATCTTAAGCAAAAAGAACAAAGCTGGAGTCATTACATTACCTGACTTCAAACTATTCTTAAAAGATACAGTAAGCAAAACAGCATGGTACTGGGACAAAAACAGACACATAGACCAATGGAACAGAATAGAGAGCCCAGAAATAATGCCACACACCTACAGCCATCTGATCTTCAACAAAGTCAAAACAATCAGTGGGGAAAGGACTCCCTGTTTAATAAATGGCCCTAAGATAACTGGCTAGCCATAAGCAGAAGATGAAACTAGACCCCTTTCTTATACTGTACACAAAAATTAACTCAAGATGGATTAAAGACCTAAATGTAAAACCTAATACTGATACTATAAAAATTCTGGAAGATAACCTAGAAAATAACATTCTGGACACAGGATCTGGCAAAAATTTCATAACAAAGACATAAAAAGGAATTGCAGCAAAAACAAAAATTGACAAATGGAAACTAATTGTATCAAAGAGCTTCTGCACAGCAAAAGAAACTATCAACAGAGTAAACAGACAACCTAAAGAATGAGAGAAAATATTTACAGACTACACATCTGACAAAGATCTAATATCTAGCATGTATAAGGAACTGAAACAAATTTACAAGTATAAAAACAAGCCTATTAAAAAGTGAGTAAAGGACATGAACACTTTTCAAAAGAAGAAACACATGTGGCCAATAAGCATCTAAAAAACATGCTTAACATCACTAATTATTAGAGAAATGCAAATCAAAACCACAATGAGACACCATCTCACACCAGTCAGAATGGCTATTATTAAAAAGTCAAAAAATAATGGATGCTGGTGAGGTTGCAGAGAAAAAAGTGCTTACACACTGTTGGTGGGAGTGTAAGTTAGTTCAGCCATTGTGGAAAGCAGTATGGTGATTCCTAAAAGAACTTAAAACAGAATTACTATTCCACCCAGAAAGCCCATGATTGGGCATATACCCAAAGGAAAAGAAATTGCTCTACCATAAGGATACATACTTGTGTATGTTTATTGCAGCAATATTCACAATAGCAAAGACATGGAATCAACCTAAATGCCCATCAATGGAAGATTGAATAAAGAAAATGTGGTACATATACACCATGCAATATTATATAGTCATAAAAAATGAGATCATGTCCCTTGCAGCAACATAGATGAGCTGGAGGCCATTATCGTAAGCAAACTAATGCAGGAACAGAAAACCAAATACTACCTGTTCTCACTTACAAGTGGGAGCTAAATGAGAACACATGGGCAAAAAGAGGGGAACAACACACCAGGGACTACTTGAGAGTGAAAGGTTGGAGGAGGGAGAGGATTAAAAAACTACCTATCAGGTATTATGCTCATTACCTAGGTTACAAAATAGTCTGTAAACAAAACCCCCATGACATGCAGTTCAACTAGAAATCTGAACATGTACCCCTGAACCTACAATAGGAGTTAAAAAAAAAAACACATAGCCGGCTTATAGAAGCACTGCAGGGGCATAAATCTCTCAGAAGCCTGTTGAGCTGGAGGATGCATGCTGATTCACGTGAATTCTGGAGTTTGTGATGCAGGTGAGAACATTTTTAAAGCAGGAGGAGTTCAGGAGTGTTTGTTCCTAGGTGTTACATGATTAGGCAAAGAGAATTTAACACAAAAAACTCAAATGGAATTGGTAAGTAACTGAATCATGGTTCAGGTAATTTTTTTAGAGCCATTTTGATGAGACTAGGAAGTTCAGGTAAAACAGGCCCTCCCTCCTTAGTGGTTACGGAACCACAAAAGGCGATCCAGTCTGAAACGTGGAAAAGCAACTGAAAAATAACTTGGAAACTGAAAAATAAATATTACAAAATCTAATCAATTTGCATACAAGTGGCTTCAATGCTATTATTTTATCCAGCAAATGAATTATTTAGCACCTATTTTGTGCAAAGCTCCTTCCAGGAAGTCAGAGTTCAGCACTGGACATGACAGACATGGTTTCTATCCATTATGGAGCTTAAAACCTTGGGAGATGTCAAACGTGGTAGGCTCAAAGTATGGTCTCCCAAATATGGCCACATCCTGATCCCCAGAGCCTGTGAATATGTTACCTCACATGGTTACCTCACAGACATGATTTCATTAAGGATCTTGAGATGGGGAGATGATCCTAAATTATCAGGTGGGCCCAATGTAAGCATCAGGGTCCTTATAAGAGGAAGGCAAGAGGATCAGAGTCAGAGAGAGAAGATAAAATAGCAAAGCAGATGGCAGGGAGGAGAGGTGTTTTGCTGCTAGCTTTGAATATAGAGGAAGAGGCCATGAGCCAAGGAATACAGGTGATGTGTAGCAGTTGGACAGGGCAAGAGGGTGGATGGATCCCTTGCTAAGGCCTCCAGAGGGAGCATAGCCCTGAGACAGCCCTTGCTTTTGACCCACTGAAACTCATTTTAGATTTTTGACTTTCAGACCTGTAAGATAATACATTTATGTTGTTTTAAGCCAGTAAGTTTGTGGTAATTTTTTACAGCAGCAATAGGGGAAAATAATACAAAAAATAAGCAAATAATTATCTGAAACCCTGTATCACTATCGTTGTGATTGGTGCCATGAAGGAAAAGCAGAGAATCCCATAAGGAGACATAACAGAGGCCGAACCTAAGATGGGCTGAGCTAACTTCCCTCTATTTCGCTTTTTCTGGAGGAGGCCTAGGGTGAAATGACCAGGAGAGGTTGGGAGTGCTGTGCTGAAGGCAGAACAGCCTCAGCAAGGCTGTCTGATGCCTAAAGGAATCTGACACAGTGGAGGCTGGGGGAGAAGCGGCACAGTGAGCAAGGGGATGGAATGGATTCTGGAGGGCTTCGTGGCCTGCAGAGATTTTAGACTTCATCCAAAAGGAAGACGCAGCCACTGAAGAGCTGTAGTAAGTGGGTGCCAAGATCAGGTTTGTGGTGTTTTTAGATCATTCTGGCTGCTCTGTGGGGAATGAATCTGAGAAAGTTAAAAGCAGCTAAGGAGATACGGATGAAGACCATTGAATTCCTCAGAACATAGGATGATTACAGAAGCTTAGACAAGGGTGGTGATAAGGAGGGAAGCAGGTCTATTTTGGAGGGGGACTCTCTAGGACCGGTGATTGATTGATTGAATCAATAATTCTTTTTTTAAAATGGCTAATCATTATGTGACTCTATCATGTTTATGAATCCTTCTGTTAACATTTGGGATTTGTCCAGTTATTTGCTATTATAAATAGCTTTGCTATCAATATTCTTGTACAACTCTTGTTATGAATATATATTTTTATTTTAATACCTAAAAGTGAAACTGCTTGGTCACGAAGGAGGTGTATATTCAGCATTTTAAGAAGCTGCCACACTGTTCTGAAGTGGACAGTTTTACACCCCCTTTGGTGATTTATTGGACAAGAAAAAGCATAACAAGAAAAAGTCGAGTGGGTTCCCTTGAACCAAAGAACAACATGCTGGAACCTTTAACCAGCTCCCTATGTTTTGTGTGTTTAGGCAGACAGGTGAAGATAAAGCCTGTCTTTGACGTGTCTATGAGCACGTCCCCGGAGAGTCAAAATCTCGTTTCCTTGGGTAGAGGAAGCTAAAGATAGTCTCCTAAATTGCCATCAAATTTTCTGAAGAATTTTGGCCTTTTGCTTTCTTTACATAAGTTTAATCTTAAGCTATGTATATAATATGGATAAGTTATAGCCAGTGTTCAGACTACATTGCACAAAAACAATAAATAAAATTAATTCAATAATTTTCCAGCATTCCCCCTCTTTTGTCACCCTCCATATGAACGTTGTCATGAAAAGAACATAGGCTTTGGGGTGAATTAAAACTCACTGTAGTCCTAGCTCCAGCTCTTACTTGCTGTGTGATCTCAGGCAAGTTACTTAACCTGAGGCATTTTCATCCATTTTCAAACTGGGTATAATAATGCCTATTTTGCTTACCAACTTAAGGAGTTTTGGGACTGAAACGATGGAGTTTTCTTTTTTCTTTTTTGAGACAGTGTTTTGCTCTTGTCACCCAGGCTGGAGTGCAATAGCATGATCTCAGCTCACTGCAACCTCCGCCTCCTAGGTTCAAGCAATTCTCCTGCCTCAGCCTCCTGAGTAGCTGGGATTACAGGCACCTGCCACCATGCCTGGCTAATTTTTGTATTTTTTAGTACAGACGCGATTTCACCATGTTGGCCATGCTGGTCTTGAACTCTTGACCTCAGGTGATCCACCCGCCTTGGCCTCCCAAAATGCTGGGATTATAGGTGTGAGCCATTGCACCCAGCCAACAGGGTTTTCTAAATATACAATCATGTCACCTGCAAACAGTTTGACTTCCTCTTTTCCTATTTGAATACCCTTTATTTCTTTCTCTTGCCTGATTGCCCTGGCCAGAACTTCCAATACTATGTTGAATGGGAGTGGTGAGAGAGGCATCTTTGTCTTGTGCCGGTTTTCAAAGGGAATGCTTCCAGTTTTGCCCATTCAGTATGATTGATTGATTAATTGATTGACTTATCTCTTTCTCTCTTTCTTCTTTCTTTTTCTTTCTCTCTCTTTTGCTCTTTCTCTCTCTCTTTCTTTCTTTCATGGTTGTCATTGTAGAGATCTTTCCACCTCCTTGATTTTATTTTATTTATTCCTGAGCATTTTATTTATTCTTAAGTATTTTCTTTATTTTTGTAGTTATTTCAAATAGGGTTACTTTCTTGATTTTTTTCAGCTAGTTTGTTATTGGTGTATAGAAATGCTACTGATTTTTCATATTGATTTCTGTATCCTGAAATTTTGTTAAATTTTTTTTATTAGTGGCTTTTTGTTTGTTTTGTTTTGTTTTCAGAGACACGGTTTCATTCTGTCACCTAGGTGGGAGTGCAGTTGTATGATCATAGCTCACCTGCAGTCTGTAACTCTTGGGCTCAAGTGATCCTCCCACCTCAGCTTCCCAGGTAGCTGGGACTACAGGTGCATTCCATCATGCCCAGCTAATTAAGAAAAAAAAATTAGTAGAGATGGGGGTCTCACTGCATTGCCAGGCTGATCTTGAACTCCTGGGCCCAAGCAATTATTCCACCTTGGCCTCCCAAAATGCTGGGATTATAGGCATGAGCCATTGTGCCTGGCTATGCATTCATTTATTAGTTTTAAGAGTTTTTTTGTGGAGTCTTCAGGTTTTTCTAGATATAAGATGATGTCATCTTCAAACGGGGACAATTTGACTCCCTCTTTTCCAATTTGGATGCCCTTTTTTCTTTCTCTTGTTTAACTGCTCTGGCTAGGACTTCCAATACTATGTTGAAGAAGAGTGATAAAAGTGGACATCCTTGTCTTGTTCCAGTTCTTAAGAGGAAATACTTTCAGCTTTTCTCCATTCAGTTTGCTGTGAGCTGAGGGTTTCTCTTATATGGCCTTTATTGTGTCAACCTATGTTCCTTCTATACCTAATTTGTTGAGCATTTTGTTTGAGACAGAGTCTTGCTCTGTTGCCCAGGCTGGAGTGCAGTGGCGCAATCTCAGCTCCCTGCAAGCTCCACCTCCCAGGTTCATGCCATTCTCCTGCCTCAGCCTACCCAGTAGCTGGGACTACAGATGCCCACCACCATGCCCGGCTACTTGTTTGCATTTTTAGTAGATACGGGGTTTCACCATGTTAGCCAGGATGGTCTCGATCTCCTGACTTCGTGATCCGCCCACCTCAGCCTCCCAAAGTGCTGGGATCACAGGTGTGAGACACCGTGCCCGGCCTTGTTGAGTGTTTTTATCATGAAGCAATGTTGAATGTTATCAAATGTTTTTTCTGTGTCTATTAAAATGATCATATAGTTTTTGTAATTTTTCCATTGATGTTATACATCACATTTATTGGCTTGCGTGTGTTAAACTATCCTTGCATTCCTGCAATAAATCCCACTTGATCATGATGTGTTATTTTTTTGGTGTGCTGCATTCAATTTGCTAGTATGTTGTTGAGAATTTTTGTACCTATGTTCATTGGGGATATTGGCCTATAGTTTTGTATTTTTTTGTTGTGTTCCTATCTGGCTTTACTATCGGGGTAATGCTGGCCTTGTAGAATGAGCAGAAAGAAGTCCCTTCTTTTCAATTTCTTGTAATAGTTTGAGAAGAATTGGTTTAGTTCTTCTTTGAAAATTTGGTAGAATTCAGCAGTAACACTGTCTATTCTTGGGCTTTTCAAGATTTCTGTTTGGTTCTTTTTTATGACATCTATCTCTTTGATAGATGAATTTGAATGAATTGAGTTTCTCATTCAGATAATGAAGTGTTTTCCTGATTTCTTTGTATTGTCTGTATTCTTTGTATTTCACTGAGTTTCCTTAAGATCATTATTTTGAATTCCTTTTGAGGCATTGTATAGATTTTTCTTTTCTTGGGGTTTGTTACTGGAGAATCAATATGTTCATTTAAAGTTGCCATGTTTCCTTGCTTTTTCATGCTTTCTCTGTTCCTACATTGATATCTGTGCATCTGGTGTACCAAACACTTCTTCCAATTTTATTCAATAGCTTTTGTAGGGAATGACTTTTTCTTATAGATCTATCTATAGTGCCAGTTGAGTAGGGTGCTTTGGCTTTGGTTCTGGGTGGGTGCACTAGTGTGGTCTCCGTATAATTTCTTCAGCTATAATCAATATCAGCAGTGTCCTGTGATTTCCTCAGTAGTTTAGGTTATGGTTTTTGTGAAGGCTATGACAAAGCTTTTCTGGGGATGGGAACTCTAGGCAGGCCAGTTTTGGGTCCCTGGGGCAGGAGAATGCAAAAGCACTGACTGGGCAGGTCCTCAGTCTCCCTTGCAGCCCATGTGGGGACCAGTAGTGGTGGCAGTGACCCAGATGGGCTTGTCCTTGGGCCCCCAAGCAGAGCTCAGGGGCACCACTGGGGAGTGTTTTGCTTGCAAAATTGTAGAGACCATATTTCACCAAACCAAATAATACAATTACATCTGAGACTCAAACTTCAGAAGCTAATTGCTCCTAGACTATTTTAAATAAGAAAACTGAGGTCCCAAGCTACTAGTAGATGCTCATTCTCTCCCCAGTGAGAAGAACAGAAGTCTTGTCTTAAATTACACTATAATATGTTCTGTATGCCAATTGTCTCCAGATCTTTCCCATTCCTATTTTAGCCTCCAACTTTGCAACTTCTGGCAAAGAAATTCCCCCTCCTCATCACTCATCACTCACTCAACAGAATTCTTTCTGTAAATTTTCCCTCAAACCTTCTCAACAAAAGAGAAAGTGTTCTAGTTAGGGGTATCATTTCAAGTAGATTTTGAGAATTAAAGAGGGGGTGCCAACAAGAAAGGACATTGGGACAAACAGGCTTAAGCCCGAACTGTCCCTATAAACCAGGATGTATAACCACTGGTTTGGAAAGCTAAATGGGTCTACATAATTCAGCAATGGTGGAAGGACTGTGGAAGGTAGACTTACTAGAATGAGAGCTGAATATATGGAACTCAGACAAAGCAGACTGTAAGTTTCAAGGGAGTTTTGAAAGTTTACAAGACAATGATGATCTTAAGTAGCTTTGGCTTATAAGAAAATTGGAGCAGTGAGGAAAGGGGATGTTAAAAAATGTCTTGGTGAATTACAAATTGATTCTTCTTTGATTACTCTCTTACTTAGGGAATAAGAGTACCTTGTGTTTAGGAAAGGGAGTATAGCTAGTTCAATGATGATTTGCCCCCAAAGATACATTAAACCAGAACCTGTGAATATAAGCTTATTTTGAAAAGGGGTCTTTGCAGATATGTTAGGGTCTCAAGATAACATAATCTTGGGTTATCTGGGTGGGCCCTGAATGCTATGACAAGTATCCTTATAAGACAAAGGCAGGTGGGGAGAAGAAAGCCATGTGAAGACAAGGCAGAGATTGGAGGTCTACAGCCACAAACCAAGGAATGCCTAGACCCACCAGAAGCTGGAAAAGACAAAAACCTTCTCCTTTAGAACCTTCAGAGGGAGTGAGGTCCTACAAACACACAACTTCAGATTTCTGGCCTCCAGAAAATAAATTTATATTGCTTTAAAGCCACCCAGTTTGTGGTGATTTGTTACACCGCCACAATAAACTAATTCAGAGTGGGAGGTAGATGGAGCCCATAAATAAAACACTGTTGTTAAGTGGGCCTTTGGGTAAGTGTGGAGAGGCAATTAATATATAGGTGTGGAAAGATGTAACTGGGTATGAATTACTGTGAAATTACAAGTAAGTCCAGGCAGAGTGGGATCCAAAGGCAGAGGCGAGGAAAAGCAAAAATTATCTATGAGGCCAGCTCCCCTTGTAGGACTACTGCAGGGGTGACCCCAGGACAGCTTTCTCATGCTGCTTTCATTATCCACCCAGTTGGAAAACAAAATCCAGTTAGAGATTAGGAGAAAGCTACTTCCTTATCTCTCCTGCAGGTTCCATAAATACATGCAACTTCTTCATTTAGTTCAGGCTCATTACCAGTAGAGCAACCCACACAATTCAGTTCTTTTAATAATTTTTCTCATTATTTTTTGTTCTCTGTTTTAGTTGTCTCATATTTCTTCACTTCTGTCAACCAGTTCCTTGGTTATACATTTTTCTTGTCATTCGCCTTGGAAAAACAAAACTAAACAGCATAATTAGTATTGCTTATATGAAAGATGTGACTTTTAGGGGGAAAAATTGCTATGGATTGCTGATTCATGTTGTAAACATCTTTGACTCCTTTGAGTGTACTGTATTTCTGGTCCCCACAGGGACCTTCGTGGGGTCCACAGGAGCTCTGACTGTCAAGAAATGGTGACTCAACCATGGCTGCAGCAGAGCAATGTAGATGAGGGGCATAACTAAGACCAGGGCTACATCACACCAGAGTTTGTGTTGTAGAGAGAAGCCTGTTCTCTGCAATGCTTTACAAACTGGGTATCTATATTTAAGCTTTTAAATTCAGGATATTAAAAAGAAGGTGTGTAATTCTGAAAAAAAATGACAACTATTTGAAATACAATCTTTTTAATCCAACGGTACTTGATGTTTGAGTATAATTTTCCTCTACAGAGTCTAAAAAGAATGTTTTCTGCATGTGGTTCTTGAACTACACCCCCTCTCCCCACTCCCCTGCTGCCCTCCAGCATCAGGAGATCAAACATCTAAATTTGGCTCAAGAAATTAAAATTGGGTTTTGAATGGAGAGAGGTAGTACAATGGAGGTAGTTAAGACCCCATGTTTTCGACGGAAATAATCAGTGTTTTCAAGAGCAAACATTTTCCAGCTCTATGTCTTGGTCTATATGGCATCAGGGCTGTTATGATCAAATGAGAAAGTATAATATGCAAGAACCAGGCAGACAGTAACTGCTTACTAATATATTCATTTTAACAAAACTGGGGTGGGATTTCTACACAGCGTGGAAGGGAAAGTCACTTCTTTTTTCTTTTTGAAGTCATCAATTCTATGGTTTAAGTAGTTCAGAAAAATTAGGCTGGGATCACAGCAGCCCCTTCTGGGCTCTTTGCTTCACAGCCCTCCTGTTCCACTGGGAGGACGTGGCTCTGCCCACTTTGTGCCAGCCTTCAACCATGGGCCTCTAGGCTGAGGTTCCCAAGTGTGACCTGGTGTCCATTCTCTCCAGGTATATGTGCACCTATCCTTATTTGAGTTCCTTCCACCATGGTGCAGACCTATGCCCTCCCAGAGCCTAGAACAGATCAGTCTTTGAAGTCCTTTAAGCCTGAGAAACACCTCTAGACAAACCAGTCCAATGGCTTCAAGGGTTCAGAATTTAAAAAAATAACAGCTTCTCAATTCTCTCCTGGATCCAGGGAAGCTTAGGCCACTGGACACAAATCCCTGGCCACCTTCCAAGAGACAGAAAGAGAAAATACTGTTTAATCTTTCACAAATGGCCTGCAAGAGAGAAAACACAACTTGATTCATGTTTTGTTTAACCAATTAGCATTCCAATGTTCAATAGAGAGGCAGCATTGCAAGGTTCTTAGAAGCCTGGACTAGAAGCCACACTTTCAAGGTTCAAGCCCTGATCCACCACTTATTGGAAGTCTGTTCTTGGAGCTCCGGTTGCCAGATAGAATACAGGATGCCCAGTTCTGTTTGAATTTCAAATAAACCATAAATAATTTTTAAATATAAGTGTATCTTAGATGTTGCATGCAATATTTGATTTGTTAGCAAGAATTTGTGAGCAGACAATATATGTGACATATTTTTACTAAAAGATTATCAGTTCGCATTCTGAAATTCAAATTTAACTGAGCTTTATTTTTATTTGCAAAATCTGGCAACTCTTACCTTGTACAAGGCCTTTAACCCTTATAGACCTCACTTTCCTCATCCACAAAATGGAGATAAAAATAGTATTTTCTGAGTATCTAGGCCAGGTGCAGTGTCTTACACCTGTAACACCACTACTTTGTGAGGCTAAGGCAGGAGGACTGCTTGAGGCCAGGAGTTCAAGACCAGCCTGGGCAATATAGTGAGACCCTGTCTCTACAAAAATTTTTTTAAAGAATAGCTGGGCATGGTGGCATGCACCTGTCATCCTAGCTACTCAGGAGGCTGAGGTGGGAGGCTCTCTTGAGCCCCACAGTTTGAAGCTGCAGTGAGCCAAGATCATGCCACTGAACTCCAGCCTAGGTGACAAAGTGAGACTGTCTCTAAAAAATAATATTTTCCTCTAAGTATTCAGCTCATGGAGTTGTTATAAGAATTCAGTGTATTAGTATTTGTAAAGTGCTTAGAGCAGGACTTGGCAGACAATAGAACTAATATTTGTTAACAAAATAAATAATCTGACCGACCTTTTTTTCGAGCTGTCAATACATGCTTTACATAAACAACTGTGCCTTGTTCTAGAGAATGAGGGATTGAAATCTCTCCCAGAAACAATGATGGCAACTATCTTCCAGCCTCCTTTTTCCCTTCCCACGGTAGTGTAGGCTGTTAATTTAGACAATTGTTTACACCCACCCCCATTCTCGTCCTTCCCATTACCCCAGTGTGAGGGTAGAACGGCGTTTAGGCTGGCAGATGGTAGATAAAGGGAGTGGGAGGAGGGAGGTGAACCCTCAGCTGCATGCATGCCCCCACCCTTGTCACCACTGCTGCCCCTCCCACTTGTCCCTCACAGAAACCACAGGCTCCATTCCATCCCTCACTCATCTCACCCCCTCCCCAAACAACACACAAGCACGAGAAGCTCATGATGGACTGAATGCCCATGGAGTCAATGCCTTTGTCTTTTCCTAAAGGGTCTTAAAATGGGGAGTGGGTGGAGGGCGAGGAAGGAAGAATGTGGAGTGGGAAGGGCGCCTTCGTCATTCAGAACCGGCTCCTGAGCCACATCTTTTTGCGCCATGTGGTTTTGTCTTCATGTTAATAGCACACGAGCCTATTGTGAATCAACAGCACAGCATCTTCTGCAGGAACCTGCAAGGTCAGACAGGTGCGCCTTCCAGTAATGTCTCTCTAGGCAACTGGGATCACTTGGCTTCAGGGACGGATTCTGTTTTATTCTATGTTTCTTGTTTTTCCCCACAGTGGAGAACTAGAACTGGAAAAAGTACAGTCAAAGACAGGAAGTCAAGAGGGAAGTTGAAAGGCTGCAAAGCAAATATTTTGCCGTTCCCTGGGTTGTGCCACAAGATAGGATATGGGTGCCACCAAGGTTAAAAGGCAAATAAGTGCCACTCTGGGAACAGACCAGCACATGGCTCAAGGTCACTGATGACAAACAAAGCGCACAGCAGCCTCAGCATTTACTTAGAGCAAGAGACGAGAGAGTGCTCACGGAAACATCCTGCCCCTTAAAACACCTCCGTCCCCGATGGCGGGTGGGTCTACTCGCAGCCCGTGAGGGCAGTGTTGGCTGCACGTACCCTATTGTGTGCTGCAGTAGAAAGACTCCAGCTTTCCCCTGTGAGCTCTGACATGCAGAAAACTGGGGGCACATCTGAGAGCCATTGATGGACGCATTTACTTAAGCAGAACAAAGGAGTACACAATGGGTCCAAACAGGGAAAATAACTTCCACACCAGGTGGCAAGCCCAGCATAGGTGGGTGGGCTCCTTAGCTCTTGGTAAAGAAGTGTTCCCAGCCCAGAGCTCATTCTTATGTGGCCAACTAGGGATCAAAAGACTGCACACACAAGACTGCCATTCTCAACAATAAGAAACAAGACCCCCTTGTCAGGAGAAGGTGAAACCACTGGAAAAGGAGAAAGGAAAGTGTGTGTTAGTTACTAAGTCTTCAGAGGATAAAAAGAGAGGACAGCCAGACTCAGATTCTAAGGAATTCAAATCAGCACAGGTCCCAGCAATCCTCCTTCTGACTATTCATGTCCCCAGACTCTGAAAGCCACATTCAGCCTACACTCCTCAGTCTCTGGAACTGCAAGAAGACTCTCTTCCAAACTGCAGGAACCATTCAATGGCTTAGAGGTGGCAGAGTTTCTGCCTTCTCAACCTAGAATCTATGGTCCCACCAAGAATGCTTCAGCAGGAGGAAGAGAGAGCATGGTGTCCCTGTGCTGCACACATATGGTTGTCCTGGTATTCTGGTTAAGTACTGTTACATTAAAAATCACCCCAAAACCTAGAAGCTCAAAATAACACACAATTCTGCAGGTTGTCTGGGTAATTCTATTCTTTGTGGTGTCAGATGGTTGTAGTCATCTGGAGGGTCTACTGGAACTCAGTGCTATTGGTGGGGGGTTTCAGTCCTATTCCATATGGGTTTCTCCACATGGCTGCTTGGACTGCCTCCCAGCATGGTGGTTGGGTTCAAAAGCAGTATTCCAAGAGTGAGAATATCAAGATGGAGAAAAGAGAAACTTTTAGGTCAAGGAAGGGCTGGAACTAGAACTGGCACAATATCACTTTCATCATATTCAATTGGTTAAAATAGTTATATATCATCCCAAGTCAAGTTGAGAGGTGATTACACAGGGCATGAATACTGGAAGTCATGGTTCATTGGGGGTCATTAAAGGAAGAGTCTACCACGTGTATTTTAGGTTTCCAGTACCCCAAACCATATTCTGCCTCAGGTATACTATTCAATTCAACACCTATTCATTGAATATATTCAACTCACTAATACTGTTTTCTTTGAAGGGGAGGTTGTTTCTACCTTTAAAGAGATCACAGTTTAACAGGACAAACAGGTATACAAATTCCAGTAAAAGGCATAATATGAGCCCTTGTTATTTAGATAAATCAGAAAGGGATTTAATGGAGGAAAATGTTGTTTTGAGAATTATGAGAAATTTTTGTGGAACATCTTGAGAATGTGTTTTGGATATTGTGAACCACTACAAAAATATAAAATACTGCCATTGTTAGTGTTGTTACTGTAAAATTACTGCCTCTTCAAAAACTGTTTAGGGGCTTCTGTGTCCTTTAAGTCTAATGGGCCAATCTATTCACTTCTTAAGGGGATACTGGTGAGTAGTTTGGGATCCAGAGTCAGCTCACGTGGGTTAATGTCCTAGCTGTGTGACTAGACAAATTACTTAACCTCTCCATGCCTCAATGTCATGACCCTAAAGTGAAGAGAATGATATCTTCTGCATAAGATTTTTGTGATTTAATGTGTATGAGGTACTTAGAATGATGCTTGTCACATTTTAAAAATGCTCAATAAGTGTTCATTGTTGTTGAGGATTATTATGGGCTGGCTCATGCCTCTACCCCCAAAGATGTTCACATTCATAGGAACCTATGAGTATGGTACCTTACATGGTAACAGGGACTTTGCAGCTGTGATTAAAGATCTTGAGATGAGGATCTCAATTATCTACTGGATAATCTAAATTATCCAGTAGGCCCAATGTGTATTCACAAGGGTCCTTATAATAGGGAAGCAGGAGGGTCAGAGAGTGAGATGTAACTGTGGAAGCAGAGCTTAGAGTAATGGAAGGAAGGGGCTGTGAGCCAAGGAATGCAGGCAGCCTCTAGGAGCCTAAAAAGCAAGAAAAATATTCTACCCTAGAGCCTCCAGGACTATATCCCTGCTGACCCATTTTGGACTTCTGACCTCCAGAACTGCAAAGCAGTAAATCCATGTCATTTTAACCTAGTCATTTTTTTTTTTTTGCTACTCGGTTACAGCAGCAACAGGGAATTAATGCAATGAGGATGATGCCGATGCTGCTGTTGCTGACAATCTGAAAACCAGAACCTCCCTGACACAATGAAGAAACTGAGTCTCTCCAACCAGAGAAGTGCATGCTCTCTAGCCCTAGGGAGGTCTGTCAGGTAGGAGGCTTTATAAAAACTAGGCAACTCTGTGCATTTGATTAAATCACCCTGTCATCATTTTATTTAGATTTCTAAGCCACTAGTTCAAACATCAGAACAAAGTTAACTACTTTGCATTTATATTTTATGACTTGTTTTTGATTATTTTCATCAAAATTTTATCATGAAGTCATGAGTTTTACTTTAATTATATATTTTGTAAAGGTTTCCATCATGCTTAAGTATGATTTTCTCATGCATTGAGGCCACTTCAGGGTTCTTTTCCCCTTTGAATTATATATCCCCAGACATGTTATGTAACAGGCAAGGGGAAGTGTTCAACATGCCAAAATTACTAACAACTTACATCTGCAAAGCACTTTACAGTTTACATGATTCTTTTGTCAACTTCATTTCATTTTATCCTCTAAACATTCTTGTATGCAGAAAACTAGACTTGAGGAGGTTGAGAATGAATTATGGAAGTAGCATAGTAAGTCTTAAAGCCAGGTTTTAATACAAGTCTCTCGATTCTAAAATCAATACCCCTCAGAGGGACCTTCAAAGGCTTTTCAGGAAAAATTTCAAGAACTTATCTATTTGGAAAATAAAGCTTCTTATCTCTCCCTACTTCTTTCCTCCCCTGCTCATTTAGGAAGGACCTAAAATGTTCCAGATGTGGAAATGCATGGATGACATCTTCCTGGCTGTTATGGTAAGTCCATGTCTGAAGACTGGTTCATTAAACCATGTATACTCCCATGACTCATGATTGGGGGTTGATTGCTAATTTTTTAACACTATCAATAGGTGACTTATTTCTTAGGGACTTGGGAATATGAGTGGGGGTTGTGGAGTGAGAGAAGATAATATGACTTCCTGGCTAACAGTCATTCTTTCAGAATTGTTCTAAGTTCAGTTTTAATTTACTGTGCCAAAACTCTAAAATGCTCGATAAAAAAACTTAGCTGTGGCCTTTCAATATATTCACTGGGAAGGGAATGTAAATTTAGGTTTTGGAGCTTTGGTTTGGGGGACAAAAGGAGATATTGATCACCACTAAGAAAACTGTGAGCACTAGAGGAGATGTTTGGGGATTTATTTTACAGCAGTCCTTACTCAGCCTGTCATGTCATATCAGATTTGGGAACAATTGTGGAGGTAGCATTAAACAATGAAGAAATGCAGAGGAGTCTGAAGGAACCCTAAAAAGCCTGGCACTAAAAATTATAAATAAACAGAATTGGAGACATTACCACCAGAAGAGTTAGACAGCCTTAAATGATAATGACAATGAATCTTACCCTTTCCATGAAGCTTTTCCTTTGGCCTGAACCAGATATAACCTCTTCCAATGACAAAGTTCTATAACACCTAAGTTCTAGAATTTTTAGGGCTGAAATGGGATCCTAGAAAGCATCTAGGGGAAATGGAGCTCCAGCCAGCTGGCTGAGTATGAAATTAAGGTTAATAAAAAATAACGACCTTACTATAAAATTGAAAAAACAAATTTGACAATACAGTGGGAAAAATCCCACTTATAATAGTAACCAAAGATATAATACCTAGCAATACATTTAACAGGAAAGTGCAGAATCCATGCAAGTGAAACAAAATCTACTGAAGGACAGAAGAAAGGTCTGAATAAAAGGAAAGTTATGTTATGTTCCTAGATGGAAATCATGAAAATGTAAAAGATTTCAATTCTTCACAAATTAAGCATTTAATTCAACATAATCGTCATCGAAATTTGACTAATTTTCATTCAATGTACCAAGGATGTTCTAAAATTCACATGGAAGTGAATACAGATAAAAATAAGACTTTTAATAAAAGAACAAAGAGAAGAGGCATTGCTCTAACAGATTACAACACATACTATAAATCTATAGCCAATCAACTGATGTGATTTCGGCACAGAAATGTATTTTAAAAATCAGTGAGACAGTTTAAGAATACAGAAAGAAAATATGTATCTATGGGAATTTTGTGCATGATAAAGGTGGTATTCAAAATTAATGGATGTAAGTTATGATTATGTTCTACAGCTAGTAGCAGACACCTGAAAAACTGTAATTTAATCAAACAGGGATTTACTCTCCTCACATAACAAGATACAGAGGATTGCAGTTAAGGGCTATTGCAAAGCTTTGGAGATCCACATTCCCTTCAGTTTTCTAATCCTGCTCCTTAGCCCAAGTTCTTGCTTTCATGCTCACCACCTCATGCATACTTTGCTGCCCCTTCTTCAGTGGTGCATTCCCCTTTCAGGGATAAATAAACAGGAGGAAGAGCTAGGTTTTAGATGCAGAACTTTTCCAGAAGTCCCAGCAGGCTGAGACTTCTGCTTCCATTTCATTGGTCAGAATTGTGTCATGTCCTCTCTGTAGCTTCAAGAAAGGATGGGAGAAGAGATGGATGGATGAGAGATGGAAGATGGGAGGAGAGATGGATGGATGGGAGGGGAGACAGACTGATGGGAGGGGAGACAGACGGATGGGAGGGGAGACAGACGGATGGGAGGGGAGACAGACAGATGGGAGGGGAGATGTTCGGATGGGAGGACAGATGGATGGATGGGAGGGAAGATGGACGGATGGTTAGGGAGATGTTGGTCAAAGGATACAAAATTCCAGTTAGATAGGAGGAATAAGTTCAATAGCTCTATTATACAGCATGGTGACCTGAGTTAAGAACAATACATTATACTCTCAAAAATTGATAAGAGAGTAGATTTTGAGTGTTCTCATCACAAAAAAAGTTAATAAATATGTGAGGTAATGCATTTGGTAATTAGCTGCATTTAGCCATGCCACAATGTATACATATTTCAAAATGACATGGTATATATGATAAATATATGCAATTTGTATTTGTCAATTAAAAAATGGAATAAAAGGGATAGGACAGGTAGGTTCTTAAATGAGCACAGTGATACCATAAGCAAATAGTAAGTTTGTCTTTTCCATCAATAAGAAAGGGAAACTGGGTAGGAAGGCATTTAACAGCATCTGCCTCACTGGGCCAGCTTCATGGATGTGAGGCTTATGCAGTCACATAAGACCCCATACTTGGTGTAATGCCCTTTATGGCCATCTTGAAATGCTTAATTGTTTTATCTTTGAACTTGTATTTTATAAGTGAAGTCCAATGGGACAATGGAACCCGTGCATGAGCAGAAGAGATATGTACAATATGCATGCTCCCTGGTCCTTGCCCCATTTGCATGTAGCATTCATGATATGTCAGGAGCAAGGAATTCTGGTAGACTCATGATGCATGGAAATTTAGTGAGACTCAAAATGAGTGCAAAGGAAGGCTGTTACATCTGTAGCTGAAGAAGTGGGGATGCTGACAGCCCTGAGAGGCTGTGCTTTCCATTAAAACCAGAACCTACTACAAACTGAGAGAAGGCAACAGTGTGTAAGA
Source organism: Homo sapiens (assembly GCF_000001405.40). NCBI lineage: Eukaryota > Metazoa > Chordata > Mammalia > Primates > Hominidae > Homo > Homo sapiens. The sequence continues at coordinate 204,444,202 of NC_000002.12, forward strand.
AACACAAATGATCTAGGAACCCTATCATCTCCTTTCTAACTCATGTTACTTTTCCCTGCATAAAGTAAACTCTTAAGCTTTTTCAACTATGATTACATAGGGGAAAGGAAATAAGGAAGAAACCCAAATTCCTTTTCTTATCCGTTGTTCCTTATCAGTAAGCCAAAGGTAGAGAGGGTTGGTAGAATATTCATGTATGAAAAAGGTGAAGTCAAAAGAGTCAACTTAGTTTTGTACAGTGTTTCCACTGTTCTGTTAAGAATGAAATACATATGAATGTACAAGCTGTGACATACAAATTATGTCATTTCAGTGATTTCATATACAAGTTAGGCACAGGGTTATAAGCATGCCCAGGGCTGTGCACACAATTTGTAAAATCCTGAGAAGACCCTAAGCTTTCACCTTTGGTTAAGGAAATCTCTGTTGATTCATTAGCCAACCGTAAAGCTAAGCGAGTAGACTTCAGTAGCTTTGACATGCCAAAGAACACAGGCAGAATTAGTTCAGAAAAGTCACTAAGCAAACAACTATTACTACAAATAACAATAAAAACAATAAACTCTGGGGAGAAAGGAGGATCTGATTTCCAGAGTTGCTGCATTACATTATTTACTGAGAAATGCAGTTGAAGAAGAAGGGACGTTTGATGGGTCTCACAGATAATGCAGAAATTTTGAGTCCCTGGGTTTTACTGAGTTTCCACTGACTATCAGTGTGGCTATGGGAGAGTTGTCCAACTTTTATGGGTTTCTGAGATTCCAACTGTTAAATGAAGGAGTTGACAAGACAATCAGAAACTTTTAAATATGTTCAAAGAACCAAAGGAAGTAATGACTAAAGAACTAAAGGAAAGTAAAATGATGTCTTACCAAATAGAGAATATCAATTTAAAACAAGAAATTATAACAAGAACCAAATAGAAATTCTTGAGTTTAAAAGTACAATAACTTAAAAAATTCATGAGAGGGATTCTACCACAGATTTGAGCAGGCAAAATAACCAACAAATTTGAAGATAGGTCAACATACATGATCCAGTATGAGGCACAGAAGGATAAAAGAATGAAAAAAGATGAACAAAGCCTCAGAGACCTGTAACGTGTGAACATATGCATAATAGGCGTCCCAGAAGGAAAGGAGAGAGAAAAGTGGACAGAAATAATGGCTGAAAACTTCTAAAACATGATGAAAAATATTGATGTGTACATTCAAGGACTCAAAGGGATTCACAACCACACACATCATAAGCAAACAACTCTAAAGATAAAGAAAAGGAAGAATCTTGAAAGCAGCAAGAGAGTAGTGACTTATCACATACAAGGAATTTCAGTAAGATTAACGGTCAATTTTTTTTATCAGAAATCATGAAGGCCAGAAAACAGTGAGATAATGTATCTAAAGTGCTGAGAGAGAAAAGGTGTCAATTAAGAATTTTATATCAGACAAAACTATCTTTAAAAAATGAAGAAGAATTTAAGACATTCTCAGATAAACAAAAACCAACACAGTATTGATATATATTTTTTGCAATACTTTTTTTCTCCTATGTGATTTAAGGGACAACTGCATAAAGCAAAACCTATAAATCTGTGTTGATGGGCATACAATATACAAAGATATAATTTTATTACAATAATGGCACAAAGGAATTTTACAAGAACAAGGGTTTTTTAAAATTATACTTTAAGTTCTGGGGTACATGTGCAGAATGTACAGGTTTGTTACATAGGTATACACGTGCCAGGATGGTTTGCTGCACCCATCAACCCATCATCTATATTAGGTATTTCTCCTAGTGCTATCCCTGCCCCCAGTCCCCCAACAGGCCCCAGTGTGTTATGTTCCCCTCCCTGTGTCCATGTGTTCGAATTGTTCAACTCCCACTTATGAGTGAGAACATGCGGTGTTTGGTTTTCTGGTCTTGTGTTAGTTTCCTGAGAATGATGGTTTCCAGCATCATCCATGTCCCTGTAAAGGACATGAACTCATCCCTTTTTATGGCTGCATAGTATTCCACGATGTATATGTGCTACATTTTCTTTATCTAGTCTATCATTAATGGGCATTTGGGTTGGTTCCAAGTCTTTGCTATTGTGAACAGTGCTGCAATAAACACACATGTCCATGTGTCTTTATAGTAGAATGATTTATAATCTTTTGGGTGTATACCCAGTAATGGGATTGCTGGGTCAAATGGTATTTCTAGTTCTGGATCCTTGAGGAATTGCCACACTCTCTTCCACAATGGTTAAACTAATTTACACTCCCACCAACAATGTAAAAACATTCTTATTTCTCCACATCCTCTCTAGCATCTGTTGTTTCCTGACTTTTTAATGATTGCCATTCTAACTGGCATGAGATGACATCTCATTGTGGTTTGGATTTGCATTTCTCTAATGACCAGTGATGATGAGCTTTTTTTCATATGTTTGTTGGCTGCATAAGTGTCTTCTTTTGTGAAGTGTCTGTTCAGATCCTTCACCCACTTTTTGATGGGGTTGTTTGTTTTTTTCTTGTCAATGTGTTTAAGTTCTTTGTAGATTCTGGATATTAGCCCTTTGTCAGATGGATAGATTGCAAAAATTTTCTCCCATTCTGTAAGTTGCCTGTTCACTCTGCTGATAGTTTCTTTTGCTGTGCAGAAGCTCTTTAGTTTAATTAGGTCCCATTTGTCAATTTTGGCTTTTGTTGCAATTGCTTTTGGTGTTTTAGTCATGAAGTCTTTGACCATGCCTATTACCTGAATGGTATTGCCTAGGTTTTCTTCTAGGATTTTTATGGTTTTAGGTCTTATGTTTAAGTCTTTAATCCATCTTGGGTTAATTTTTGTATAAGGTGTAAGAAAGGGATCCAGTTTCAGCTTTCTGCATATGTGTAAGGAAGGGATCCAGTTTCAGCTTTCTGCATATGGCTAAACAGTTTTCCCAACACCGTTTGTTAAATAGGGAATCCTTTCCCCATTGCTTGTTTTCGTCAGGTTTGTCATAGATCCTATGGTTGTAGACATGGGGCATTATTTCTGAGGCCTCTGTTCTGTTCCATTGGTCTATATATCTGTTTTGGTACCAGTACCAAGCTGTTTTGGTTACTGTAGCCTTGTAGTATAGTTTGAAGTCAGGTAGAGTGATGTATCCAGCTTTATTCTTTTTGCTTAGGATTATCTTGTCTATGCAGGCTCTTTTGTGGTTCTATATGAAATTAAAAGTACTTTTTTCCAATTCTGTGAAGAAAGTCAATGGCAGCTTGATGGGGATAGCACTGAATCTATAAATTACTTTGGGCAGTTTGGCCATTTTCACAATATTGATTTTTCCTATCCATGAGCATGGAATGTTTTTCCACTTGTTTGTGTCCTCTCTTATTTCCTCAAGCAGTGGTTTGTAGTTCTCCTTGAAGAGGTCCTTCACATCCCTAGAAACAAGGGTTTTATATACTGTTAAAATCAAGTTGTATTAATCCAAACCAGACACTTTTAAATTAAGATATTAATTGTAATCCCAGGGCAACCATTAAGAAAATAACCCAAACATATATAGTAAAGGGAATGATAAAAAAATGGTATATAGAAAATTATTTAACACAAAAGAATGCAATGATGGAAGAATAGAGGAACAGAAAGCATGAGATACACAGAAAATAATTAGATAATATCAAGTATAAATCCTATGTTTACTACTTACAGTAAATGTAAATGAAATAAACATTACAATCAAAAGACAATGATTGGTAGAATGAATTTTTAAACACATGATTCAACTATGTACTATTAGAGAAGTACTTTGGATTCAAAGACACAGAAGATCGAAAGCAAATAAATACAAAAATATATCATACAACAGTAGCCAAAAGAGAACTGGGGTGACTATACTAATATCAGACAAACTAGACTCGAAGACAAAAAATTGTTACTAGAGACAAAAAAGATATTTGATAGTGATAAAAGGGTCACTCTGCAAGAATATATAATAATGAAAGTGTATATACTTATAACAGAGCTGCAAAATATGTGAAGCAAAACCTGACAGAATTGAAGGGTGAAATACACAATTAAATAATGGTAATTGGAGACTTCAATATTCCTCTTCCAATAATGGATAGTGCAACTAGACAGAAGATAAGCACGGAAATAGAACACTTGAACAATACTATAAACCAACTAGACATTTATAGAAAACTCCTAACTACAGAAGAATAAATATTTTTCTCAAGCACACACGGAACATTCTCTAGGATAGACCATATGTTAAGCCATAAAACAAATCTCAGTAAATTTAAAAGGATTTAAATAATACAAAGTATGTTCCTCAAGCACAAAGAAATAAAATTAGAAAGAAACAGGCTGGGAGCAGTAGCTTATACCTGTAATCTCAACACTTTGGGAAGCCAAGGCAGGAGGATTGCTTCACCCCAGGTGTTTGAGATCAGCCTGGGCAAGATAGCAAGACCCTGTGTCTAAAAGGAAAAAAATTACCTGGGCATGTTGGCACATGCCTGTAGTCCCAGTTACTTGGGAGGCTGAGGAAGGAGGATCACTTGAGCTGGGGAGGTTGAAGCTGCAGTGAGATGTGATCACACCACTGCCCCCCCCCAGCCTGAGAGTCAGAGTGAGACCCTGCCTCAAAAAATAAATAAAAAAGAAAATTTGGCAAATTCAGAAATATATGGAAATTAAATAACATACTCCCAATGACCAGTGAGTCAAAGAAAAAATGATCACAAGGGAAGTTAGAAAATACTTTGAGATAAATAAAAATGAAAACAAACATACTCAGAACTTACAGAATACAGCTAAAGCTGTCAGGAACTTTTGCTCTACCTGCATTGTTTGAAATTTATAAAAATGTGTTCAAGTGCTATAATTTCAAAAAGTTTCTAATTGTTTTGTCAACTCCTTCATTTAACAGTTGGAGTCCCAGAAACCCAGAGATTCTCCCACAGCTGCACTGCTAGTCAGTGGAGACTCGGTAAAACCCAGGGACTCTAAATTCCTGCATTATTTGTGTGACCCATCGAACATCCTTTTCCATCACACTTCTCAGCAAATAATGTTTTCTTCACTGCCACAGAGTATAGTTAACTGCACATTTATTTTATCTAAACCACCAGACTATTAGGTCATAAAGTGTGAGGACTTTCTTGTATTTTCCGGGGTGCATTAGCATAGTACTTTGACTAGCAACTGTGAAAACACATGTTGGGCACCCCAATATAGGCATTGGGCTAGGTGGTAGAGGTAAAAGGTAAATAAGACATGGTCTTTCCTGTTGAAGAAGTCATTTATTGAGCCAAGTGTTCAATAACTTTTTCACTGATTAAGTAAATGGATTTTGAAACTTAAAACTTGACAGTCCCGCCTACTTAACAACACTTGATTTACTGAAATTCTTTAAAATATCATATTTAAAAGCTCAGCATGAAGAAAGAGCTAACCAGAACACCAACTTCTCCAGCAATATATTAAACCCATGAATGACCATCCCAAACTTACATTTTTCAGACCAAAAAGGTCTAAAATAAGGACCAAGAAAAGTTTTTACCATCCAGACAGGCATTTTCCACTGACAAATGAGATCATCTGCTTCCCAGTAGGTGGGTCCTGAGGGACACTTCTTGCATTTTGAAACAATAAACTTAAAAGAGATTTATTTTTTAAATGTTGATAGCATTAACAAGAAAATACATCCCTAGTTCAGAAAGTAAATTTAATTACGGATGCAATGTTAAAATACACAGACGCAGAAAGAAACCTGTAAGAAATGGATTATACTGCTGACTGGATTGATCAGGACCTGGTCTTTAAAAAGAGCAGTAAGACCTGGGCTTTTCCTTAGCTCTGTTACCATCAGACACACACAAGTTCTGATAGGAAAGATTGTGCCAAGCTGCCGCAGAGCTGAGATACAAATGGTTTTTATTGTCTGTGGGCTGAGAGTATAATCCTGCTGCAAAATGTAGCTCTGGGAAAGACCCTGCACATTTGCTTTCAGAGTGACTCTGTCTCTTGATGCTTGATGGATGTCTTTCCCCAAGCAAGAAGAAAAGCTCTATTATTGACAAGCTCAGTGGCAAAGGATAAAGGCTGAAACAGCTAGAGGAGAGTGCACGGGTGACCGGAGGTTTCAGAAAATGGACCTAGAATCAGTGAATCACAGAAACACAAGGCCCAAAGAAGGATTTTCATTTCAACATTAGTGATAGCCCAAGTCACTGAATTCAGATTTTTAGAAATCTTAACTTAGTATGCACTTGTTAGTGAACATTTGATGACTGTTTTAATCAGGATTGGATAGGTTATGCTGCTGCTAAAAAGAGAAAACAAATATCTTAGTGGGTTATAATAACAATTTTGTTTCTTGTTCATGCGACGTCTCTCACGGTTTTGCAGAAGCATCTGCCCAGTGTAGTGGCTCAGGGACCTAGGCTACTAGAGCTGCCACCATCTCAAAACCTGCTGGTCACCATGTCAGAGGAAAGATTACTCTGGAAGGTCTTAGCCTGCCAGTTACATGATCTGGCCCAAAGGGACACATATCAGCTCTGCTCACACCTCATTCCACAGAACTAGTCTCATGCCCCCACCCAAACTTCAAGGGGCAGGAAATGTAATCCTCTTATATACCTGAAGTCACATAGCCAGAAATACTTGGTGAATGGCATCAATGACTGATTGTCACTGTTATCAGTGATGATGGTGATAGTCAAGGCAAAACAGAAGTCCTAGCAGCTTTAGTAAACCTCTGCCTGTGCACCATCAAACCTTCAGCAATAACTGTTTAAACTCTAGAACTATGTGCCAGGATCTGTATTATCAAACTCCAGATATTTATCCCATTATTTTGTGGTTCTATCCTATCCCATCATTTTCAGCCCATCATTTATCTACCCACATGCAGTTTGGAATCATAACTTCTGTGTTTCCATTGATTGCAGAACCCACCATGTGGATAAGCTGTGACAGCATAATTAGTTCAAGTGGAAATTGCAGGTGGAGTAATTCCAGAACAGGTTCTGCTACAATAAAATATAGGGTTTAGTATGATTTGAAGTTTAATACCTGTAAAGAAAAGGCTGCAAACTCAAATGCCTTCAGGGGACAGACAGGTAACATACTTGCAGGAAAAAGCCACTTTTAAGAGGTTGGAGTATTGGGGGCCAAGCTGAACCAGGGAGAACATGGCCTATCTAAAAGGCAAAGTATCTCCTCTGGATTCTTAGGTAAAATCTAGATTTTGAATTTTGGCCAGGAAAAAATCTGTTTTCTAAAATTATATTTTATGAACCAAATAAAGCATGTCCATAAGCAAAATTTTAGCCGCAGGCTACCAATTTGCACCTTCTGCTGAAAGGTTTGGATGATTAAAATACATCCCACAAGGCTGATTACTTCCTGCTAGGCACCACGCTCACGTTTTAGGTAGCTGCCGCTGGGTTAGTGATGGAAGGTGAATATGAAGCCACAGGCTGTGATGAAGTATGCCTCGTTAGGTTTGGGTTACTGAAAGAAATGAGGAGAAAGTACATGAGGATTTCCTTAATGCACTACCAATCCTTATATAGAGATATCACTTTTTAGTAATGCTAATATCTCCTTTTAAACACAGGGAAAATTGAAAGGCACATGCAAACAAACTATAATATCCAGTTACAGGTAATATAGGGCCTAACAGTAAATTTCAAGAGTACTAAATTATGTTGTGATAAAGTTTTATCTCATCCAATGGACTTCCTCAGGCTTCAACCTTGGCTCCAAGCTCCTTTTCAAAATATAAGTGAGTGTAGCTTAGTAGTTTCAGAATATAGACTATAGAGCCAAATACAACCTTCCCAACTGGGTGATCTCAGACAGGTCACTTAACTTCCCTCTGCTTCGATTTTCTTATTAGAAAAATTGGATACTAATAGTATCTTCCCCTTAGGTTTGCCGTGAGGATCAAAAGAGTCAATAATACATGTAAAGTGCATAGAATCTTGGCGGCACAAAGCAAACGCTGAGTGAAAGTATGTTATGTTCGTTTCTTAACACTTTCTTATTAACTGGAAAATCCTGTGGTGTTTACTTCTTGTTAGAGAGAAAACATTTTCCTTTTTTTCCAATAAATTTTGTCCTTGACAGCTATTCTTTGAGTGTCAGTCAGTCTCTCGAAACAGAGGAATGTCTGTATAGCTGCAGTGACATCTTGCCAGGAGAGCCTTTCTTTTCTTGGGACTTTTCATTTCCATTTCACAACATGGTTCTGGTCAGTACTTCTTTGGAGGGACTTCTGATCAGCCCAGATCTTGCTGCCTTTTTCCCCATATCCTGCCCCTTAAACTCCCATCCCACACCCTGCCCCTCGTAGACACTTTAAAATCCACTTGAACACCACAGATGAATCATTTGGCAAAGTAAACAATAATTTCTTCCCAGGGAACTCCTCAGGACTCTGTGGTGTTTTGACCATCTGCAGCCATGGAAACGACAGATGAAGTGTATGGTCATTGGAATGCTTTTAACTCGCGCTTCCTGTGGCAGAGACTACTAATTGCTTCTCAGTAGCCGTTCTCCCTTTCTTTATAAGAAAGTTTTAGCTGAACACATCACTGCCCCACTAAAACATTTCCCTTGTGGCTTGATGTTGCCATGTGAAAGCCCTGACCACAGAGATGTAAGCAGGAATGCTGTGTGTGTGCCTTCCAGGAATTCTCTTTAAACGAAGAGTACCAATTCTTCCTTCAGTCTTTCCTCTATCGTGATACCTTGGATATGAATATAATGGCTGGAGCTCCAGCAGCTATTTTAGACTATGGGATTTAAGACAGCAATTCTCAAAGTATAGGCTGAGGATACAGAGAACAAAAGCCTTGCTCAGGAGGCCCACAGAATCCTCCCTTTTCCAAATATATATCTATTTCAAGTCTAGAATTTTCTTCATAAATTTCAACCAAAACTATGAATATATTGCAACAGATTGCATACAGTGGCGTATATGAAATTCAAAATGTCTTCTATTAAGCCAGATAGGGATTTATAAAAATGTAAAAAGGTTATTCTTCCCACTAATTTTTTTGTCTTAGAAAACATAATTATTTTTCACAAATCCGTGTTATTGCTAACATGCAGTAGGTTTATTATTTGTATTTTAAAATGAAAATATGTAAAAAAATTTCTCGGTTTTAATTTTTACTATAGTAACTTACATAAACAATAGCTCTTTGCAGGCCTTAATGACTTTTGAGGGGGTAAAGGGATCCGGAGACCAAAAAGCTTGAAAGCTGGTTTAATTCCACACTCTATAAATAATGGGGAGATGAACTACAAAGAGCCTGAGTTAATGTCAACTTTTTTTTATGTGAGCAAAAGTTAAACTTCTATATGTGTAAGTCACTATTACTGGGGTGTTTCTGTTATATCAAGCAAAACTAATTTTTTTAACAGATACCTTCCTACTTCCATTATTTGAGTTGAGACCATGGCTAAGAGCAAAACAAAGCAATTAAAAGCTGACGATTTTTGTGAGACTCTTGGCTGGGAGCACTAGTTTAAACAAGATAGTGTGAAGCATGCAATCCTGGCTTTTTTTGTGTGCCTGGCATGTCGTAAATGTCTAAATGTGGATTCTGCAGAATCTCTGCATCCAGTGAGCCCTTGTGACTCCACATCTAGTTTTAAGGGAACAGAACTGGCTCTAGCAGGCTGATACTGGTGTAGCCAGGGTGGGAACAGGGATATTCTTGTGTGTCTGAGGACCACGTTCAGTCACACGGCTGCCCCGGTGCCCTTGGCAGAGTGCCTAAGATGGGGCCAGGAGGGGTGGAGCAGAGGCAGTGCCACTGGGAAAGCAGCCCTCCGTCTCCAAGGCACCTCCTCTGTGTTTCCTGCCTTCACAAAAGACACACAAGAAACCTAGTGGCTGATCACTGTCAGGAAGTAAGGGACACAGAATCTAGGGCTGTGGGAAAAGGGGACCGGGAGGCCGGGGGAGGCCCTCCCATTCTGAGCACAAGCCTTAGGAGAATGCAGAGGAAAGAATAGCAAAAGCTCCCTATGAGGCGAAACCCACTCTCTGCACCAAAAGGAAGAGACTCTGGTTTGCCATATAAAGTGCACACAATTCCCTTCTCTGACAGAAGACACGAGCAAAGGTGCTGGACTTCACAGGGCTTCAGCTGATCATTTCTAAAGTTCAATTTGCTGCTAGATCTTAAACCTGCTTTTCGTCAACCACTCAGCAGAGGTGGGGCAGAATTTTTTTCCCTCTATTTGCAAGTCTGTTTTAAATACTACATTTTAAATCATAACTCTCTTGAGAATAATATGGCAAATTTACTTTCTTTTAAGGCCCACCTTAAAATACATCAAATCACTGTGTTTTCCTCCGCTCTAGATTTTCTTCTCTTTCATTACATTGCCATAAAGAAATGCCTGCTTGTCTGTTGACCACTGTACCTCCAGCACCTATGATATTATGCTGGGATAGGGCTGGAAATGCCCCTCTACATATGGTCTGCCTGCCATCAGCAAAAGAAGTTGTTGTGCTTTGACAGAGACACATTCTGTGAGGGCCTTATGTAAGCCTGATGACCATAAGCAAATTATTTGGAAGAGATTATTTAAATTGTACAGTGGCAGGAATTAAATATTCAATTGCAATAAGTTTAACTGATTAAGATATTTACTTTGCAGATGATGTAATAACTGGAAAAGCATATCAGTGGGAAGGTGTCTGACATGTTTGGTTGAGAGAATATACTTGGAAAACATATGGAAATGATTGATTTTTTTTGCTAGCTCCCCCATAAAGTAGCTGCTTTGTGCCCACTGAAATGGAGCCATCGCACAAGGGCTATGATATGCATCGTGGGGGTGTCTCTGAAGAACTCAACCAGGGAGACCTGTCCTTGTTCGAGCTAGATGCATCCCACCAGGGTGTGCAGAGCCCATAGCTGCGGGGCCCACCTTCTCATTCTTCTCAGACAGTGATGTGTGCCGTGCTGGGTGTTCTAGGTTGCTAACCATGCATCCCTTCAACAGGTCTGTGGGATGTCCAGGACATAGAGGTGGTGGGTAGCAGAGATAAAGTGTATTTAAGTGTGTGTGTGTGTGTGTGTGTGTGCACATGTGTGTCCATGTTTTCCTGTGCTATGCAGTGGATTGGAGAGGCAGGACTCCTGGGTTAAATAAAGACAAGTCCGGCTTCAGTCATACTATTTGGAAGGAATTTCAAAATAAGTGCCCAGCACATAGTGGGCTCTCAGAATTGTTCAATGAGTGATTACAAGGTCATGGTAATAACATTTGCAATCCAAAAGGAAACTCAGATATTATCTCTTATAAATAGGAAATGGAAGCCCAGAAAGGCTTAATGAATTGCCCAAGGCCATACAAAAAGTTAGTGGTGGCAGAGCCAGCCTAGAGCTTAATTCTCATGGCTGTTAGTGAGTGCCCATCTCCCTATGCCATACCACCAAAGCTAGCCAATAAACAAAACAACCTTGAAGGCATTTTGAACCCACTTTCTGTGTCCCCATATCATTTATCATCATTTATTAAAATTATGTACTGATCTCTTTCCTCCACTCAGTTGTGAGCTCCTTGAAATAGGAACGTAAATTAATTCATTTTTTCTTCCCTTGTGCCTAGACCCAGTGCCTTCCACGTAGGGGGCACTTAATAACATAGAAAATTCATATTTATTTTGAATTTGTCCTGACCATTCTTATAGCAATCTCATATTAATAGTTGATGATAAAAACTATAATTGCCAAGGTCCCTATGCCACACCATCACAGCTAGCCAATAAACAAGAAAACACCTGTGAAGGCATTTTGAACCCACTTTCTGTGTCCCCATACCATTTATCATCATTTATTAAAATTATATACTGATCTCTTTCCTCCACTCAATTGTGAGCTCCTTGAAATAGGAACTTGGATTAATTCATGTTTTAATTCATCTCATGGCAAACCTATGGGGAGATCCAGAAGTCAAGGTCCAGCCAAGGAAATGGAAACCATTCTACATCTTTACAGGGGGTATTTAATAAAGGAAATTGGCTACACAGTGTGAGAGAACTGGGAAGACAAACAGGGTGGTAAGGCACCTCTGAGATGATAGTAACAGGAGGCTGAAGATAAATTGGGAGAAGGTGGTGTTACTGGAGGTGTTTGATGGGAACTAGGGCGATGGAGGGAATGGATTTCCTGCAGGAACTGGAGTCATGGTGGAGATGGCCCAAAGCTGGAGATCCCACAAGAAGCAGAGAAATACCTCGGCTTTCCCCACCTGCCACCAATCCCTTGTCGGTAAAGGGAGAAGGGAAAGGGAGATGGCCTCTGACAGTGTGCTTGGCACACCACTTTCCCCTAACATAATGGAGATCTTTGAAGACCATCCACTTTCCTTTGTGCAAATTCAGCATTCACCAAGTAGTCCTCACACCTAAACCTTAGGTCTGCTTCCATATAGTTAATCTCAACCAAAAGGATGAAGAAACTTTATTTTTAATAGTTAGTCAACTGATCCATAGGGGAGGAAAAAACACCAATCAAAGCCATTTAAGTTTGTTCAGCAGTTTCACTTCCTTTTCAGTAAATTACAAATGAGGGACCTAAAGCTTTTTTACCTGAGACAACAAATAAAGCACATGACCCAGCACTCCTGTGGGAACCTAGGTGCCAACAAGAGAAGGTGGCCATGATGCTCCCCAGCAAGAGTCATGGAGTTGCTTAGATTATTTTACAAGTTCCACATTGGGGTCATCTTTTACATCTACATTTTTCTCTCCCCTTTTCTTCCCCAAGAGACAGGATCTCACTCTGTTGCCCAGGCTGGAGTGCCGCAATGCTATCATAGTTCATTGCAGCCTCAAACTCCTGGGCTCAAACGATCCTCCCACTTCAGACTCCTGAGCAGCTAGGACTAGAGGTGTTTGCTACCATGCCCAACGAAGTTTTTTTTTCTCGTAGAGATGAAATCTCACTATGTTTCCGAAGCTGGTTTTGAACTCCTGGCTTCAAGCAACCCTTCCACCTCAACCTTCCAAAGTGTTGGGATTATAGCTGTGAGCCACTGCACTTGGCTTCTATCTCCTTTTTTAAAGAAAAACATATAGAATAAATTTTGGACCAGGAAAAGAAAAAAGGATATTCTGGGCTGGGATTAGGAAACAAGGTAAAGAAACAAAAGGAGAAAAAACTAAAGCTCTTTCTTGCTGAGCCCCTGCTACTTGCTGTCTGCAGCAGTCCTGGCCTCATCTCTGAGAATGTGCTTCCAGAGAGAAACCCAGAAGGAACTCTCAGGTATGTGCATAAATTTGTTGATCTCAACAGTTGCAGCTGATGGATATTGACATTTAGAAAAAACTGCATGCCAGATCAAATTGAGATTAAACCAGAGTAGCTCTGTGGGCCAAAGGTGCCCCTGCTCCCCAAGTCTGCCTGACAAACATATTATCAATGCATATTAGATGCTATCAGGGAATTATTGCTAGCACTCTTAGGCATGATACCAGGGAAGAAGAATTGGCCTAGTTTTAAGAAATGCATGCAGAACTATGCAGGGGTGAAGTGTTGATGATGTTTGTAATTTATTTTCAAAAGATTCAGCAAAGAAGTCATATATATGCGTATATACATATAAATGTAGATGGTTAAGTGATACAACTATAAAAAATATTAATAGTAAATCTAAGTGGTGAGTATAAGGATGTTTTGTTCTTTCAAAGTTTTTTATGTTTGAAACTTTTGGTAATAAAAATCAGAAAAAGAACACTAACTTCTGTCCACTTGGCAATTATATATATATATATATATATTTTTTTTTTTTTTTGGTTGTTGTTGTTGTTGTTGTTTTGAGACGGAGTCTCACTCTGTCACCAGGCTAGAGGGCAGTGGCGCGATCTCAGATCACTGCAACCTCCGCCTCCCTGGTTCAAGCGATTCTCCTGCCTCAGCCTCCCGAGTAGCTGGGACTACAGGCGCATGCCACCACGCCCAGCTAATTTTTGTATTTTTAGTAGAGACAGGGTTTCACTCTGTTGGCCAGGATGGTCTTGATCCGCCCGCCTCGGCCTCCCAAAGTGCTTGGATTGCAGGTGTGGGCCACCACGCCTGGCTGGCAATTATAGTTTTTATCATCAACTATTAATATGGGATTATTTTAATATAGAAATCCACATCTCTTGAGTTTGGTAAGTTTGACCTAATTAACTAGAGTCAAGGTGAGAGAAATAATTGGCTTTTCAAATCTGATCAGCTTGAATGATCAAACCCTTGGCTAGAGTTGGCCACGATGAAGCAGGTATTAAAACCCTCCAAAATATGGTGACATTCCAAGCACTCTAATACGAATGCCTAGTATACTGACTTCAATGGAGGGCAGTATTCTCAGTTATTCATTCATTCATTCAGCCTGTGAGTACCTTGCTACAAACCCTAGGATTGGGGAATAGGCAATATCTACTCTCAAGGAGCTTCCAGGCCACAGAAGAGATGAACATGGGAACAAATGTGGGCAGCACAGTGTGATCAGAGCAATGATTCAAGAAAGCACAGGACAAGAGGAAAAACAAAGGAAGCAGTGGTCACTTCAACTGGCCATCAGTGAAGGGCCAGCAGGCAGGATTCAAAAAGGGAGCATATCAGTCAGGTCCTGGCAAGAAAGATATGGCACACTCAAGAGGCAGGAATGATAGGGAGATTAATGAAGAAATGACTTATAAAAATGTGGGCAAAGTTAAGGAAACGAACAACAGATGGTGAAGCTACCAACTGTGGGGACCGTCTACCACCCTGAGGCCTAAAAGGAGCCAGAGGAAGGAGTTTTAGCTTTTGGTAGAAGGATGCAGCCAGCCTGTAGGGATCCAATAGGGAGGGAGACAGGGGAGTAAACACCCTGACCCTGACTTCCCTCCCACCCTCTCCTCTCCCATAGATATCTCCCACTGGCTGAGCCCTATTTGAAGCCAGGAGACCAGAAAGCTCAGTTGATGCATCTCTAAGGTTCAGACTCCAGAGGCAGAGGGCAGGGCAAAGAAGGTCAGTGTAAACAATATTATTAAGCAAAATACACAAGTTGGAGACGGGCCTTGAAATAGAAGTAGAAGAAAGGGGAGTCGTAGAGAGGTGGCC